>NC_000007.14:116749203-117052233 GCF_000001405.40 Homo sapiens
CCTCAATACAATACTGGCAAACCAAATCCAGCAACACATCAAAAAGCTTATCCACCACAATCAAGTTGGCTTCATCCCTGGAATGTAAGGCTGGTTCAACACAGGCAAATCAATAAACATAATCCATCACATAAACAGAACCAATGACAAAAACCACACGATTATTGCAATAGATGCAGAAAAGGCCTTCGATAAAATTCAACACCCCTTCGTGCTAAAAACTCTCAACAAACTAGGTGTTGATGGAACATATCTCAAAATAATAAGAGCTATTTATGATAAACCCACAGCCAATATCATTTTGAATGGGCAAAAGCTGGAAGCATTCCCTTTGAAAACCAGCACAAGACAAGGATGCCCTCTCTCACCGCTCCTATTCAACATAACATTGGAAGTTCTGGCCAGGGCAATCAGGCAGGGGAAACAAATAAAGGGTATTCAGATAGGAAGAGAGGAAGTCAAATTGTCTCTGTTTGCAGATGACATGATTGCATATTTAGAAAACCCCATCGTCTCAGCCCAAAATCTCCTTAAGCTGATAAGCAACTTCGGCAAATTCTCAGGATACAAAATCAATGTGCAAAAATCACAGGCATTCCCATACACCAATAATAGACAAACAGAGAGCCAAATCATGAGTGAAGTCTCATTCACAATTGCTACAAAGAGAATAAAATACCTAGGAATACAACTTACAAGGGATGAAAAGGACCTCTTCAAGAACTACAAACCACAAGCAAATGGAGAAACATTCCATGCTCATGGATAGGAAGACTCAATATTGTGAAAATGGCCATATTGCCCAAAGTAATTTATACATTCAATGCTATCCCCATAAAGCTACCATTGACTTTCTTCACAGAATTAGAAAAAGCTACTTTAAATTTCATATGGAACCAAAAAAGAGCCCGCATAGCCAAGACAATCCTAAGCAAAAAGAACACAGCTGGTGGCATCACGCTACCTGACTTCAAACTATACTACAAGGTTGCAGTAACCAAAACAGCATGGTACTGGTACCAAAACAGAGATATAGACCAATGGAACAGAACAGAGGCCTCAGAAATAACACCACGCATTTACAACCATCTGATCTTTTACAAACCTGACAAAAACAAGCAATGGGGAAAGGATTCCCTATTTAATAAATGATGTTGGGAAAACTGGCTATCCATATGCAGAAAACTGAAACTGGACCCCTTCCTTACACCTTATACAAAAATTAACTCAAGATAGATTAAAGACTTAAACGCAAGACCTAAAAACCATAAAAACCCTAGAAGAAAACCTAGGCAATACCATTCAGGACATATGCATGGGCAAAGACTTCATGACTAAAACACCAAAAGCAATGGCAACAAAAGTCTAAATTGACAAATGGGATCTAATTAAAGAGCTTCTGCACAGCAAAAGAAACTATCATCAGAGTGAACAGGCAACCTACAGAACAGGATTAAATTGTTGCAATCTATTCATCTGACTAAGGGCTAATATCCAGAATCTACAAGGAACTTAAACAAATTTACAAGGAAAAAAACCATCAAAAAGTGGGCCAAGGATATAAACAGACACTTCTCAAAAGAAGACATTTAGGTGGCCAAAAAACATATGAAAAAAAGCTCATCATCACTGGTTATTAGAGAAATGCAAATCAAAACCACAATGAGATCCCATCTCACACCAGTTAGAATGGTGATCATTAAAAAGTCAGGAAACAATATGTGCTGGAGAGGATGTGGAGAAATAGGGAATGCTTTTACACTGTTGGTGGGAGTGTAAATTAGTTCAACCATTGTGGAAGACAGTATGGCGATTCCTCAAGGATCTAGAATCAGAAATACCATTTGACCCAGCAATCCCATTACTGGGTATATACCCAAAGGATTATAAGTCATTCTAATATAAAGATACATGCACACGTATGTTTATTGCAGCACTACTCACAATAGCAAAGACTTGGAACCAACCCAAATGCCCATCAAAGATAGACTGGATAAAGAAAATGTGGCACATATATGCCATGGAATACTATGCAGCCATAAAAAAGGATGAGTTCATGTCCTTTGCAGGGACATGGATGAAGCTGGAAACCGTAATTCCCAGCAAGCTAACACAGGAACAGAAAACCAGACACTGCATGTTCTCACTCATAAGTGGGAGTTGAACCATGAGAACACATGGACACAAGGAGGGAAACATCACACATAGGGGCCTGTCGGGTGGCGGGGGTCTAGGGGAGGGATAGCATTAGGAGAAATACCTAATGTAGATGACAGATAATCTTATGTGTCTTAAACTTTGCAGGCACAAAATCCAGCTAATGTATGGAGTTTCACTTTCTAATACATGCAAGTTAACCTGCTTTTCAAGGTACATGATGTTCAGTGGCTAAAATTCTTTACAGTTCTAGATATGAGAGATTTCAGGACTGTAAGCCCATTATTTTGCTTCAAACATGGTATCTGATCTCATACTTAAAGAGCAATGAGAAATGCTTCAGAAAAGGGAGAGCACTTTTTAATATATTCTGAATGTATTAGGATGCAGTTATCATATCTTGTAAGGTTGAAAATTCAGGCCGGGCGTGGTGGCTCATGTCTGTAATCCCAGCACTTTGGGAGGCCGAGGTGGGCAGATCACGAGGTCAGGAGATCGAGACCATCCTGGCTAACACGGTGAAACCCTGTCTCCACTAAAAATAGGAAAAATTAGCTAGGCATGGTGGCAGGTGCCTGTAGTACCAGCTACTCGGGAGGCTGAGGCAGGAGAATGGCGTGAACCTGGGTGGCGGAGCTTGCAGTGAGCCAAGATTGCTCCACTGCACTCCAGCCTGGATGACAGAACGAGACTCTGTCTCAATAAAAAAAAAGAAAGAAAGAAAGAAAATTCAACCCCAGTGAGACAACAGAACTATTCATTGATCAGAATACTCAGAAAAGCAGTATTATATAGGGATAGGAGGGTAGGCAGGCAGTATACTGCCACCAGTAAATATATTTGTGAGTTCTACTAAAGAGGAAAGGAGACCCCTTTTGGAGTTTTTTTGTTCTGTTTTGTTTTTGTTTTTTAGTTTTCTCATGTTTTATCCTAATGGGTTTTGAAAGCATGATCATTTAAAATACTGTTGGAATGGGCCCATCAGTGATGTGATCTTTCACCTGTGAAAAGACAAGGGCTACTTTTGTGGCTGTATCTCCCCTATCCAGACAGGTAGGAGACCCAGCCTCTGTGGCTTTATGCCGGACGCTCATTTCCTGCCCACAGAGTTTCTCTGCCCTTCAGGATAACTCAGAGTTTGCCAGCCATTGTTGGGTCTATCCAAGGGTGTGTAGTTCACAACTGCTTCCTTCCTTTTTCCCTAGAAGGGTAAAGGTTACCCCATAAGCTAAGGGGAAAATGCCCAGCCCAGAGAGAAAAGCTAAGCAGAGCGAGCCTCTTGGATCCTGAGGGTCTAGCAGAGGGCTTATAATATCTCTTCCTATTGCCAGTGCCCCAGTTGCGCAGCTCTCTGCGTCTTTTCTCAAATCATCACCCAATCCGTTTGCCTTTTATAGAAAGTGATGGTAATGATGTGTGTAGAGTGACAGACTTCAGTTTTTACATAGAAAGACGGGATGTAGGCAGTGGGATCAGGCCAACATCAGCCTTGGGCAGCGTTTTCAGTGGGGAAGCCTCCTCATTAGAAGAGCCGGCAGCAGCTGTGTGACTGCCTCAGGCTGAAGAGAGTCCTGGGAGGGTTGGATGTCTTGTTCTCTCCTACTGGATTTCTACCATAATAATAATAAACAGATTTATTTTTCTAGTAGTTCTCATTTGACTAGACATGGATGAGGTAAATTTTCAGGAAAGGCACAACAGTGTAATGGATTTTTATGGGTAAAATGGCTATCATAAAAGCTTTAAGCTAAAACTTTAAAGGGGTTTGATAACGAGGGTACATTAAGACTTTGGTTTGCAATTATTTACTTAGGAAGGATGGAAATGTTTGCAAGTTTGAATTTGGCTAAAAGCCCTTCTTAATTGTAAAAGAATCACTTTTAGATGTTCACAAGCTGAGCTTTAGCAAATACCTTTACTGGTTCTTGAGTTGCCTCTATCTTAGTTTTCCCACCATTGTACTTTACAGCACAATTTACAATATGTCCCCACCCCCAAAAGAGCATTTCCTTTCTCAATTGTCACAAAGCTGCTGAGAAGAAGCTTATTTTTAACTTGGAAATGTGTTTTGTTTTAATAGTTTTAGCCTGAGAGCAATTATCTTACACACTTTATAGGTGCCTAATGCGGTCTTAAATCATGACTGACCAAGGTTTATCAATAAATCCATTGATAACATACCAGAAATGAGTCTGCAATAACAAAATGAGTCTGTTATTTGCTTAACATCAACCATCAGGGGGAAAAATTTAATCCTAAAAATGAGATATAAAACAATACCAATGAAGATAATTAGGAAAAATTGTTACAATACTGATTTTGGGCCCTCTCTGGTTCCGTTTTTATCTATTTCTAAAAGAAACAACATAACACATGTATTAAATATTACATAATTTTTAAAAGGCTGAGTGTGTCAACTAACCAGCCTGGTATACATCAAATAGTGACCATATTTAAAGAACAAGGAAAAATCTTCAGTCATTAATAAATGTGAACTAATAGGTAAAAAGAAGTAGATTCACTTTTCATTTGTTAGTGCCTGGTGCATAGGAGGTGCTTTATTAAGAAATAATTAATGAAACCTGGGCAGCATAACAAGACCCCGTCTCTACAGAAATTTAAAAATTAGCTGGGTGAGGTGGCGCACACCTGTAGTCCTGTCTACTAGAGAGGCTGAGGCGGGAGGATTGCTTGAGCCCAGGAGTTTGAGGCTGCAGTGAGCTAGGACTATGCCACTGCACTGCAGACTGGGCAAGAGTGAGACCCCCATCTCTAAAAGTAAATAAGTAAATAATGAATGAATGAATGAATGAATGAATTATTGGCAGATATGTGTTCCAAAACCATCTATATGTTTCATATTATGCTAGCTGCTGAATGCAACTGGGCAAACACTGGATACCAAATGAGGTATTTTTACTGTGCAACTTTTGTCTCTGGGTGGGGAATACCATAGCAACCAGAATGTAGTGCACGCAGCCAGTGCACAGAGCAAGGCGTATAATGGCTGGACCTTGGCTTATAGAGCACATGAAGGAGTTTGATAAGAGCTCAGTCCGAAGGCTGATGAAGAGTTACAATCAGAGTTATGAGCAAGTAAAAGTCTGGGCCCAACGTGTTTCTACTCCTACCCTAAAGAGCCCTAGAAGATGAATTCACTTCAGAATGGCCCAAAAAGGGCCAGGTCCAATGGCTCATGCTTGTAATCCTAGCACTTTGGGAGGCCAAGGCAGGAGGATCACTTGAGCCCAGGAGTTTGAGACCAGCTGGGCAACGTAGTGAGACCCTGTCTCTAGAAAAAAAAAAAATAGCCAAGCATGGTGGCCCACGCCTGTGATCCCAGCTACTCAGGAGGCTAATGTGGGAGGATTGCTTGAGCTCAAGAGGTTGAGGCTGCAGTGAGCCATGATCACGCCACTGCACTCCAGCCTGAACAACAGAGCCAGACTCTGTCTGAAAAAGAAAAGAAAAGAAAGAAGGAAGAAAGGAAGGGAGGGAAAGAAAAAGAAAGAAAGAGAGAGAGAGAGAAAGAGAGAAAGAAAGAAAGAAAGAAAGAAAGAAAGAAAGAAAGAAAGAAAGAAAGAAAGAAAGAGAAAGAAAGAGAAGGAAGGAAGCAGAGAAAGGAAAGAAAGAAAGAAAGAAAGAAAGAAAGAAAGAAAGAAAGAAAGAAAGAAAGAAAGAAAAGAAAGAAAGAACGGAAGGACTCGAAAAGCCCCTTTATTCCTACCAAGCTGCATCTGCTCTTTGTCCCATCTTTGGATCTCCTGAAAACAACTTGTTTCATTAACATGTCATGTAGTTTTAATGTTTGTTCCAGATGCTCTGAAATTTGTGACCCTTTTCCCTTTAGTGAAAATTAAATTTTTACTAAATTGTGGGAAAATGAAAGAATTTCAGACTATTTAAGGATATACATTTTGTTTGTTCGTTTTCCATATATGTGAAAAATTATAATATATTGGGTTTTTTTAAAAGTTCTATGTTGTCCTTGTAGGTTTTCCCAAATAGTGCACCCCTTGAAGGAGGGACAAGGCTGACCATATGTGGCTGGGACTTTGGATTTCGGAGGAATAATAAATTTGATTTAAAGAAAACTAGAGTTCTCCTTGGAAATGAGAGCTGCACCTTGACTTTAAGTGAGAGCACGATGAATACGTAAGGATCTTAAAATGCTTTGCTGGGGTGTGCTTGGAAAATAGGTTTTGTTTTTGAATGAATATTTCTTTTAAAATTGCTCAAGAAGCTCATCTCTTGAATTAAAAAGGGTCTTGGCCTGTCACATGCCTTGTGGGTCTGTTCTGTTTTGTTCTTGTAATCCCATTTACTCATTGGATTTGAAGAGAGAGAAAGGTGACATGGCCTAGGTGAAGAGAAGAGGCCAGAAATGGGAGTTTCTCAACCATTTATGCGACAAGTCTTCAGGTGTTGTCTGAGTAGATTTGCAAGAGTAGCACTAGTTGGGATCACTTCATCCTTGGAGTCTTCAAATGTAGAGTCTCCAAAGGCTTTTTCTACAGAAATCAGTAAACAGCTCAGCATGGATCCTCTCTTTTAAATTCACTTTCTAAACCTCAGAAATGTAGTGAGGCAGCTGAATCACGTGTTTGAGACTTTTTTAGATGAGTTAAAATTTATATTCAGCTTATATTTACTGGCACTGCAATATATGGGCTGTATCTCACTGAACCATCCCCACGGTCCTGGGAGGGAGCAGTATCATTCCTATAATATAAAAGAGGTACCTGAAGTTCAGAGAGATGAAGTGTGGCTTCACAGAGGTAATCCAGAGAGTAAGAGCTGAACAAGCCTTCAGCTCAGCTCTGATCATCTTCTGATCCAAGACCCGTGCTAGTTCTACTGTATTCTACATGTACCCTTCTACAAGCTTTGAATTCCATAATCATCAGAGAATCCAGAAATTATTCATTATCACATAATAACAACACTCAAATATTTAAAGTTTTATGGTTGAATCTTTATGATTGAACCCATTCTATCAGGTGGTTATTTTATATCTAATAGAATTCATTTCAGGGTTACACAAAGGTCCGAATCTATCCATTTTACTGAGACCAAAACACTAATGAAGGTAATATTTGTTAGCTGAATGGCAAAACAAATTTTTTCTAGAAATCTCCCTTGTAAAATCTCCAAAACTCTTAATCATTGCATATAAATCAGGACCTGTAAAAGTAAAGCATAATTCATTCTCTCCTTTAAAAAGTTATTTAATAAATCAAATTGTATTTAAATTTTCTCAGAACTATATGATTATTCATTCAGAAATAATTCTATGGAAAGCCATCACAATTTCATTATCATTTAAGTAATTTAAATAAGCATGTACAAGTATAACCACAGAAATGTACCTGTTGACATACTTTAATGAAGAGATTGGCCTATTTGTAGTTAGCCCATTGTTTCATATGCATCTGAAGTGGACCAAAGATTATCCCCAAATATTAATATTATCCAAACTTAGATTATTATGCACTATTCAACTGGTGAGGTCTTTATGGATAAGGTCTGATATTTCCTGTTTGTCTGTATAAGTGCTATAGTACCATTAATGTAAAGTTTAGTATAAGCAGGGTGCAGTGGCTTACGCCTGTGATCCCAGCACTTTGGCAGACCAAGGCAGGAGGATCACCTGAGCCCAGGAATTCAAGACCAGCCTGGGCAACGTAGTGAGACTCCATCTCTACCAAAAAAAAAAAAAAATTTTTTTTTAATTAACCAGATGCCGTGGCATGCACCTCTAGTTCCAACTCCTGAGTCCAGAGGATCCCTTGAGCCCAGGAGTTCAAGGCTGCAGTGAGCTATGACTATGCCACTGCCCTCCAGCCTGGGTGACAGAGCAAGATCCTGTCTCTTTTTACATAAAAATAAAAGTTAAGTTTATCATAGTATAGAAATAGGATTATATAATTTTTGGCCTTAATGCTTATCTTGAAACTCTGCTTGCTATTCAAAGCAGTCAGCTCACCATTTAGAGTTAATGTCACTTCCTATAAAACAACCTAACCAGAAAATTCCTTGGATTTGTCATGTATTAAACTTTGGGTTTTTTTTCCAGATTGAAATGCACAGTTGGTCCTGCCATGAATAAGCATTTCAATATGTCCATAATTATTTCAAATGGCCACGGGACAACACAATACAGTACATTCTCCTATGTGGTAAGGAAGATTCTATCCTATCATGTTTGATTTTTACTTAATCTATTTAAATTATAAGATGAACAAGTTACTTTGTTTTGTTTTTATCTCCCCTCCAGGATCCTGTAATAACAAGTATTTCGCCGAAATACGGTCCTATGGCTGGTGGCACTTTACTTACTTTAACTGGAAATTACCTAAACAGTGGGAATTCTAGACACATTTCAATTGGTGGAAAAACATGTACTTTAAAAAGGTGTTGTAAATTTATTTTTTGTTGCATCTGTCAATTTGAATTAATATCTGTACCTTAAAAATTAAGCAGATTGTTTTGTGTGTGTGTGTGGAGAAGAAAAATCAAGATGTTTATTTGTTTACTCTCCTACTGACAAAACTTCCTCCTTCCAAAATTCATCTACTCCTTTTGCTGATTTTTCTTCCTTTCTCTTGTTTTTTAGCAATCCTACTTTTCAGTTTTGTCTTCCCATCCACCCTCTTTATTGTTATAGCTTAGGATCTTAGCTATACTATGAGCTGTGAGAGTCTGGTCATTGATAATAATTTAAAATAAACATTTTCATCAAGATTTGTAATTAGACTAAGTCACTCTGGGGAAGGAAGAAATGGGGAAAATTGGGTCTGGAAGACAGTTATGTTTCTGCTTCTTAGAGTTGGAAGAGCTCAGTTTAATCAAGTACCAAAAGTACTTTAAAGGTTTTTTTTTCAAATCTCAAATGTTTTCCAGTCAAGGATAGCTTGTCCACAACAAAGGTAAGTTTGAGATCCAGTCAGATTAAACAGCCTACACTAGAAAAGGCTTCCACTCAGGAAATTCCCACTTAGGAACCATTGAGTTATATCCTTTTGATTTGTGGATATAATTCTAAAATATGTGTATCTCTAATAGCTAAAATTCACTTCCTTAATTTTTTTTGTTCAGTGTGTCAAACAGTATTCTTGAATGTTATACCCCAGCCCAAACCATTTCAACTGAGTTTGCTGTTAAATTGAAAATTGACTTAGCCAACCGAGAGACAAGCATCTTCAGTTACCGTGAAGATCCCATTGTCTATGAAATTCATCCAACCAAATCTTTTATTAGGTAAGTAGAAGCTTCTGATGGGTATAAGAAAACAATGAATACAAGGATGATTTTGCTGTAGAATAGTCAAGAGGAATTGCAGTTTTATCTCTGGCTTTGATGCTGTTATGTTGCTTTTGAAGGCTTCTTTCCAATTCAGGAGAGAAAACTATATTCAGGTTCTGAGTGTAGTTTGACTTATCAATGCTAGTTCATTCCAAGAAGTATCTTATCCTGTTCTATTACATTTAAACAGAGTATAGCAAAATAGTTTAATGTGGCATTGTAGTATACATGCACTTACATTATGTACATATCAATTCTATACTAACCTTAGTGCCCAGAAGTGGAATTACCTTTTTTCTTCCATTCTCTAGATATGTTTTTGTCCTGCCTGCTTTACACACAGCTTTTCTTTATGCCAGACTCTCTTTGAATTGATATCTCATTGGACCCAGTTCAATCTGCCTTGTTTCCGTTAATTCTATCAGTCTAGCAACAATAGTTAAGTTCGGTTTTCTTTGTATTTTTTTCAGAGGTGAAATATTTATTTTGTGTAATTCGGTGAATAAAATACAAATGCATTTCTTAAGCTTATGAAATATGCATTTTAAAAATATTTTCAAGTTAAATAAGTTGTTTCCAAAGAACAGTTACCCATGAACTTCCATTTGATGTTGACTGTGCCTCTGACCTGTAATCAGTGCAGGTGATTAAATTGAATCCCTCTCTTACAGTACTTGGTGGAAAGAACCTCTCAACATTGTCAGTTTTCTATTTTGCTTTGCCAGTGGTGGGAGCACAATAACAGGTGTTGGGAAAAACCTGAATTCAGTTAGTGTCCCGAGAATGGTCATAAATGTGCATGAAGCAGGAAGGAACTTTACAGTGGTAAGTCCTTTGAGCAATGGTTCTACTCAGAGCTCTGCATCTTTGCCTCTAACCATGTGGCTTTCATGGTACCTGAGACATCTCAGTTTCGCCTTTAAGGTTTGCTAGTTAATTTCCTTGCAGTGTAGCCAAGTAGTATTTTTTATTTAATAACTGAAATTATCTAGAGTCTTGGGCTAACCATGTGGAAAAAATACATACACATACACACATGCACATATAATGTTTAGACAAGAATGAAGATTACCAATTTGAGACAGTGTTTTTTTATGTTTGTTGGTTGGTTGGTTTTGAGGGTTTTTTTGAGACAGTATCTCACCCTGTCATCCAGGCTGGAGTGCAAGGGCACGATCTCAGCTCACTGCAATTTCCCCCTCCCAGGTTCAAGCGATTCTCCACCTCAGCCTCCCAAGTAGCTGAGACTACAGGCACGAGCCATCATGCCTGGCTAATTTTTGTATTTTTTGGTAGAGACGAGGTTTCACCATGTTGGCCAGGCTGGTCTTGAACTCTTGACCTCAAATGATCTGCCCACCTCGGCCTCCCAAAGTGCTGGGATTACAGGCATGAGCTACTGTGCCTGGCCTGAGGCAGTGTTTTTACAGACAGTCAGTACAAATGGAAATCACAGCATTTCCCTAGTCCCTTTTTAATGTGTCATAGAACATGGACCCTTTTGCTCTAATAAAATCCTTGGAAAAGGTTGCTGATCTTGCAGCAGTATTCTTGCATTTCTAAGCAGCTGACGTATGCTTTCTTACAGCCCCCTGTTCTTCTTATCATTCTTCTTGTCCCTTTGTTAGCTCTTTCTTGAAAGAGCTAACAAAGAAAGAGCATTAGAATATTTATGTTATGTCCTAAAGTGTGAATGTTATTTGCTGTTTCTCCACCTATCCTTATTTTATATAGGTCACATTAAAGTGGTAGTTTTAGTTTAGACCTTAGAAAGCTTGGAGTTATTTCCAAAGATTCCATACATTTTGTTGATGTTTTTCTCTAATATAAAATACCATAATCTAGTAGGACTTGAGCACTCAACTCAGAATGAAAGTTCTAAGTGCTCTTGCTCAAGCAAGGTCTTGATTGGTCAGGTGATAGATTGAATTACAGCACTTCCTTTTAGATTCTCCATCCAATATTTCTTGAAGACTAAAGCCACAATGTTCTTTAATTACAAAAACCAATTTGGGGCTAAAAATGTCAAGCCAAATCACCAAATAATAAGGTCATTTCAAATAAGATTTTTCTTGGCCTTCTCAATCAGCCACATTGCATCACCTCTAGAGAGTATTATTAGATTTTTATCATATTCCTGAGAGATTGTACTCTAGGGAGTCACCATATGAAGCAAAGCATTTTGAAACCAATCCCCACACATGGCCACAAACAAAGTTAGAGTACCACTGCTATTAATTTAAAGGACATCAGTTCTCCACAACTAAGCATAACAATGTTTCATTAACCAAATAAGAATAATAGTGACCCTCTTTGGTGTTGGTATGAGACCTTTTAAAGTAGAAATCTGAGAAATTATTAGTTTATCTAATTAATGCTGAGCCTCCATTATTAAGATAATGACTGAATTTCCTTTCTTCTCCCTCATTGGCATTAAAGTGACACTCAGAATGCCTTAGCTTCAGTCATTCATTTGTAATCAAATATTTATTAAAAACTTTTTAGGTGTCACACATGAGAGTTACATATCCCAAGGATGATTCAAACAATGGTAGACGATAAAAATCTTATTTGTTTATATATCTGGAAATATAAACTTCTGTTGTTTTAGTGACAAACATGTTAGTACAGTAGAACTGTACATTAGAATCGGACAAGAGTGAAAAATTCAGTGGATCTATTTTACTATTTACTATTTATTTTACTGTCGTTTGTGAAAAGTACTTTATAAGGAGATATGTATTCATTCCATGTTCCTTGCCACTTATAGAATTTAAAGCTGACCATGATGAATTGAACCCATTTATTATTTAACAAATAAAAACTCTTGGTCAGGTCTGATTTAGATATATAGGTCCAGCCACAATAACTTTAAGTCCAATAAACTTGAATCCTTTCAAAACAAGAACAATCATCTTCATAACAAAATGTATATTAAATTGTTAACATGTGCATTATGCCCTAGGAGCCTGCAGTTTATTGTGTAGTTCTCAAATTTCTTGTTATGTAAACAATTATTGTGATGACAGTTAAATTGTTCATGTCCATCAGGAATAAATAACTTTTAGCATTATAATATTAATTTTATATAAAACTAAATAGTATAATTTTATCCATATTATATCTCTATCAGTTTTATCTGCTGCCTATATACATTTTTAATGTAAGATCATTTTTTAAATGATTTTTTAAAGAAAATAGCAAATAACAAATTCTGTTTGTCCTTTTTATGTATATCCTGAGTCCTTTTTCTATTGTGGGCATAAGTAATTGTTTTATCTCCAACTATACTTGTCAAAGAAAAGGAAATCTAAGGGATGTTGTTGCTTGTTTGTCTTTTCCTTGGGGGAAAAATGCAACCGTTAACCTTAGATGTACCACTATGTGTTGCTGGTTTAGTCTAAGTACAATCAAGAGGAAGCTACATTTTCCAAAATTCCATAAATCAGAATTCCAAAGAGGAAGATTTGAAATGAGACATGAAAGGGCATGAAATAATAATAGCAGAGGCTTTGTAAAATAGAGAGCATAGGAAAAGGTTTCAGTATAAAATATGTCATAGACAAAAAGATAGCATGGGAGTGAAGACACTGAATTTTGGAGTTAATGGCCTAGGATTTATATTCGCTATTCTGCCACTCCAAGCTGTGTGACCTGGCCTAATGACATAAGTTTGCAAAGCTCAGTTTCTTCATTTGTAAACTGTGGGTAATCATAATACCCACCTATAGGATTATCAGGAGAATTAAATGAGACCAACTTTGTAAAGTATTTTGCACAGAACCTGGCATTCAATAATTAATAGCTTAAAAGACACTAATAAGATTACCTAACAACATAGTTAATTATCATGTTCACCATATGGTGCTTGGTGCTTTACAAAGCACTTTACCATGTGGTATCCAACATGGTAAATAGCATTTTCATCTTAATTCCTAAATGAGGAAACTGAGTTATTCAGTGTGGGCCCTACCTTAGTTCCCATAGCTTGGGTTAAAGCTAGGAGATGAGCCAAGGCCTTCTAACCCCACAAAGCTGAGCTCCCAGTCTGCCTGACTGCCTCACACAACAAGGGGCAGTTCCTCCAGGTGACTGTCCTGTCTTCTTAAGGAAAATAAAATGATGAGATGAAGGCCAGCTTCAGATAGATCAGCACAGTTTATGCTGGGCAGGTGGAGCTCTGTGTTTCTTTGAAGGGTGGGTTGTTTGGATAATTTTGCATGTATCGTGTTTCCAGAAATGTGTAGTCTAACATTAGGAAGTTAAATACAGATTTTTTCAAAAATTATATATTTTCAATTGATTGGGGTGGTAAATTATAAAGTTGCTATGGATGTTGCCAAGCTGTATTCTGTTTACAGTGGATAATTGTGTCTTTCTCTAGGCATGTCAACATCGCTCTAATTCAGAGATAATCTGTTGTACCACTCCTTCCCTGCAACAGCTGAATCTGCAACTCCCCCTGAAAACCAAAGCCTTTTTCATGTTAGATGGGATCCTTTCCAAATACTTTGATCTCATTTATGTACATAATCCTGTGTTTAAGCCTTTTGAAAAGCCAGTGATGATCTCAATGGGCAATGAAAATGTACTGGAAATTAAGGTAAGAAATGCTTTAAACACTGTCTTAAATCATCAGCTCAAACTTAATTGACTTCATAGCTATGTGAATACAATTGTTGTACTTGGCCATTGTATCTTATACAACACCAGCAAATATATAAACTCTGAAAAACAAATCTTTTTGGCATAAAACTAAAAGATAAGAATAACCGTGGACTGCATTTTAATGAAGCATTAAAAAACCCTTTCTTGTGTATGTATTAAAACGTAGCAAATGTGGGACACAAATTATCCATTAAAGAGGATCCGCGTCATGCATTATCTTGCTGATGTTATACATTTCCCCGGACATGTTACCTAAATGTGCTCATTATAAGATAAAACATAAGAGCTGTGAAAGTAAATGCATCAATTGTATCTCCGTTCTTCCTTGTAATACTTGGAATTTTGTATCTGGGTATGGTCATCTCTAAGCTAATTTGTAAATGGAACTAGATATCTGCCACCTTAGGAACATATTAGCTTCTAAATGTAATTTAATAGAGAATAACAGATCATCTTTTCTAAAGCAAGCCTGTTGCAAACAAAGAACACTAAGACCCAGAAAGGTTAAGTGATTGACAAGTGACAAAATAGTGGCAGAATAATAAAGACTAGAGTGCAGCTTTTTTATGTCCCTTCAGTAGTTTCTACTTCAAATAATAACACAGGCAAAATGCTCAAGACTTGAATTATTCATAGCTCCAGTCACTAGAAACAGCAAAATATTTATCCTTCAACATGTTGTTAAAACATTTAGAATTTTTTTTCCTGAAAGATGATCTGAATGCAAATATGAACAAACATAAAGCAATAGGATAGTCTTTATTTGGTTGTAATATAGGCTTTCATGGGTCATCTCCATCTAAGTAATAATATGTTTCCATTGAAATTTTTCTGACTTTTTCAACAAAAATTTAACTGCAGCCCAACTTATGCATATGTTCACGTTCATACAAGTTTACTAACCTCATTATTGTGTTTTGTACAATAATTAAGCAAGCCCAGCATAAAATTGAATGGAAGCCCGCTTCAATGAACAGTGTGTTTACAAAAGCAAAGTTCTTTCATCTGCTTCTTTAATTAGTTTTAGAAAGGGAGAAATAAGCTTTTATCACTTCTTTTTTTTTAATAAAACTAATCTAGTGTGACCTTTTGCTTTCAACAATTACTGTGTTTGCCATTTGAAAGATTCCATTTGGTTTTTCTTGATGATAACAAAGGTTTATGTGCAAATAGTTTTACACTCACAGAAACTCTATTTTTCTGTTCCTGTATCTATGATGAAGGGATTAGAGATAAACGGTTCTTTATCTACCCTTCCAAGCACAGTCTTTATGGAAGAGAAAACTTCTCTTTCCATAAATTAAATACCCATTATTCAACATCCTACAAAATTGTTGGACCAAGAAAAACATAATTTGGCATCATCCTCGGCCTGTCAATGGTATTCCCAACATGGCGAAAGGGTCTTCTAGAGACTGGCAAAAAACACTTTATTTTCTTGCCTATATATGGAATAACTCTTTCTCTAACAAGTGTATAGCACCTGCCACGTGACAGAATAGTAATCTAGTGGGAGCAGTGGCAATTCAGGGAGATTATTTTAGTATCATGGTTCAATATTTTTTCATACTTCATTTTTCTTATGTATGAGAGGAAAGCAAAGGCATAAGAGAATATTTGTTGTGTCAGCAATCTAACTCTTTATCAATACGTTAAGTTGATCACATTAAAACTTCTACCTCTCAGCCAGGCACGGTAGCTCATACCTGTAATCCCAGCACTTTGGGAGGCCAAGGCGGGTGAATCACTTGAGATCAGGAGTTCAAGACCAGCCTGGCCAAAATGGTGAAACCCCATCTCCACTAAAAATACAAAAATTAGCTGGGCATGGTGGTGGGTGCCTGTAATCCCAGCTACTCAGGAGGCTGAGGGACGGAGGTGACCTGAGTCCTGAAGGCGGAGGTTGCAGTGAGCCAAGATGGCACCACTGCACTCCAGCCTGGGAGACAGAGCAAAAAAAAAAAAAAAAAAAAAACCACGTACTTCATCAATGAAAGTGTTCTGGAGAGAATCATGTGTTTAGAATGAGATATGCTCTTTATTGCCAGGAAGATTTCATGCTCCTCATGCAGCCATGCATGCAAGAGTTCCTAGGGTGAAAAGAGATTGTGATCATTCCCTGCCCTAGTTGTGAGAGTCCCTCAATTCATAGTAAGCCCAGTGACTACACCATGGGCAAAAGGGCGAGCCAGGTTTGGATGAGGGAACACAATAGGGGTCAAGCATAAGTCACCCCTCAGAATGAATCCTAAGCCCCATGGATGGAGAAGGAAGTTTTTGGCCAAGGCTTCAAGTCCCCCAAGAGCAGTCGTAGACAGTGGTCATCAAAAGTAGGTACCTCTTTGTGGGTATACATGACTCCCCAAATGCCTCTATCAACAACAGCTCATGTTTGTATGGAATTTTACAGTTGACACTGTACTTTGGCATATTTTATTTCATTTGAGTCTCATGTGGACCCATGAGGTTGGGAGGTCAGTGATGATTATCCCCATTTATAGATAGGTAAACAAAGGTTTAGGAAGATTAGCTGATTTGTCTTGGGTCACCCAGGAAGCAAAGAGCAGAACTGGGGCTCACACTCAGGCTTCTTGATTCCAAATTTGGTCTTCTGTCACTGCATACACTAAATTACAGTATTTCTTATATTAACTCTCATTTAATGTATACTAAAATACCATTATAGAGACACTTTTCTATCATATGCTATTTATATATCTATGCAGTTCTTTAGAGGGAATAGCTCTTAACTTTTTATAAATATCTAAAAATTTATTCTGTTTAAAGAAACTCTGTATTTCTCCCTGAGTGTCTTATTTCTGACTTTTTATGCATGAGCATATCTTATGAAAAGTAGAAAAGTATTCTGTTTCATGCTGGAACAAGGACTGCCTGACATTGCCTTGGGGGTTTATCTTATTCTGCAGCATATAGGAACATATGAGAATAAAGATGCTTCAAATGTTCAATCTGGAGAAGTCAGGTCAAACAGGAAAAAGAAGCACAGGAAGATGAGCCAGGGCAGGGAGCGGGGACTTGGTCTATGACACTGTCATCACAGGAACAAATGCTGAGAGCTCAGGAGGAGGTGAAGCATCAGTGTGTGGGCATTGGAAGGATCAAAAAGGAAGCATGGTTTTGAACCATCCTAATCCACCTGCTGCCCAGAGCCAGCCAGATGTTGTCCTTCTCCCTTTGAATAATTTATGTGCAACTCTACCCCTCAATCTCAGTCAAAACCACCATGAACTCAGTTCTGAGTCCAGACAGGATAAAAGTGAAGGGTTCTTTTTTCAGAGGTTATTTGGCCCAGTGTCGAAACCTGTTCTTATTAATGGTGCTCAACGCTTACTCTCAAACTAGTATTTCTTTGTGCTGCCCAGGTTAATGGGCATTCTGCAAAATATATATATATTCTTTTTCCAGGGCAGTTTCATAGTATCTAATAATAAAGATAGTAAAAAATATATTCCTGTGGTTTCATGGTACCTAGTAGTAAAGGTCCCCAACTAGCCAGCAAAGCCACCAGTTTAATTTTGGTTTGCCCAGCTTTTCCCAAATGGCCAGGGAAGTTTTCCCCAAAATGCCTATTAACATCTGGTGGAACTCAGTTCTGAAGCTGTCTGTGAGGTTCGTTGCTTGGTTCCTAAGTTGAGGGACTTGTGTCCTCTATGTGAAGTGTAAATCTCACCCCCTCACCACCACCTCACTAATTTCCTACTGCTGATCTCCCTGGACTTTGGACCCTCAGCCTGGCTGAGTCCTGCTGCCAAACTGTACTGACTTGCCCAGACCCAGCCTGTGGCCACCTGGGTGTATGAAAACTTGAAGGACCCTCCTCTCATAGTGTTATTTTTCAGATCCTACCCACTTCCACTCCCATCTGCTCGGTTCTGTAACCATCTCAGACATGAGTCCCCGGGTGTGAATACTCAATAGAAACATGTCACACCTGGCCAGGGTTGGAGAGGAAAGAGACATGGTACATCCTGATATAGCACATTGGGAGTAATTAGTTTTCATTTTTGAAATGGATCCATTTTGACATTGCAGTGAGAGGAAGAAATCCTTACTCATCTTTATATTCTCAGTGACTAGAACTGTGTCTAACACACAGTAGACGGTAAGTAGATTTTGTGTCAAATGGAATTTGATTTGCTTCATGATCTAGCCCCTTTCTGGATAATAGTTCTCCATATGTAAAGCAGAAATGACAATAATACCTACTTCAGGGGGAGTATCTTTGCAGGATAATATGAGATGATTATAACTAAATTGCTCTATGTCTGTTGGAGATTAAAGATCAGAAAGCTCTCTCTCTTTTGTTGCTTTATTTTTAAACCCACATATTACCATTTTAGTGACTGAAATCACCCTGAAGCAGTTGAATGACTTTTATTTAATAATAGTTAATATTCAATAATAAATATTAATATAATTAATAGTAAAATTTCTAAATATAAGTTTTTTAGCATCTCAATAAAGCTATGTTTACTTTCTTTTATTTTAAATGACAAAAATTAGCCTATACCTTTTAAAATTTTTCCTTTTTTGGGCCCCATTGTTATATAGAAGTGAGCTACCAGTATCACTTTTGTAATATCTGGGACTTTACGCTTCTAATATGCATATATATATATATGTGTGTGTGTGTGTGTGTGTGTGTGTGTGTGTATACATATGTGTGTGTGTGTATATATATATATATATAACTGATAGTAGTTGCTTATATAAGTCACTACTTACCATGTGTCCTTTGGTATCTACATATAAAATGAGACACAGTGGATGTGTGATCTGTTTTTGTTTTAGAGAAGCCTTTATGCAACAACCAGGGAGATCCTAAGCCTGAAACCATAAGTATTGGAAACACAAATGTTGTACATTCATCCCTTCCCCCAACCTTAGTTATTATCTAAGCAAGCAAGACACATTTTAGACCTTTTCTCATAAATCAAATCCTACAGCTCTTTAATCTCTTTTCTTTGTCATTCCCTGAATTCCCTCCAATATGTGGATAAGGGTTTTATCCCCCTTCAGACCTAGCCAACAAGTTGTCGTTTGAAGCCCTAAAGTCATCTCTTAGATTGCTGAGCTTCTGTGTTGTGTTGGCCTGTGTGGCTGACCTGGTTCAATGGACTACACATACTGCTTCTAGAAGTATCATAAGGATAGGGTTTGTCTATATCCATTTTATCTGAAACTCCAACATCAGGTTATAAAGAAGTATTTTCTTCCCACTTCTTTTCCTAGAATAATAACTGCCTGACCAATCAATCTATTGAGATCCGTATGAGACCATGTATGTGAATGGAGTTTGCCGAGTATTAAAGATTATATAAAACAAAGGAGCAGCATTTTAGCTATTATGGGCTGCTCTTTGTTAGTAAGAAGAATAGTAATATGCTTTGATATATGTCACCTCAAAATAATAGCTTGCTCAATAAATAACTGTACTCATTAAGTCTTGATATGAGAAATTATACCTAGGTTTGCACTTCTTTCGCAAGGCTAATTATTGGTTTCTCAAACAAAACGTTGATATTTTTAAAATGCCTGATGGTAACTTCAGTTAACTAAATATGCCACATTAACTAATTTTTAAAAAATTTTTGTGTAACTATGTAATTGTTCAAAATAATGGAATTGTGCTCTCAAATTATAATAGTCATACAGCATCTCACATAAATTTCTTTTAAAATGAATTCACTTATGTATAGGACTCAAGTGTGCAAGAAGGATGAAAGTAAACTACCCAACTCAAACAAAAAAAGAATGTATTAATATTAACATAACATAATACAGTGTTAATACATTAACAACTATTTAACATCAGATCTCTGGAGATGAGACCCGGACATCAGTATTTTTTAAAGTTTTCACGGTGATTCCAAAAGCAAAGTCAAGGCTGAGAATCTCTGCATTGGGCAGTGTTAGATAGTGCAACAACTGAATCTCTACATTGCGTCTTTTTTGCCAAACATTGATACCCCCTGAGGACAATGGTGAGGTGATGATAGGTAAGACATCATTCCACATTTAAGGATGTGAAGCAAGAACCTCTTTCCTTTTCTTTAAGGTCCAATTTGATGCAAAAGCTATATGCTATAATTCCTAACTAACACATGCCCTGAAATGGTCATGCTCCCCTTTAGCCATCCCAATTCCCATGAAAATTAGTATCATAGAATCGTGTGCCTTGGCAAACAACATGGCCTGTGTTTGCAGTATATTTATATTCCTTTGCCATTGTTAGCATTCCTGCAGAACTGTGAAGTGTTAACAACCTTTTTTTTTTTTTTTCCTTTCAGGGAAATGATATTGACCCTGAAGCAGTTAAAGGTGAAGTGTTAAAAGTTGGAAATAAGAGCTGTGAGAATATACACTTACATTCTGAAGCCGTTTTATGCACGGTCCCCAATGACCTGCTGAAATTGAACAGCGAGCTAAATATAGAGGTGGGATTCCTGCATTCCTCTCATGATGTAAATAAGGAAGCCAGTGTAATTATGTTATTCTCAGGCTTAAAATAAATCATTAAAGCTCATTTATGTGTGGGTTTTGGCTCATCAACTCAGCCTGCATTCCTAGTTGTTATTTTAGAAATAGTGAGCTTTTTGCCACATTGTCTCCTTCCCCAAGCCTGGGAGGTAGATCTCAAAAGTTCTTTCTACCCACACTGCTTCTCCATCACGCCACACTCTTCCCAAAATTTGCTGTAATTCTCAGAAGAAATAAGGATGCATCCAAGAGTGTCCTTCTACTGCCTCCCACCACCCCAGGAGGCCAGAGCCAGTGTTCCACTGCCAACCACTGTGATCACTAATGCATAGAGTCCCATAAATAAAGGAAGATGCATGCATCAAACAAAGTAAAATAAAGATTAAACTACTTTACAGTAACTTTTTTCGTGTAGACAACTGAATCAAACAAGCTAGAACCAAAGCGAGTGATCTTTTTCATTCTTTTTTTAGCAGCTTTATTGTGATGTAATTCACATACCATGCAATTCACCCATTGAAAGTGCACAGTTCAATGGGTTTCAGTATATTATATTGTCAATTTCTTTGAATTGAGGTAAAATATACATAATGTAATGTTTGCCATTTTGACCATTTTTAAATGTACAATTAAGTTGCATTAATTTCATTCACAGTGTTGTATAACCATCAGCATTACCTAATTCCAGAACTTTTTCGTCACCCCAAACAGATACTCTATAACCAATAAGCAGCAGCTCCACATACCCTTCTCTCCCCCGGCTCCTGATAACTTCCAATCTACTCTTTCTCTCTAGAATTTGCCTATTCTAGATATTTCATGTGAGTGGAATCATACAATATTTGTCTTTTTATGTGTGGCCTATTTTACTTAACATAATGTTTATCCACGTGGATGAACATAAGATTCATCCACGTTGTAGCCTGTGTCGGTACTTCATTCCTTTTTGTGGATGAATAATATTCCATTGTATATATCCCACATTTATCCAAGAGTAAGTGATTTTTAAAGGGTTCCTGAAGTCTTCTGAAGTTATAAAATGGAAAAACACACAAAAATTAGAAAATCAAAGGCTGAATCATGAGATCAGAGTTGGAATTTCAGAAGGACCATAAATCCTAAAAATCATAAAATGTTAGAGCCAGAAGGGACTTCAAAGATTTCTGCTGTGTATCAAAACTGAAGTAAAAATATTCTGAGACTTTATTGTTCCATCATAACAGTACAATTATTTACCTCTTATGGGAAGTCTTCTCTGCCCTCCACCCCACCGTCCAGGACAGAATTAATGTCCCATTGTCTCTGTTGATTACTGTTTAGTCATACTTCTATGGTACATACCACACTGTACTGGAATCATTTATTTATATGTCTGTCTCCCCTTCTATACTTCAGTTCCTGTTTTTTGTACATCTTTTTATCCCTAATACCTAGTTACAAATACAAACAGCTAAGTACCACATAAGTACTTAAGGGATCAGTGTCCCCTAATTATTTGAACACTGGAGCATAATTGAGGAATCTCTTATTATCCTGAAGGCAGTTATGCCATTTGTAGAATGGTAATAACCAGTTGGTATTTGGGACCCAAAGTGCTACAACCTGTGTAGTACAAATATCTATCATGGCTAAATGCTGACTTTTCTTTATTTGTCATTTTTAGTGGAAGCAAGCAATTTCTTCAACCGTCCTTGGAAAAGTAATAGTTCAACCAGATCAGAATTTCACAGGATTGATTGCTGGTGTTGTCTCAATATCAACAGCACTGTTATTACTACTTGGGTTTTTCCTGTGGCTGAAAAAGAGAAAGCAAATTAAAGGTGCATTTTTGTTACTGTTCATTTTTAGAAGTTACCTTAAGAACACAGTCATTACAGTTTAAGATTGTCGTCGATTCTTGTGTGCTGTCTTATATGTAGTCCATAAAACCCATGAGTTCTGGGCACTGGGTCAAAGTCTCCTGGGGCCCATGATAGCCGTCTTTAACAAGCTCTTTCTTTCTCTCTGTTTTAAGATCTGGGCAGTGAATTAGTTCGCTACGATGCAAGAGTACACACTCCTCATTTGGATAGGCTTGTAAGTGCCCGAAGTGTAAGCCCAACTACAGAAATGGTTTCAAATGAATCTGTAGACTACCGAGCTACTTTTCCAGAAGGTATATTTCAGTTTATTGTTCTGAGAAATACCTATACATATACCTCAGTGGGTTGTGACATTGTTGTTTATTTTTGGTTTTGCATTTATATTTTTATAAAAACCTAAAGGAAGTATTTACCTCTGCCAAGTAAGTATTTGACACAAAATTACATGGCTCTTAATTTTAAAAGAACCCATGTATATATTACATTATGATTTTAGAGTCCATAAGCTCTCATTTCACAAAAAGGTTAATTTGAGCAAAAGTAATTTGTTTATCATCTAAGTGCAATAGTAAGAAATTGCGAAGCTCTCTTTTACAATCCAGGAAGAGTTAAGTTACAAAATATACTTATTTAAATGTAAGTTGGAACTGCTACATTTTTTACCTGTTGAAGCCCAAACATTGAAATTATACTGTTAGTAATTCTTCGAAGTGTTTTCAATGAACTGTTAGTACACAGCCTTTTTCCCACCATATTCTAGGACTTGAATGTATTTTGAGACTTAGCCAAGGAAAACCTTCAATTATGCCATGAAAAAAAGGAGGGGTCAATATCATCAGCTTTGTAAAACACTATGCCTAGTAATGTTCAGGTTAATCAGAGTTTTCATGTTGTTTTATTTAAATCTCCTGGTAAAAGCAAAAGGTCTGTATTGTATCAGCTCCATTATCTTTAGAAGTTACAGGATGTGAGTCAAGTACAAGCATTTCCTTGGTTGAATATTTACCATTGGACAAATAAAATGAGTCACAGATCATTGAGGATACTGGAAAAGTTAGAAGTTGCTCATCCAAACAAGTTCAAGAGCAATGAAGCACTTAACATTTTAACATTTTCAACACTTACTACCTCTTATGTTTTGAAGTTTATGTTATTTCTATGGAGATACACATAGTAAACATTGTCTTTGCCCTGATTCCATTCACCTTTAAAAATCCATTCGTTTAACCGTGTGGAAAAATCAAACCTAGTTTATTGTTTTGAAATTTAGATCTATTTAGTATTTTATGTGCACATTTAGTGCATCTATTTAGTATTTTATATGCACATTTCATAGTTCTAATCTGAGATCATTAAAATTTACAAATTTTCTTTGAAAAAAAAACTTACCTAATCTTCTTTGAACCTCCTTACTCACCAAAGCTCTGTCATCATTGCTAAGAAGGTTGAGTTTCACACTCTTTTCTCCATTGAGCCTGCTCCTTGGAGACATGAAAAGAAAACAGGTAAAAGAGGGTCATTTAGAGAGAATGAGAAAATAGGTGCACAGCCAAAACCTAATGAAGAGGCAACTGCAGAGCTTTCCTCTCTACATCTGGTGGGGACAGCATTCTCATCAGACTTTTTCACGGAGACCTAGAGTGCTATGTGGTGTGACATCAGGGTGGCACACTGATGGTTTCAATTGGTTTCTGCACATGTTGGAATTTAGCTGAAGAGTCACGTTTTCATGCCAAAGGGCTTTTATCCATGTCTCACCAAGGATTTCCCTCAATCTGTGCACCCTTAAGCATTTAGAGCCCTGATCTCCAGATGCAAAGGCTTTAGGAAGTGAGAATGAAAGACCTGAGTTTAGAGAGGCTGATTGGCATTCCCAATCCCCTGGGGAAGGTTTAGAGACCCTGACTCCTTGGAATTAAGGGAGCAAGTACCCAGCTAGGCTCCTTCCTTCCTCACTCACCCAACATTTCAGGTACTTCACTGATGTTCCACATCCTTCTTTAAAGGTTGCTCTTGTCTTTTTTCTGGCTAGTGTCTACTATAACTGTAATTGATGCCCAACGCTTTTCTGGAACCACTTTTGGCCAAGTTCATTTATTATTAATCAAACTGTCCACTGTAGAAAATACTAAAAATGCTCAAGTGGGATTAGGAATAGTCAAGGTACTAACAGCATTCTTTTTATGCCCTTCTCTCAGATTCTGATTCTCCTGCTTATTTGCAAACAAATGATACATTTTGGTGCTAATGAGGAACCCCCACATAACCTTCTCCCTGTGTTACATACTAATACATTTCAATACTATGCCTAGTTTATCTTCATGTCAGTTGCTGTGGCTATGATGCCCCCTCCTTGATATGTGTGAATTCCCAGTGGAAAGAGAAAGGGAAAGTGGAAATGCCCTATTTGGCATTAAGAAATTGACTATCAGCACCATTTCTTCCCCTGAAATAAAAAAAAAAATTCTCCTTGCAAAAGGGAACTTTGCCTGAGGTTCTTACAGAGCTTTGGTTATAAAGATCAACTTATAAAGAATGCTTACCCCTTTCATAGTGTCCTTAACTAAACAACAAGGATGGTCCACTAACCGAGATCTAACCTGCCTTCTCTAAACAACAGTAACACTAAATCCAGTGCCATCACTGCACAGTGGAGAATTTACCACTAATGTGAAAAGCTTTCAGTTTTGGGAATATAGCCATTATTTATTTCTAATCATATGTGTATTTTTCCCTTGGCCAGGAATCCATAGGTTTTGCACAATAGTAATTAATTCCATTAACAAATAGTAGTGTCTCAAAAGGCATCTTTTTCATTTTCTTATATTTGAGCTGGATTTTTGTGAGACGAGGCAATTGCTCAACTACCTTTGCTGCTACCACTGCTTCCATTCTTAAGGACATAGTATATTCAAAAATAAACCATAAGCATGGCTTTTTGCTATTGATAAAGAGAGAAATGTCTAAGGAAATGAGGGTAAAAAGCTTTCAAAATTAATACTTAGTCTACTTAAATGAAAATCTGTAAACATCTAATGAAATGCTTGTATATATAACTTAGTATCTTTTCCCAATTTATTATCATTTTTATCAAACTAATTCCATTATAAAAGCTCTTCCTGTTTCAGTCCCCATTAAATGAGGTTTTACTGTTGTTCTTTAATAATTTTCCTTCATCTTACAGATCAGTTTCCTAATTCATCTCAGAACGGTTCATGCCGACAAGTGCAGTATCCTCTGACAGACATGTCCCCCATCCTAACTAGTGGGGACTCTGATATATCCAGTCCATTACTGCAAAATACTGTCCACATTGACCTCAGTGCTCTAAATCCAGAGCTGGTCCAGGCAGTGCAGCATGTAGTGATTGGGCCCAGTAGCCTGATTGTGCATTTCAATGAAGTCATAGGAAGAGGTAAGTATTTCCACTCAGCTTTTTGTTAAATACGATTTTCCAGTAAGCATTTTATCTTTGGCCTTTGCAGATTAGGAACTTAGACAATGGTGAAAGCAACTGACAGAGCAGTGATAACAAGTGTACTTGATTTCTGTTCTATAGAAATGTAGCCCTGTAAATCATATCCGTGGGGATTTGCCCTTGTGCATGGAAGCAATTGGATAATCCCCCAAATATATTAGAACTAAATCACAATTCG
Source organism: Homo sapiens (assembly GCF_000001405.40). NCBI lineage: Eukaryota > Metazoa > Chordata > Mammalia > Primates > Hominidae > Homo > Homo sapiens. Next base: position 116,775,353 of record NC_000007.14, read on the forward strand.
TCCTCGTCCTGTGTGTACTAGCAATTATAGTTTCTTCAAAGGTGCCATTTACTTTCTTCTAAAACTCAGGGCCAGGCGCAGTGGCTCACACGTGTAATCCCAGCACTTTGGGAGGCCGAGGCAGGTGGATCACCTGAGGTCAGGAGTTCAAAACCATCCTGGCCAACATGGCAAAACCCCGTCTCTACTAAAAAAATACAAAAATTAGCCAGGCGTGGTGGCGGGTGCCTTTAATCCCAACTACTGGGGAGGCTGAAGCAAGGAGAATTGCTTGAACCCAGGAGGTGGAAGTTGCAGTGAGCCAAGGTTGTGCCACAGCACTCCAGCCTGGGCAGCAGAGCGAGACTCCATGTCAAAAAAATAAATACTTATAAATAAATAAATATCACTCCTTTAATTTTGAGTATTTTTATTCAATCTCTCTCCAGTCTTTCTTTACCCTGAGAACAGTGACAAACTCTATGAAGCCTGGTTTATAGCAGTTTGTACACTGCTGGACAGCATCAGAAGACAGAGAATTTATAGCATTCTCCTGATCTAAAGCAACATATATCATCTCTACAATGCACTCCAATTTCTTTATACAAAGATAAATGAATATTTGTAATAAGCTAGCCAAAGCAGCAATAACAGCTAGCATAAACAGTATTTGTGGAAATATTTAGCAGGAAAAGAAACCAATCAAAAACCGGGAAATGAACTTCATTCTTCTTGTTGTTTTTTTTTTTCTAAAAAGCTTTTACCCTTAATACTAAATGGCCTCTGATCCCTTTTATTCTATATGTGCTGCAAGAGGTTGTACAGGCATCTGCCAGTGTGATACAAGAGAAGCTGATGGCGTGATTTCCCTTATATGAACACAAGGCCTTCTCACTTTCCTGTGGTAGCATCCACACATTCTTCTGTCAAACACCCCAGAGCGTAATCCTTTGTGTGCTCCTTCTTCCCCAAGAGTGGCTTCACTGTTAACAAACATCTTTCCATTTCTCTTCAGAGTAATATATAGTTCTGTCATAGGCCTATAAATCCCAGTAATTGCATCAATTTTAGAGTGTGTGGACTCACTAATTGTGTTCTAATTCTACACATTTGGAAAACTAGAATTTTTTATCATGAAAGGTACTAAAATGGCAATTATTTCTCTTTTGAAGTTATAATCATTAACAGCTCTATAAATATTAGCTACTATGTATTTATATGTTTTTCTGCAGGAGAATAGGAGCACTCAAAAGCATAAGTTTTATTTTATTCTTCTTTGCATTAGTAGAGGGCAGCCTAATGCCTGACACTCACATACTAGGCACTCATGGTGTCTTGGCCAGCTGGATGAATTAATTAGTGAATGACTTACACAGCTATCAGACATTTGGCACCTCTGGGGGAAATTACTGCCACTGGATAAAAGGCTACCATTGGGAAAATGATGTGGTTAAAGCCAGAGAGAACTGGATGAAGTGAGTCAGGGTGAATTTGCTTCATCTGGGCAACTGCCTTTCAGTTTCTGCCAACCTGGATTACGTATTAACCAGTGACTAATGGGGAAATCCTTATTCTATAATACTAATCCTATTTTTAATGGTAACATTTTTATTTCATTTCAGCTTATTAGAATATAGAGAACTTATTTTATTATAGTTCTTCATGTGGGTTAACTTTATTTTCATATTTTAAAATACTATGTCATCCTTTAAAAAAATTTATTTGATGAGGCCGATGTTACTCACCTTTTCAGTGGTTCCACTGTGGTTGAATATTTTATTAGGTTAGGCTTTAATATGAGTCATATCATCTACAACTTATTCATGAATTAAATAATCACATTGCTTATATCCTTGGGTGAAATGTGTTGCATCTACATATATATTTACAAACACACCTACGTACCTATAGTGGTATTGTTAAAAGTATTTTTTAAATGTACTCTTTTGCTGTATAGAAAGAAGAAAGAATAAAATGAAGCTCATAAAGGGTTTGATAAATAATTATTTCATAATTAAATGTTACGCAGTGCTAACCAAGTTCTTTCTTTTGCACAGGGCATTTTGGTTGTGTATATCATGGGACTTTGTTGGACAATGATGGCAAGAAAATTCACTGTGCTGTGAAATCCTTGAACAGTAAGTGGCATTTTATTTAACCATGGAGTATACTTTTGTGGTTTGCAACCTAATAAATAGCTTATAATAAAACGTTGATTTACACTTTCCCCTTGTGGAAAAATCAGCTACCACTGAAATTATGGGCCTAATCCTGAAAATTTGTTTTGTTCTAGACTTTTATTGAACTACTTCCCCTGAAATGATCCCTCAGAGCCCTCATTAGTAAGGGGGTAGGAGAAATGAGGTTCTTGGATGAACTGAGTATCATTTAACTATAACTATGTTTGGTTTATAATATTTGTTTTGCAAGTGACATTTCTGGAAACTATTGGAAGCATGTTGGCACCTACAGTAGTAATGACTCATTTTACCCAGAGGCATTACTATAATTATTTTTTAACCACAACTTCCATTAAAAAGATAAAAAATGAAATAAGACAAACAGGAGAAAACTACGCTGGCCAAAAATTGAAAAATCATAAGTATGGTAATACCTCATTTATCCACATTTTTGGAGAGTGAGGCATTCCACATACATGAACTTCCTAAATAAATGAAACCTACCCCTTTTTAATGCTGGAACATTACTTAAAATTTTAGCTGTTATTGAGAAAATCTTTTTAAGATGAAATGCATACTCTGTTTAAGGGAATGCTTCCAAATACAAACTAAGTCTTTATTGGTGACCCCAAGCCATAATTACAGCCATAAATTACTATATTACACAAACAGTGTACTCCACATACATAGTGTTCCTGGCTCCGCCTGTGTTGACAGGTCTCACATGCTTGCGTTTTCTACTCCCATTTCTCATTTTCTGCTTGCAAATTGCAGCAGCCTGAAAAATGTTAACCAGCTCTACTACAAACTTTATATGGGACTTAATAAGCTTTAAGTGCACAAATGAAAGATTTTCCTGCAAGATACTTTACTGTCACAATTATTTCAGTCTTTTTAAAATATAAATCAACATGCTAAGTAGTGTTCTACATGGTTAATTTTGTTGGAAGTCTGACCATGAGGGAAATAAATGGACAGTCTTTATGAAACCTAAGTATAACCTTTGCACTAAGTTTATAGGAGACAAACTGGTGGCTGGTTGGACTCTATCTTGCAAAAGTGGGCATAGGTGGTGACTGGAAGGCACAGTGCACGGTGGCATCATTCACTCAGATGTGATGTAAAAAGAACACTCTGCAGTCAAACCCTCAGGACAAGATGCTAACTGTGTGGTTTACCATTTCATTGCTCTTCCTATCTAAATTTGACAAAAGTATTCACTGTTCCATAATGAAGTTAATGTCTCCACCACTGGATTTCTCAGGAATCACTGACATAGGAGAAGTTTCCCAATTTCTGACCGAGGGAATCATCATGAAAGATTTTAGTCATCCCAATGTCCTCTCGCTCCTGGGAATCTGCCTGCGAAGTGAAGGGTCTCCGCTGGTGGTCCTACCATACATGAAACATGGAGATCTTCGAAATTTCATTCGAAATGAGACTCATGTAAGTTGACTGCCAAGCTTACTAACTGGCAAACTAGCTGTAAGCCAGCCATCCCTTCAAAATAGGCCTGCTCTGAGTCTTTAAAAAGCTAGTAGCCAAAGATGCACATTTAAAATGTTAGCATCATTCAAATGCACCTCAAAGTCTTCTATCCTGGTGGGAAATAGTGACACCTGGAAGGGTTTCCTGGAGCAATGATTCTTACTTGCTCTGCAAGCAACCTTGCTCTACCTTCCCTCTGATAGGGACATTTAGTCATCTTTGCATGTCTACTATGTGCCAGAAACTGTGCACAGCACAGGAGAAGTGGAAGCAGAGCAAGCCTCAGCCCATATGGAATGTTAACTCTACAAGGCATTGAAAAATTAACTCCAGATGCGTTCCTTGCTGTTCCTTGTCCTTGCCATCCACTCTCACACCTCAGGAACTTTGCACTTGTGCTCCCTCAGCCTGGAACACTCTCCCCGCAAATAGCCACGTATCTCACTTCCTCATCTTCTTCAGCTTTTGGCCGTAATGCCATCTTCAACATAAGCCTTCCCTAATCTGTTTAAAATTGCAACTGACCACCCACCCTCATGGCTTCAGACTCCTCTTCCCTGCTCTATTTTCCCCCATCACACTTAACTGTCATCTGATACATGCATGAAGCTGCCTGAAGCTGCCCAATACTATGGCCATGAGCCACATGTAAAAGGAGGCTAGTTCGAACTGAAATGTGCTGTACGGTGTAGAATACATCCCAGATTCTGAATACTTAGTATTAAAAAAAAAAGAAGGTGAAATATCTCACTAGTAGTTGTTTATATTGATTACATGCTGAAATATTTTGGATTTTGGGGGTTGAAAAATACATTGTGAAAATTAATTTCACCTGTTTCTTTTTACTTTTGAGTATGGCTACTAGAAAATTTTATATTACATGTGTGTCTTGCTTTATATTTCTATTGAATAGCACTGTAGTAGATAATAAACAAATAAACAATAGCTATATAGATGTATATGTATGCATATATATGTACACACACCCTCATCCCATTAGAATGGAAGCTCATGAGGGTAGGATTTTTGTGTATTTTGTTCACTGCTGTGGCTCCAACACCTAAAACAGTGTTTAGCACATAGACTCGCAGTAAATAATTGTTGAATGAATCAGCTAAGGGTTACAAAAAAAGGTTCTTAGCCTCTTGCAAGTGGTAGATTTTTTTCTTGACATTTATGCCAGGACCTAAAAGTCACCAGGCCAGGACCAGGGAGGGTGGGAATAAGAATCTCAAGAACTGAATTCATAGAAGGCCTCAAGCTCCGTCTCGGTTCCTGCTCTCCAAGTCTCTGTGGGAGGTAATGAAGTTGATCAAAAGCAACTTTATAAATATGGGGTCAAATTATCAGAGAAAATAAGCTCTAGGAGAGTAATGAGATATTACTCAGCCAAAAGAATAAAACATTCCCTGGCAGTGAACTTTTGCAGATAAGGCGAATTGACCTTACAAAGCACACAGCTGCCCTGACAGACCCCACTTTCCCACTTCAACTTTTGTTATTACCCTGATGGATTAATGTGGCTGGAGGTGCTACCTTCTCTAGGGTACTGTTACCCCAGGATTAAAGCATGATAGAGATTTCCTGTTATCCAGAACGGAATAGTGCCATGGCCTTTTTTAATCCAAGGAGCTGATACTGAGAGCAACCACAAACCCAGATGTGTCTTAAAGAGAAACCTAAAACCAGGAACTGGCCTTTCTCTATGCTGTGTGCATTGAGTGGGGCTACAGCCCTTTTGCAGGGTCCCCACTGACTACATCTTGCACTGACAAACTCCTCAGTGACTGTTGAAGGGGAATACCCCATTCCTGATTGCCAGCCAGTGACATCACCAGACTTGACAGCTGAGTGGTTTGGGGTGATTTCTTTCTGAGCCTCCTCTATTCACTGTGCTTCTGATGTTCTAACATCTTGGGCCTTACTAACCCTGGAGGAACTGTCCCTCCCAAGGCTAGCTAATTCCTGCAAATAGTAAACAGCTTGCCTTCAAAGCATACCTGTCATGTGCAAACCAACCAATCCAGAGCCCTTATCTAACCTCCTCCTTTATCAGGCTCTTACACTTTGGGCTACTATCCACCTGCCCTAATCACCCCAGGGCCCAGTTCCAGACAACTAGAACTATCCTCGGAGCCTGCTGAAATACTCCAGATTGGCCAGCTCCAAACCTGCTTACCCTGCCTTACCAGTTTCTTCCCAGGGAAACTGCAATGAAGGCTCTTGCTCATGTTTTTCCCCTCTCTCTCTCTGCCTCTAGAGCCCAGGGCTTCCCCCATGTGACCCTGCATGACAGGGTGTGCCTCCTCCTCTTGCAAACTGTGAATAGCAAACTATCTTTTCAATGGCAGTTGTCTCCTGTTCTGTTGGCCTCATCATACCTGGAAAATAATAAAACTACATTTTAAAACACCTCCATTTTCCCATCTGGAAAATGGAGCCTGTAACACCTGCCTGACAGAAGTGTAGAAGTAGCTGTAATTTATGAAAACAATTAGCCTGGTGTGTTGCATACAATAAATACTTAACAAATGGTTGATCTGTCAATGGGGCACACTTTTTGTTGTTGTTGTTTTGTTTTTTGTTTTTGGAGACAAGGTCTCTGTCACCCAGGCTGGAGTGCAGTGGCACAGTCATAGTGCACTGCAGTATCCAACTCCTGGGCTCAAGCAATCCTCCTTCCTCAGACTCCTAAGCAGCTGGGACTATAGGTGCACACCACCACACCAGGCTAATTTTTTTGTGGGCGGTGGATGGGAGTAAAGACAGGATCTCACTGTGTTGCCCAGGCTGATCTCAAACTCCTGGCCTCAAGCCATCCTCTCGCCTTGGCCTCTCAAAGTTCTGGGATTACAGGCTTGAGCCATTAAGACCAAACTAATTTTTGAGACAAGATAATTTTTTATAAATAAATATTTCAGAATTCTAAGGTCAAAATTAGAACAGTAGATGCTTAGTTTATGCTTTTCTAACTCTCTTTGACTGCAGAATCCAACTGTAAAAGATCTTATTGGCTTTGGTCTTCAAGTAGCCAAAGGCATGAAATATCTTGCAAGCAAAAAGTTTGTCCACAGAGACTTGGCTGCAAGAAACTGTATGTAAGTATCAGAATCTCTGTGCCACAATCCAAATTAAGTGACAAGGAGGAATCTGTTTCCCACTGTTCAATGCTAGTTAAGCTGTTTTCTCTTCTTATGCAAAAGTCCTTTATTTCTGTTACAATCTTAAATCGATGTGTAAGCCCTGGGGATGTGGGTGGGACTTTCAGACTTTATCCAACAGAGAATTTAAAAGGATTCTCCATAGGGGGTCTTAAACAGCTGTTGTGTACTTTTGCTTTTCTCAGTCCTTCCCTCCAGTAGCTCTCAATGTTGTGGTTTCACACTGCATTAGTGTTGGGGAGGGAGAATTTGATCTTCAGCATTTGACAGTGAAAAGGAGAGGGCTGGGAACACAAATACCAACATATTGCAACTTCCCAAGAGTGGATTTGAAGCCAGCCTGCAGAAGCCCTACCAAAAATGGTATTTGGCAATGAATATACAAAGAACTTTATTTGTGTCTGGCTGCCTGGCTATGTAATACAACAGTCAACAGTTTGTAATTGAGTTCATGTTTTCCCTTGCATAGCACTGATTCATGACTTATGGTATGTGTGAATGAAAAAGGGTGTGCTATTAATTTCCTACCTTGGTTTTGGTCACTGTAACAACATAAAAGCCAGCTTAAACAGAGGATGCATAGCCCCAGATAGCGGAAATTGATTTTTGTTGAACTTCGCTGTTTTTCTTAGATGCTTTACTGTGTATCCTAGTTCTCTATTACCTCAGTGGTGGGATATATGAGTTTTGTGTGCTAACCTAGCTCATTTAAGAATGAAAAAGTAAAGTATCAGTCCCCTGTCATGCTCTCCCATAAAACTGAGTATCGCTAATCAGTTGACAAGCGAAGATTGGTGATTGCTTGGGTAGTTAATTAGCATACTTCATTTAGCAACCAAAGTAAACCCACAGGGGAGACAGCCTTACTACTGCAGATCTACATTAAAGCAAAAAGGACTTTCTTATGCCATACAATTCATGATCTCTTTCCTCAGCCTGTTGAATTGGCAATGTCAATGTCAAGCATTTTTATTCAAGAATTCTGTTGTAATTTAGTGTTAGTCAATAGAGGCCAGATGAAATACTTCCTTCAGAAGTTATGGATTTCAAATACTGAAGCCACTTGTTTAATCTGTAGATATTCAGCATCATTGTAAATTATTCTATTTCAGCCACGGGTAATAATTTTTGTCCTTTCTGTAGGCTGGATGAAAAATTCACAGTCAAGGTTGCTGATTTTGGTCTTGCCAGAGACATGTATGATAAAGAATACTATAGTGTACACAACAAAACAGGTGCAAAGCTGCCAGTGAAGTGGATGGCTTTGGAAAGTCTGCAAACTCAAAAGTTTACCACCAAGTCAGATGTGGTAATGTATTGGTTATCTCTGAGTTTCTCCTCTTTTACTTTCATATCCAACTTTTTTTGAAGTTTTATCACTACTTAATTTTTTAAAAAAATTCAACACCACCAATTCCAGTTTTCTTCATATGTAAAAATGGACTTGTCTGATACGTACACATTGTATATTTTCATAAATTCACTCATTTGTTCAAAAATATTTGTTGAGTGGGGCAACATACCAGCTCCTTAGGAAGCCCAGAGCTGAACCAGGCATGAACCCTGTCGGCCAAGAACTTTGGCTCAGAAGGGAAGAGATGAGATGGTCAACAATGACTGTGACACAGGTGGCCTGGAATGGGCCCTGATTCTCATAGCCCCAGGCGAGCAAGAATTCCACATCAAGAAATCTGGAAGCTGTAACTGAGGCAGTCTAGCAGTGAGGGCATGATCCCTGGGCCTAGCTAGTAAAGTGCCTTCCCTTATCTGCAAAGGCCATCCTTCTTGCGCAGAACAAGCTCTCAAAAGGCATGCACCTGAGTGCTGAGGCTGGGAGAAATACTCACCTGGGCAGCCAGATTCACCACATTCCCCTTCCACCATATGGAGAAGTGGCATTTGAATTGGGTTAAAGGACAGCAGGTTTGGAGTTGGGCAGCTGGGCAATGGAAATACCGATCCAGGTGTGGCAGAAGAGCAGGAAAGTATAAGCACCTGTAAAGTTATAAGGAAACAGTACTTAGTTATTTGGCAAGAACAGAACACAGAGAGGGAAGTTATGAGAATAAATGGAGAAAAATATACTTATACTAGGTCATAGAGTTCCTTGAAAACTGAACTAGAGAGTATGGAATTTATTCTCTGGTAATGTGGAAACAAAAAAGTAATCAGATTAGACTGCAATCTTTCATCATTGTATTAGTCCGTTCTCACACTGCTATAAAGAAATACTGAGCCTGGGTAACTTATAAAAAGAGATTTAATTGGCTCACAGTTCTGCAGACTCTACAGGAAGCATGGCTGGAGAGGCCTCAGGGAGCTTTTACCCATAGCAGAAGGCAAAATAGGAGCAGGCATTTTACATGGCAGGAGCAGGACCAACGGGGCTGTGGGAAGTGCCATGCACTTTTAAACAACCAGATCTCCTGAGAACTCTATCACAAGAACAGCACCAAAGGAAGAAATCTGCCCCCATGATCCAATCACCTCCAACCACGCCCCTCCCTCAGCATTGGGGATTACAATTTTACATGAGAGTTGGGTGGGAACACAGAGTCAAACCATATCATTCCGCCCTAGTTCCTCCCAAATCTCACGTCCTTCTCACATTTCAAAACACAATCATGCCTTCCCAACAGTCCCCCAAAATCTTAACTCATTCCAACATCAGCTAAAAAGTCCAAGTCCAAAGTCTCATCTGAGATAAGGCAAGTCCCTTCTGCCTATGAGCCTGTAAAATAAAAAAACAAGTTAGTTGCTTACAAGATACAACGGGGGTACAGGCATTGGGTGAATGCTCCCATTCCAAACGGGAGAAATTGGCCAAAGCAAAGGGGCTCCAGGCCCTACACAAGTCCGAGGCCCTATGCAAGTCCAAAACCCAGCAAGGCAGTTATTAAATCTTAAAGCTCCAAAATAATTTTTTTGACTCCATGTCTCATATCCAGGGCACGCTGATGCAAGGGATGGGCTCCCAAGGCCTTGGGCAGCTCTGCTCCTGTGGCTCTACAGGGCTCAGCCCCATGGCTGCTTTCATCGGCTGGCATTGAGTGCCTGCAGCTTTTCCAGGCACACGGTGCAAACTGTCAGTGGATCTACCTTTCTGGGGTCTAGAGGATGGTGGCCCTCTTCTCACAGCCCCACCTGGCAAAGCCCCAGCACTAAGGGGAGGTCTCAGGGAGCTTTTTACCCATGGCAGAAGGCAAAGCAGGAGCAGGCATCTTGCATGGCAGGAGCAGGACCAAGTGGGGGGAGGGGGAGCATCTTATATGGCAGGAGCAGGACCAAGGTGGTGACAAGCTTTCACCAAGGGGAGAGGTGCCACACACTTTTAAACAACCAGATCTCCGTAGAATTCTATCACGAGAACAGCACCAAAGGGAGAAATCTACCTCCATGATGCAGTCACCTCCCACCAGGCCTCAGCTCCCACACTGGGGATTATAATTCAACATGAGATTTGAATGGGGACACAAATCCAAACCATATCAATCATTCTCCAAGACAACTTGAAAGGAGTAGAAGCAGGAAGATGAAGTGAGAAGTGGAACTTGAAATAAGACACAATGAGAATGGAAAGGAAGAGATGAAAGGAGGAGCATCTCAGAGGTAGAATCAGAAGTATTTACCAAGGAATTGATAAAAAGTCAAAGATTAGCAAAGATATATGCTCATGCAATAACACATATATGAAGCACAGAAGCAAAAGCTGGACTCAGAACAAAAATAGCAAGTTGAGCCTTAAACACACTGAGTTTGCCTTGGGAGTAGAATGTCCAGGCAGAGAAGTCCATCAGGCAATTGAAAATGTGAATCTGCAACTTGTAAAAAATGTATTATTCAGCCTGGGCTGTCATACAATAGACCACAGACTGGTTGGCTTAAACAACAAAAATGTATTTCTAACCATTCTGAAGGCTAGAAGTCCAAGATCAGGATGTCAGCATGGTTGGGCTCTATTGAGGGCTCTCTTCCTGGCCTATAGATGGCCACCTTCTTGCTGTGTCCTCACATGGCTAAAAGAATAAGAGTCAGTTCTCCAGTATCTCTTCTTAGAAGGGCACTAATCCCAGCATGAATGCCCACCCTCATGACCTTGTCTAAACTGAATTACCTCTAAATGGCCCCATCATTAAACATTGTCACAGTGGGGCTTAGAGCTTCAACATATGAATTTCCGGGGAACACAATTCAGTCCATAGCAGGGGTCAAGGCTGGGAATATGCTTTTGAGAGTCCAAAAGCAATTATTCAGTAGTCCAAAAGCAATTATTCAACTACATATATAAAGTGAAAGAGAAAAGCAGTGAGGTAAGGGACCCAGAAGCAAAGACCACCATGAAAGTCAGAGTAAGAGAAAGTTTCAAGGAGAAATTGGATGCTCAACAGAGTCCACTGCTACTCAGTACACCAGAAGGGTCTTGGAAGCTGAGTAACTTGAGTGATTTGGAGGTCTAGAGTGTGCTTAGGAGCACAGGTGTTGAATGGAATGGAGAGTACACTTATTCTATTCACATGTTGTAAGTCAGAGGACTGTGATGTCTGAAGATAGAGAAACATTTGATGTTTCAGTCCTTAAGGATGACAACTAAAAAAGGAAAATGTGCAAACAAAGTAGTCAGAAAATAATGTTCATGGGGGACATGCACTTGAAGAGAAAGGGTTGGTAGCTTTTGAGAGATGATGGGTCAGAGATCTGAGTGTGGCATGGGAAGCAAGAAGTCATCTCATCCACCTCTCTGTGAATCAGCAAGAGGGAGAGGTGTGACCCCTATTGGCAAGAGTTGCAAAGAAATTGTGACTTCAACTGAAAGCTGAGTTTCAGTTCCTGTGAGGAGGTAGGGGAACTATTAGAGAATAAGACGAGGTGACTGGGAGTTTGTTTTCAATGAGTAAGTAGGTCATAGGTCATGGTGGAGGACCAGGACTTCAGCATGCATGAGATTGGTAAGAGAAAGTGATAGTGCCATGTAGAGCTTAATGCCTGGGATTTTGATCCTGAAAGATTCTGAAAGAGGTGAAAGAAGTGGGTGCTAGAGAGGGAGACTGGGGACATGTTAGTGACAGTGGCAGGTGAAGGCAAAAGATAGGGAGAATTAACCCATCCTCCAAGAACATACTGTTCATTCAGACTTGAGGGTTAGTCTGCCATTAAGAAGCCAGAGCCAACCCTTACAACTCAATAATAAGACTGTCTTAGTCGTTTTGTGCTGCTATAACACAATACCACAAATTGGGGGATTTATAATGAACAGAAATGTATTTGGCCCACAGTTCTGGAGGCCAGGAAGTCCAAGATCAAGGGGCCACATGTGCTGAAGGTCTTCTTGCTGTGTCATAACATGGTGGAAGGCATCACATGGGTGTGAGAGAGTGCAAGAGAGAGCAAGAGGTGAACAGATTCTCTAACAAACCCCCTTCCACAATAATGAACTGACTCCCAAGATAATGACATTAATTCACCCATGAGAGTAGAGCCTCATGACCTAATTACCTCTTAAAGATCCCTCCTCTGAACACTGTTGCATTGGGAGGGGATTAAGTGTCCAACACATGAACTTTGGGGGACACATTCAAACCATAGCAAAGGCAATATTACTCAATTTTTTTAAGTAAGCAGAAGATTTGAATAGACATTTTACCAAAGAGACGTAAGAATAGCTAGCTAATGAGCACATGAAATGAAACATATGCCCACATGAAGATTTGTACATGAATGATCACAGTAGTTTTCTTCATAATAGCCAAAAACCAGAAGCAATCTTAATGTCCATCAACGGGTGAATGGATAAAAAAAAAATGTGGTGTGTCCATACAATGGACTAAACCATTCATCAACATAAAGGAATTACTGATGCCTACTACAGCATGATAAACCTCAGAAACATTATGTTAAGTGAAAAAAAGGCAGATAAAAAAATTACATGTTGAATGGTTCCATTTATATGAAATTTCTAGAAAGAGGCAGAACTACAGAGTCAGAAAACAAATCAGTGGTTGCCTGGGGCCAAGAGAAGGAGTGAAGATAAACCACAAATGGACATGAGGGAATTTTCTGGAATGTTGAGATGATCTAAAACTGGACTGTGATGATATGATAGCTGCACGTCTATATAAATTTACTAAACATCATTTAATCACTTTAATTTACTAAACATCACCAATCACTTAAAATTGGTGAGTTTTATGATCTATAAATTATACCTCAACAAAGCTGATTTATAAAAAAAGAGCCTGATGAAATTTTGGATGTTTAGGGCAAGTGTTGGGATTCTAAGCTTCTTGACAGCCACATACATGCAACAATACCCCCACCTCCCCAACAAACACACACAGACAGCACAGAGGCCAAGGCTTCCACCATAGCCACAGTCACTCAGATACTTGACTGGAAATGTACATAGATTTCTGCAGATAGGATGGTGCTATTTCTTTCTCACTCTCATCGAAAGACACTATTTTGTGCTACATAAAGGCTGAACCTGAATAATCTGTACATAATGCTGCTTTGGGAAATGGTTACTGATTGCATGGATAAATTTGCACAGTGTTTTACTTCCAGGACAGCGCAATCTTGAATGTTGACATGGAACATTTCCAAAAGCATGCAATGAGCTATGTGTATGTTGAAACCTGCGACCAAAAACTTGCCTGCTTGTAGATTGGGTTTTCTTTCTAGAAAATGCCCAAATGGAGTTTGGCTAAAATCTGAATACTCTTTAAGTCCATTCAAACAAAATCGGAGTGTCACTACACTGGAAATCACTCACACCCTCCTCTGAACCCTTTTGCAATGGGTGTTGTAATTGTATTATACGTTGTTTCACACTTAATACAAGTTCTTCCATTAAACTGTGTATTGACTTCCTTGTTCTCAGCCCTTATCTGCCTCATCTTTCTGAAGTGTTTAACATTATTGTAACCCTCATTTTTCTTGAAATTTCCTCTTCCTTTGGTTTCTGGGACACTGAAACTTCCAGTTTTCCTCCTGCTTCTAGGTTGTTTTCTTTATCCTCAATGGCTTCTCTTCCTTCTGTCTTCCTTCTCTCAGATGTAGCTGTCTCCCAGGATTTTTGTCTTTAGGGGTCATCCTCCACCAACAGTTGGAACCATTCCCATCAATAACCACCTTTGATTCTCTCTACCTGGATGTCATCATCAGTGTCACAAATTTACCATGTTCAGAATCAAACTCTTTCCTGCCAAACCCTCAATTTCTCACCTCCTGGCTTTGATTAATGGCATCACCATTGTGTAATTTACCCACTCCTCATTCTTTTCAGTGTTCGGTTTTTCAGGTTTTGACAAATGCATGCAGTTGTGTAACCACCACCCCAACAATCAGGACATAGAACAGTTCTATCATCTCAGAAAATTTCCTTATGCTCCTTTGTAGTCAACCTCTACCCTATCCCCAGGACCTGGAAATCAGAAAACCAGATTTATTTTCTGTCTCTAGAGTTTTACTTTTTCTAAAATGTCATATAAATGGAATCATGCAGTCAGTAGTCTTATGAGTCTGTCTCCTTTTACTTCGCATATTACATTTGAGAGCCATCCATGTTGTCGTATCAGTAGTAGTAACGTATCAGTAATTCATTCCTTTCTTATTGTGGCAAAAAAATACATAAAATTTACCATCTGAACGATTTTTATTTTATTTTAAGTTCCAGGGTACATGTGCAAGATGTGCAGATTTGTTACGTAGGTAAACGTGTGCCATGGTGGTTTGCTGCACCTATCAACCCATCACCTGGGTATTAAGCTCGGCATGCATTAGCTGCTTTTCCTGATGCTCCTCCCCTCCCTCGATAGGCCCCAGTGTGTGTTGTTCCCTTCCCTGTGTTCATGTGCTCTCATTGTTCAGCTCCCACTTAGTGAGAACTTGCGGTATTTGGTTTTCTGTTCCTGCGTTAGTTTGCTAAGGATAACAGCTTCCAGCTTCATCCATGTCCCTGCAAAAGACATGATCTTGTTCCTTTTTATGGCTGCATACAACCATTTTTAAATACACAGTACAGTATTGTTAACTATGTGAACATTGTTGTGCAATAGATTCCTAGAACTTTTTCATCTTAGCAAAACTGAAACTCTATATCCATTAAACAATTCTCTCTCTCCCCCAGGCCCTGGCAACCACAATTCTACTTTGTCTAAGAGTTTGACTACTTCAGATACCTCATATAAGTGGAATCATGCAGTATTTGTCTTTTTAGGACCGACTTATTTCATTTAGCAAAATATTCTCAAGCTTCATCCATGTTCTAGTATATGACAAGATTTCCTTCTTTTTAAAGGCAGAATAATATTCCATTGTACATATATGCCACATTTTCTTTATCCATTCATCTGTCAATGGACATTTAGGTTTCTTATACCTCTTGGCTATTATGAATAGTGCCGCAGTGGCCATGGATGTAAAAATTCTCTTTGAGATCCTTTTTTTCAATTCTTTTGTATATACACACAGAGACAGGATTGCTGGATCATATGGTAATTTTATTTTCAAATTTTTGGGGACCTCTCTACTGTTTTCCACAGCAGAGTAGTTCATCTCTTTTTATTTTTGAGTAGTATTCCATCGTACAGATGTACCACATTTTATTTATCCATTCACCAGTTAAAGAACATTTGGGGCCAGGAGAGGTGGCTCACGCCTGTAATCCCAGCACTTTGGGAGGCCGAGGAGGGCAGATCACTTGATGTTAGGAGTTCGAGACCAGCCTAGCCAACATGGTAAAACCCCATCTCCACTAAAAATACAAAAAATTAGCCGGGAGTGGTGGCACATGCCTGTAATCCCAACTATTCAGGAGGCTGCGGCGGGACAGTTGCTTGAACCCTGGATGCAGAGGTTGCAGTGAGCTGAGATCATGCCACTGTACTCCAGCCTGGATGACAGAGTGAGACCCGTCTCAAAAATAATAATAATAAAGAACATTTGAGTTCTTTCCATTTTCAGGCAATTACTTATACATAATTGTAATGGCTATGACATTTGCTTGAAGGTTTTTCTGTGAACGTAATTTTTATTTCTCTTGGGTGAATATCTAGGTGTAAGAGTAACTAACTGGGTTGTAAGATAAGTGTACATTCAACTTTATGAGAAACTGCCAACTATTTTTCAAAGTGGCTGTATCATTTTATGTCCCCACCAGCGATCCATAAGAGTTCCAGTTGTTCAGCATCCTCTCCCGCACTTGACATTGTCAGCTTTCTGATTGTTAGTCATTCTAATTGGTTGTAGTGCTGTCTCATTTTCTTTTTAATCTTTATTTCCCAATGGCTAGTGATGTCGAGCCTCTTTTCATGAGCTTATTTGCCATCCTTATATCACCTTTAGTAAAGTGTCTACTCAAATCTTTTGCCTATTTTTAAGTATTTATTAATAATATTAATTTAGTTAGGGTTTATTTTATTGGCTTGTTTTTGTTTCTTATTGAATTGTTCGAGTTCTCTGTATATTGTGGATACAAGCATATCTTATGCGATACACTTTTGCCAATGCATTTTTTTTTCTTTTGGGACGAAGTCTCACTCTGTCACCCAGCCTGAAGTGCAGTGGTGCAATCTTGGCTCACTGCTACCTCTGCTTCTTGGGTTCAAGTGATTCTTTTACCTCAGCCTCGCCAGTAGCTGGGATTGCAGGCATGAGCCACCATGCCCAGCTAATTTTTGTATTTTTAGTAGAGACAGGGTTTCACCATGTTGGCCAGGCTCCTGACTTCAAGTGATCCGCCTGCCTTGGCCTCCCAAAGTGCTGGGATCACAGGCATGAGCCACCGGTGACACTTGGCCCACAAATGCATTTTTCTAGTCTGTGGATTACCTTTTCATTTATTTAATGGTATCCTTCAAAAAGCAAAAGTTTTTGATTTTGTTGAAAATTTTATCAGTTTACCAATTGATAAAACTTTATCAATTTATTTTTTTTCTTTTATCAATCCTGGTGTTGATGTTGTATCTCCATGCATCTACTCTTGAATGCTCAGATTTGCCTATCATCCTTCCTTGCTCACTTACCTCAGTAGCAACCCTGTCTATCACTTTTCATAGCTTACAACCATCTTTCACATTTAATCATTTCTTTGATCATCACCTTCAGTAAAGTTAGGCCAGATATTCTCCAGATGAGCTTATTGCTGGTGCTCAAATGCTCAAAATGGCTTGACCAATGCCATACAGTAAGCACGGATGATAGCGCTCTCATGGCTTGAAACTAAAACTGACTTGTTTCCTAATGCACATGAATTGTACACCTCCCTCCCCTCACCCCCGACCCCCCCTCAACCGACAGACACACACACACACACACACACACACACACACACACACACACACACCAGCTTCTCTCTTCTTGGTCATCATCCTAATCAGCATCACCTCCTCTTTCACTGTCCCTCCCCTCACCCTGCTGTCAGCCCCACAATGCTTTCAGGGGAGTGTGGAGTGCAGACAATACAATGCTCTTCCTGGAAACCTTCTTCCTCTTACCTCCCTGTCCCGTGAGTCCTCCAGCTATTTTCTGATACCCAGTTATTGCCCACGTCCTTTAATTCCTTGGAAAATTACCCAACTCCATCCCCCTTTTATGTGACTTTGTCTCCAGACAAATCTACATGTAGCGTAGACTGTCAGATAGGGAGACCTGATCACAGAACTTTGGCTTCCTCATCCTAAAATAAAACCAATTACATCACAGGATTGTAACCAAGTACAATCCATTATAAGGATTAAATAAGATGTTTTGTAAAGGATATAATGCCTATGCATGAATCATTATATGACAAATACACTCTTTCACTACCTTAATTCCAGAGAAAAGCCTCATAGGCTTCCGTATTGTAGGTATGCAGGAGTGTCCCTCACCTATTCTTATTCAGAAACCTCCTAACTGGCCTCCATATTGTGAATCAGCTTCTCCTTTCTGTTCTAAGCTTGGCGCTTACAGATGCCATCTCCCTGAGCACAACTCAGAACTCAGCCATGTCCCATTGATTTCAGTCTAACGCACTTTCTTTTTTTTTTTTTTTGAGACGGAGTCTCACTCTATCGCCCAAGCTGGAGTGCAGGGGCGCGATCTCAGCTCACTGCAACTTCCACCTCCCAGGTTCAAGCGATTGTCCTGCTTCAGCCTCCCAAGTAGCTGGGATTACAGGTGCACACCACCATGCCTGGCTAATTTTTGTATTTTTAGTAGAGACAGGGTTTCACCATGTTGGCCAGGCTGGTCCCGAACTCTTGACCTCAAGTGATCTGCCCACCCCCGCCTCCCAAAGTGCTGGGATTACAGATGTGAACCACCTTGTCCCGTCCTGTCTAACCCACTTTCAACATTTAAAAACCTCCACAGCACAGTCCCATTTCAATCTTATGGGTCCCTAATCCCTTCCCCTACTCCAACATGTCAAGCAACGTGAACTATTATACTTTATGGTTTAATAAGAACACATATGCAGCCAGGCGCCGTGGCTCATGCCTGTAATCCCAGCACTTTGGGAGGCCAAGGAGGGTGGATCACCTGAGGTCAGGAGTTAGAGACCAGCCTGGCCAACATGGAGAAACCCCGTCTCTACTAAAAATACAAAAATTAGCCTGGCATGGTGGCAGGCGCCTATAATCCCAGCTACTCAGGAGGCTGAGGCAGGAGAATCGCTTGAACCCGGGAGGAAGAGGTTGCAGTACACCAAGATTGCACCACTTCACTCCAGCCTGGGCAAAAGAGCGAAACTCCATCTCAAAAAATAAAAAAGGAAAGAAAGAACACATGTGTACTGTTACTCCTGGCCCCACCCCCTCCACCCAAAACTCTCCCTCTGCCCTCATATTACCTGCACCTATAAAACAAAGTCTCCCTGTTCCTCAAGACCCACCTTACTGTCACTCTCTTCCTGCAGCCTTTCTCAGTACCCTACTATTATCTCTTTGACTTTTGGCAACCTTTGTACCTCTTTGATATTACTGCTCTATATTACAGCTATTATCTTATTGTCCTGTGTGGCAGTTATCTGCTCAATTCTCTTAACCCTGTTCATTCAGCCCTGGGACCTATCTAGTAACTTGAACAGTAACCTACTCGTATGTGATCAAGGGTCAATTGATACTTGTTAAATTGATTTTAAATGTTAATGCATATTCTGGGACTTGAAAGTTAACACGATGATGTTGTCAGAAGTGATTGTTGATTGTTAAGATTTTCAGACTTTGAAAACTTCTACTTTGCAAAGCTGAATTAGACAGCAAAGTTCTGTAGCTCCCTCCTGGCAAGGGGTTTGAGTTTTCTGTTGGGATCAAGGCAGTCAGCAGCCATCAAGGGTTCTTGCACTTGGGCAAAGAAGTCATTAATGGTAATTTGTATCAGCAATTACAGCATCTACCTCATTTCTTTCTTTCAGTCGCAGCGTTCAAAGGCAGGCTTTATTCTCCTTCTTGCTGGGTACTGCAAGCTACACTTGCCTCTCAGTTTTATGTCTTCCTACTCCAGCTGTCTGGTGTGGATTTTCCTTCTGCTCCAAGCTTCCTTCATTTCTTCCTCCTTATGCTTCCTACTCTTAGAGTGGCCTGGAAGTGTTGCTGGGCCAGAACTGCCCCCCTGGGTCCTGTCCACAGGGGCGGCCTCTGCCCATGCTGACTCTCCTCGTGTCATTCTTGCATGGGCACATGTCCAGGGGGAGATAATATGTATGACCTGGTCTATCCTGAGCACAGTGTTTTAAATCAAGAAATTGCATGTTTATTGAAGTTCAGTAGACCAAACAAGACCTAAGGGTCAGGAACTCTTAAATGTTTATCCCAGTGTGGACTCAGATGTATTGGGGAATTTTAGCAAGTCACTTAACCTCTCCGTGTCCCTGTGATCTTCCTATATAGTACTGATACGGCTATTTTATATGAATCTAGTACTTTCACATCTTCATGTGACAGTTTTATTGAAATTAATTTTCAATAGAGAAACTTGTTGCCTTGCAGTTTTTTTTATTTCTGATTTTTAATATGTATTTTTACTTATGTTGATTTAGACCTTCCCATTTAATAGTAACCTTTCAATGTGGTTACATTTCTTAAAGAGTATTTATGTTCAGTTTGAAACCACACAAATTTAAATTTTGGGAGGCTTTCTTCTTCTTTTACAAGTAATGTAAAATTGTAGTGAAGCTATTGGAAAAGAAAAGGATAGAAACATGTTAGTGCTTTGACACAGCGGGAGAGAATTTTGGAAGAGATATTCTACCAACTACAGATGGAATCTTCATCATCATGTAGACTTCAGATATTCTTTTAGAAAACTTTACATTTACTTATAATCTAAACCTTACTTGTTTAAACAAGTCATGAAATGTATAGCTTAATAATTGCCTTTAAGAAAATTGTTGCCCAAAACAGAAACCGTATTGAGTATGTAAAGCCAAGTTTAGTTACCAAGACCTACTGATTTCCTTTCATATATGTATGGTCACATCTCTCACCTCATCTGTCCTGTTTCTTGTTTTACTAGTGGTCCTTTGGCGTGCTCCTCTGGGAGCTGATGACAAGAGGAGCCCCACCTTATCCTGACGTAAACACCTTTGATATAACTGTTTACTTGTTGCAAGGGAGAAGACTCCTACAACCCGAATACTGCCCAGACCCCTTGTAAGTAGTCTTTCTGTACCTCTTACGTTCTTTACTTTTACAGAAATGCCTGCCTTCAAAGGGTCTCTTACAGCATGTCTTTCTTTTTGGAACAGATATGAAGTAATGCTAAAATGCTGGCACCCTAAAGCCGAAATGCGCCCATCCTTTTCTGAACTGGTGTCCCGGATATCAGCGATCTTCTCTACTTTCATTGGGGAGCACTATGTCCATGTGAACGCTACTTATGTGAACGTAAAATGTGTCGCTCCGTATCCTTCTCTGTTGTCATCAGAAGATAACGCTGATGATGAGGTGGACACACGACCAGCCTCCTTCTGGGAGACATCATAGTGCTAGTACTATGTCAAAGCAACAGTCCACACTTTGTCCAATGGTTTTTTCACTGCCTGACCTTTAAAAGGCCATCGATATTCTTTGCTCTTGCCAAAATTGCACTATTATAGGACTTGTATTGTTATTTAAATTACTGGATTCTAAGGAATTTCTTATCTGACAGAGCATCAGAACCAGAGGCTTGGTCCCACAGGCCACGGACCAATGGCCTGCAGCCGTGACAACACTCCTGTCATATTGGAGTCCAAAACTTGAATTCTGGGTTGAATTTTTTAAAAATCAGGTACCACTTGATTTCATATGGGAAATTGAAGCAGGAAATATTGAGGGCTTCTTGATCACAGAAAACTCAGAAGAGATAGTAATGCTCAGGACAGGAGCGGCAGCCCCAGAACAGGCCACTCATTTAGAATTCTAGTGTTTCAAAACACTTTTGTGTGTTGTATGGTCAATAACATTTTTCATTACTGATGGTGTCATTCACCCATTAGGTAAACATTCCCTTTTAAATGTTTGTTTGTTTTTTGAGACAGGATCTCACTCTGTTGCCAGGGCTGTAGTGCAGTGGTGTGATCATAGCTCACTGCAACCTCCACCTCCCAGGCTCAAGCCTCCCGAATAGCTGGGACTACAGGCGCACACCACCATCCCCGGCTAATTTTTGTATTTTTTGTAGAGACGGGGTTTTGCCATGTTGCCAAGGCTGGTTTCAAACTCCTGGACTCAAGAAATCCACCCACCTCAGCCTCCCAAAGTGCTAGGATTACAGGCATGAGCCACTGCGCCCAGCCCTTATAAATTTTTGTATAGACATTCCTTTGGTTGGAAGAATATTTATAGGCAATACAGTCAAAGTTTCAAAATAGCATCACACAAAACATGTTTATAAATGAACAGGATGTAATGTACATAGATGACATTAAGAAAATTTGTATGAAATAATTTAGTCATCATGAAATATTTAGTTGTCATATAAAAACCCACTGTTTGAGAATGATGCTACTCTGATCTAATGAATGTGAACATGTAGATGTTTTGTGTGTATTTTTTTAAATGAAAACTCAAAATAAGACAAGTAATTTGTTGATAAATATTTTTAAAGATAACTCAGCATGTTTGTAAAGCAGGATACATTTTACTAAAAGGTTCATTGGTTCCAATCACAGCTCATAGGTAGAGCAAAGAAAGGGTGGATGGATTGAAAAGATTAGCCTCTGTCTCGGTGGCAGGTTCCCACCTCGCAAGCAATTGGAAACAAAACTTTTGGGGAGTTTTATTTTGCATTAGGGTGTGTTTTATGTTAAGCAAAACATACTTTAGAAACAAATGAAAAAGGCAATTGAAAATCCCAGCTATTTCACCTAGATGGAATAGCCACCCTGAGCAGAACTTTGTGATGCTTCATTCTGTGGAATTTTGTGCTTGCTACTGTATAGTGCATGTGGTGTAGGTTACTCTAACTGGTTTTGTCGACGTAAACATTTAAAGTGTTATATTTTTTATAAAAATGTTTATTTTTAATGATATGAGAAAAATTTTGTTAGGCCACAAAAACACTGCACTGTGAACATTTTAGAAAAGGTATGTCAGACTGGGATTAATGACAGCATGATTTTCAATGACTGTAAATTGCGATAAGGAAATGTACTGATTGCCAATACACCCCACCCTCATTACATCATCAGGACTTGAAGCCAAGGGTTAACCCAGCAAGCTACAAAGAGGGTGTGTCACACTGAAACTCAATAGTTGAGTTTGGCTGTTGTTGCAGGAAAATGATTATAACTAAAAGCTCTCTGATAGTGCAGAGACTTACCAGAAGACACAAGGAATTGTACTGAAGAGCTATTACAATCCAAATATTGCCGTTTCATAAATGTAATAAGTAATACTAATTCACAGAGTATTGTAAATGGTGGATGACAAAAGAAAATCTGCTCTGTGGAAAGAAAGAACTGTCTCTACCAGGGTCAAGAGCATGAACGCATCAATAGAAAGAACTCGGGGAAACATCCCATCAACAGGACTACACACTTGTATATACATTCTTGAGAACACTGCAATGTGAAAATCACGTTTGCTATTTATAAACTTGTCCTTAGATTAATGTGTCTGGACAGATTGTGGGAGTAAGTGATTCTTCTAAGAATTAGATACTTGTCACTGCCTATACCTGCAGCTGAACTGAATGGTACTTCGTATGTTAATAGTTGTTCTGATAAATCATGCAATTAAAGTAAAGTGATGCAACATCTTGTATACTGATAGTGGTTATTGCCAGTCATGCTTGATTACCTGCATTTGCATAATGATAGAGGAAGCCTAAGATGGATTTCACCTGGCTGCATAGAGCTCATCCATGTAGGAGAGCCTTAGTCAAGTGAATGCTGAGGAAGTAGTAAAACAGCATGCATCCCCGAATCTCAGGAAGTCTCTGTCTTTCCAAGGGTTTGGTCTAAGTTGCTGATTACCTGGATTTTTCTGACGATCTTTCAACTGCTAGAGCATCTGGTTCCTGTTTTAGCATGGTGCTCTTCTCCAGCAAGGTGTGTCCTTAGACTAGAAGACACAAAAATGGAGCAGCAGCCACACCATTGGCGCACAGATACCTAGGTGTGGGTTGGAGAGAGAGGCCTTCTTGCCCCATCAAAACTACTCTTTATCTACACAGGTGCCCACCCTTTTACCCCCAGTTACCAGAGAAATTACCTTCAGGTTATCTCCATGTATATTCTTGTAATGGTAAGGGAATTCAAAGGTGATAATTTCAGCCATCTAAGAATTGTGTGACACATTGGGGGTAATCTAATTTTAAAAGAACCCAATTTAAAATAATGCCTACAAAATACAATGGACACTGATCCTTTACTGGGAGATAATTCAACCCCCGCTCACGGCCAAACTCTCTCCCACTCAAAAGATGCATTTCCCCAGAAAGTTCAATCCAACTCTCTCCCATAAGGAGAACAACCTGTCATCTTTACATCTCTAGAATCCGGCACTTAGTAGATTCTCAAATAATTGCTGAACTGAAACAGCATTTTCTTATTCCCCATCACTTTATTTATTTATTTATTTATTTATTTATTTATTTATTTTTGAGACAGGGTCCCACTCTGGCCCCCCCAGCTGGAGTGCAGTGGCATGATCTTGGCTCACTGCAACCTCCACCTCCTGGGTTCAAGCCATTCTCCTGCCTCAGCCTCCTGAGTAGCTGGAATTACAGGCACACGCCATCACGCCCAGCTGATTTTTGTATTTTAGTAGAGACGGGGTCTCGCCATGTTGGCCAGGCTGGTCTCAAACTCCTGGCCTCAAGTGATCCACCTGCCTCAGCCTCCCAAAGTGCTGGGATTACAGGCGTGAGCCACCACACCCAGCCTACTTTAAACCACCATGGACAGAGTTATTGCCTATGTAGCTCCCATGATGTTTGGAGAACACTAATATGGAGAATGCAGACTTTTCTGGGGAAAGAGAAATAGAAAGATAGACCTTTAAGAAGTTTGGCTTGGTGCTACGCATTTTTAATTATCACAGGGTTTTCGCTTCACGATATAAGCATCAATTATATTTTTGCTCGCTGACCTACACAGTGGATTCCATCTTTAAAGAAATAGGGAGAAGGGATATATAACGCGTAGAAATACATCAAATGCTTGAATGCTGACATCTGGCATTGTTAATCTACCTGATTTAGTTCAGAAAATGAGTTAGCATTATATAAAAGAAATTGATTAGTATTTTATTTAACTCAACGAATATTTATCAAGCACCTATATATGTCAGACACTGCTAGGTAATGGGGATATAAAAATAAACAGTCCCTCTCACCCCAAGGAATTTGATGAAACAGACAAAATTACATAATTAATGAATATTAAAAATTATTCATTTCTTAGATTTGTGAGTTGTCTTGAAGAGACACCACAGTTTAAACATACACAAAGTGCAGGCTCCTGGGCAACAGACCAAGCCCTAACTCAGATTGGGCAACATATTGGACTTCTCTAAACCTGTGTTCTCATCTGTCAAATACATTAATCATGGTTACCCCCACAAAGTTGTTTGAGGACTTTAAAAAAAAGTGTATAAAGGCACCTGGCACACCATAGTTGTTCAATAATCATAATATCATTATTATCTTTAGTCTTAGACAATAAAAGCCCATGTATAGGTAGCCTTAGTTGGCTAAAGGGAAATGAGGCTTGGAGGGGCATTACAGATGTTTAAATCCAAATTCTTACCCCATTCTTTTTGTTTTTGTTTTTTGTTTGTTTTTTGGTTTTTGTTGTTGTTTGTTTTGTTTTGTTTTTGAGACAGAGTCTCACTCTGTTGCCCAGGCTGGAGTGCAGTGGCATGATCTTTGCTCACTGCAACCTCCACCTCCTGGGTTCAAGCGATTCTCCTGCCTCAGCCTCCTGAGTAGCTGGGATTAGAGGTGTCCACCACCACAACAGCTAATTTTTGTATTTTTAGTAGAAACGGGGTTTCACCATGTTGGCCAGGCTGGTCTTGAACTCCTGACCTCAGGGGATCTGCCCGCCTCAGGCTCCCAAAGTTCTGAGATTACAGGCATGAGCCACCATGCCCAGCCAACTTCTTACCCCATTCTTCACCTCACACCTGCTTTATATACAGTAGAAACAGCTGTGATTCTGCCTCATCCTGCATATGACAGTGAGGGTGAGAGAGGAGAAAGGTGACAAGACAGTGGCACTGGCAAGAGAACTCCCTCACTTCTTTCTCTACACTCCCCACTATCACTTTAATTACTTCTCCTGTGACAGATTCCTTTTTTCTGTTTTAGCCTTTAGACCTGGAATACACAACAGACATGGAAGAGAACATTCTGTCTAAATGACAGGCATGTTGCATGAAGGTGCAAGAATAAGAGCCATAGTCTTCAGTATTGGTGTCTAGAAATTATTATTGTTCCTCATTTTTGCTCAAATGTTAATAGATGGTTAATGATCATTCAGGTTGAAGAAAAAGTAAACTAAGTACAGTATTGTTTTAGTTATGTGCTATGTGTTTGAAGATGAGGAATACATGACTAGACACACATAGCAAGTTACACAGGCACACATGACTCACTGTTGTAGCACTTCAGACAGTTTCAAGACACAGAGAGGTATGCAGACGTTATGCCCCAAAGGAAGAAATGCTTATTGCTGTTTTTCTTTTTCATATTTGAGGGGTTCTTTCAGGACTATCTCAATTCCTTATCTATCAAAGAATTGGAAAGAACTTCAGTCATAAACCAATGAAATATTTCAGTTGGTGAATTGAAGGTAATAAAATGGATGCTTGCCCAAACTGTCCTTTGTTGTAAATTATTCCAGAGAACTAGATTACGTCAGCCAAAGATATTGATCACAATGCTGAGAGGTTTATAACTACTATTAACTTACCATGTGACCCCAGGGCAGAAATCTAGGAAAATTGCAAAAGCATATCTACTGTAATGAAAAGCCCATCATTAATAGGACTTACTATCTTGTCATCCAACTAGTACTATGTTGGCTTCAAGGCAAATATTTAACAAACATTTGAAACAGAAAGCACTTCTGTCTTCTCCCTTTTATCTTCCATTGATGTTCCCGAGCTATTCTGATGAATGTGTTTTTGTTCTTATCAATAAAACATGTAGGTTAAAATAAGTGAATATATTTATAATTATTAGCCTATATAAATTAGCATCCAAATATTGAAATAGCTCCTACTCCTTTATTATTACTATCATTATTTTAATAAGGAGTTAGCTCCTCATGTAGACCAGTTTAGAATACGGCTCAAGTCCAATTCTCCTGCGTAGTTAAACCCTACCTGGTTAAGCATTCTGAAAACTAGTTACTCTTTTTTTTTTCTTTTTTTGAGATGGAGTCTCTCTCTGTCACCCAGGCTGGAGTGCAGTGGTTCAATCTCGGCTCACTGCAACCACCACCTCCTGGGTTCAAGTGATTCTCCTGCCTCAACCTCCCAAGTAGCTGGAATTACAGGCATGCATCACCACACCCAGCTAATTTTTGTATTTTCAGTAGAGATGGGATTTCGCCATGTTGGCCAGGCTGATCTCCAGTTCCTGGCCTCAAATGATTGCCACCTCAGCCTTCCAAAGTGCTGGGATTACAGGTGTGAGCCACCACACCCGGTGGAAAACGAGGTACTCTTAGAGAAGCAATTCTGAGATGAAAATGGCCATATTTAGAATGCATAAACAGACATCTCTGATTTAAATTAACTACTAATTTAACGTTATTTTTGAAGCACTGGGCCCAAATTACAATGAGAATTAATTCTTATTCCTTTCTTGAAAAGAAGCCCTTTGTCTTTGTGCATTCAATTTTTCACTGTCACATGAGTACATTCTTTTCACCGCATGAGTCCCAGGCTGGCAGAAACATCCACTAATCCTTAGACCTCTTGGCTGGAACGACAAAAATGCATAAAATCTTACCAGGCCAAAAGAGATCAACTTTAAAAATCTTTGGCATCCAAACATGTCAGAACTGTTTTTCGCTGGTTCTGCAAACCATTTGTGTTCTTCATTTATGGTCCAGGGGATCTGTAATGTCAGTTCCTACTTTTATTGGGCAGCCTGGAATTTTTAAGCACCATATTTCCTTTACCTTTCTTGGTGGTTTATAATTTTCACCGCTGTTTTTACGAGTTTTCTTCTCTATGTCTCTAAGCCTAAGTGTGGAGATGTGGTAATAGACAGCCTGCTCTTTGCCAATCAAAGCCCTTACTTTGACGTTGGCCACTTTGTTCCTGTGACATCTGCTCTTTCCATTATAGACAAACTGGGGCTTTCCTTCTGCAGAACTGTGACTAAACAACCACCATATTCATCAGTGGCAACAATTCTTGTAAACAAGAAACGCTGAATACAAAGGCTTTGTGAAATCCTGCCCCCAAGAGGCCACATGTCTAAAGTCAGTCACGTGGTCCTCAGAAATGATTTTAGAAGTCTCAGTAAAGAAAAATTACAGAGACACTCAAATATCCTAGTGTGATACTGCTGTAAAACTTCTTCTAATTTTTTGTTAAGCTGTGAGAAAGGGCCTATGGAAACACCTGGATGAAGCAGCAAATCACTGTCCCAAAGTCACTAAAAATCATATTTCAGAAAGGAAATATCTAGCGTTAAAACAACATAGATGCATTTTTGAAAACAAATTGAATTGAGAAAAATAATAATGATAACAATAATGATCTAATCCCAGGACATGTCACAGGAATTAATGACTGACTAAAAGCTAATGGTCTAAGGTAATGCTCTCAGGAATTAGTCTTGCTTATTGAACTGCTATTGTTTTAGTAAACGAATGCTTAAACTGACAGAAAGTAAAAAATCAGGGCTGCCATTATGGAGCCTGGTTGATTCAAAGTGGGGCAGGGGGAGAAGCTAAAGCAAAAAAAAAAAAAATGCATCATTTGATCATTTGCTGTTCTTACTCAATTTTTTAAGTTCGTTTGTCGTTCACAAATTATAGATTCTTTATCATTTTTTTCTTTCATGTATCTGTATGTACTTTTACTTTTGTACTTTAAGGATGTGTTTACTTATGCATTGTTTTATTGACAGAGAAGTAATCTGATAATAAAAATGCAACTCCCTCTAGTGTAGGCATATCAAAGATCTAACATTCTGTTTGCCTAGAATCGTTTTATTTTAAATACTCTGATCTGAAGAAAATGTGGATCCTCGGCCGGGCGCAGTGGTTCACGCCTGTAATCCCAGCACTTTGGGAGGCCGAGGTGGGTGGATCACCTGAGGTCAGGAGTTTGAGACCAGCCTGGCCAACATGGTGAAACCCTGTCTCCTACTAAAAATACAAACATTGGCTGGGCGTGGTGGCGGGTGCCTGTCTGTAATCCTAGCTACTCAGGAGGCTGAGGCACGAGAATCGCTTGAACCCCGGAGGCAGAGGTTGCAGTGAGCCGAGATTGCACCGCTGCACTCCAGCTCGGGCAACAGAGTGAGACTTTGTCTCAAAACAAAAAAAACAAAACAAAAAAAAAGAAGTGGATCTTCCATGTGGGCTTTAGAATAGTGCCTCAAAATTATACTTCACTTAGAACTTATTACTCAACATCTTATTTCAAGAGTATTCTAACAGCTGACTTCTTGATTCTACCTTTCCGTATTGCCTCTTCCTTATAACCCCAAAACAGCTACCAAAATTATATATCTGATCACTTCACTTTCCTGCTTAAAAACCTATGCCCATTCCTAGATGTTCTCTGTGCAGATCCTTTGTTGTTTCATTTTGTTTATTTTTATTATAAAATATATTTTTGAGGAAAAAATTTTAAATTGGACAAAAAGATATAAAGTGAACAGGAAATATCCTCCGACCACTTTCTCTCCCCCTCCATCCTCACTCCCCATGGGTAGCTAATATTAATGCACTTTTTCAGAAATGTTCCACTCTGCATCAGTGGAACTGAACTAAACCAGACACTTTAGTACATCCTTCAATAACCTTTGTCTTATTGACCGAACTATGACTCGGCACACCCTTCCCCAGTCAAGAATATTGTTCTTCTACCTCTGTGACTTTGAACTCTCAACAGAAATATCCCCCTTTGGGGTATGAGCCATATAAACAGGGCTAGACCAAGCTCTGTGAACTACCCCCTCCCCCACTGACTTATAATTTGATATTGCTTCAAACCAGTATCCTTTACCTTTGTTTTGCTCAACTTTTATTTAAATGGAGAGGAGATTAAAATGATTTTCTCTTAATAAAAAATTAAAGAAAGAGATTCACTTGTTTCTATTTGCCAAAGCAGAATAAATATATTTTTAATCAACAAAATAGTATGCTTTTCTAAAATTCTAGTTCTGTTTTTCAATGGAAATTTGCAGTGAAAGTTTCCAGATGCTTGGAAGTTATAAAGAGTTTTAAACTTAGGTAATAAAAATAAATCACCCATTTATGATAAGCAGCACTCTGTGAAAGATTATTTCAGAATCTCAGCTGACTGACAACTTTTAGGAGACTGAACTGTACTTAAGTGTGGCAAACATGCATCATAGAGATGGGTTGTTTACTGTAGCAAGTTACTTGCCTTCGGTCCAACTGTCCTTTTGGCAGAAGCACACCAATCTAATTTTGCCTGTTACATAAAGAGCCACATGTGGAAACCTGAGTCGCCTGACATCATGTTACTGACTTAATCCAGTCATAATTCAGCGCCCAGAGAGCGGCTGGCAGGCCCACCCACCCCCCACTCTCACTCTCGATGTATTCATGATAGCACAGAGGTTAGCTGGACACACTTGGGAATCAGATATGCTAGGTCAGACTCATTTCCACCACTTATCAGTAGTGCGATTTTGGACCAATTGCGTAACCCTCCTAAGCCTCAGTTTCTGAATCCATAAAGTAGAAATACTAACAGTGGCTTCCTCATAAGATTGTGCAAAGATTGAATGAGACAATGTGTGCAAAGCTCTCAAAGGGTGGCAGTCATTATTGCCGGAGACCTTGATTTTACTTTTTAAATTTTTATTCAAGACTCTAGAATAAAATTACCTCCACAGATGTCCAAAGTTTGGCACAGTTCAGAAAAGTCTGAAGGTAAAAATCATGAAAACAGACATTGATTTTCTTCATCCTTTTTGGTAGTATCAACCTAATAGAAACTGGACCAGGGTCCTGATCCAGTCTGACTTTACTGCCTATGTGACCTTCCACATTACTTAAAAGTTGTGCTTTTCTTGTCTATAAAAAATTAAGATTATACCTCACAGCATTGATTGTAAATATTAAATTGTGTAAGATTTTACACAAGTACAAGGTGTTATTATGGTTCATCAGAATGTAATTTTTTTACTTTGAAAATCTCCGTAGAACTCATCTGATTCACAAAATTCCCTCTAACCAACCCCAGCACTTCATTTGCTCCCACATAATTGCTGGAGTTGTTTACACAAATCTGTACTCAGAATCAAAGAGCTCAAGGCTGGAGAAGTCAGGGAATCTGGCCCTGGGCCTCTGCTTGAACATTCTGGGTGCTGGTCGCTAGCTGACCCTTAAACAACTCCATGTCCTCTTTGGAGTTCAAAGTTTGGGGGTAAAATCACTACCCCCTCTCAAAGATAAACACAAATGGAGCTCCAAGGTGGTGTCCGGTGCTAACATGAGACATGTTGAGTGTGAATCTCATCAGAGCAGTGTTTTTCCAACATAATAAACTGCCCTTTGTTCAAATCAGAAACTGATTTCACTCGATTTTCCCAAATCGGCCCTGCCAGGTTTCCTTGATTTAATTGTATATTTTTTGTCTGCTGACAATGGAAAGCAGAAGAAAATAGTCTCGCTAAGGAAATGAAATATTACCAAGAAAAACAGGCATTCTCACACTGTGTGAGGTGGTTTTTTTTTTCTTCACATTCAATTTGTATAAGAAAAAAGGTCTCTACCCTTTGAAACAACAGCATTATTGCAGTGACTATTAGGTCATATCTACATGGCCCAAAAGAAAATGTTGGAAAGAAAATTAACTAGTTCATAAGGGTATGGGCAACATTATTTTTAAAAGGAAATGGTTCTTCATACATAGAGAGAATAATAAATGGGAGCAAAAAAATGCAAGTTAGGCAATTATTTAAATAATTCCAATTTTAAAATATGTACTTAACTAAAGCATCCGTGGAGTTCAGGTAAAATCATTTAGAGGGAACGCAAATTAACCAAATCACTACTGAAATTCTTCACTTTTTAAGCTAAAATTGCTTGTTCTTGCTTTAATACCAGAGAAGACCTGAGTCCTGGTTGACTGTTAGTGAGGAGTTGTATCAAAAGAACAAAGGTTTGAAGCCAGTTAGGGCCAGGTGCCTATCTCAGCTCTGCCATCTACTCATCATTTGCCCATCAGCAAATTCAATTTTTCATTTATTTGGTTTAAAAATATTACTGAGACCCTTCTACGTGATAGGTGCTATTGCAAAGAAGGAAGATACAGCAGGCAATATACTAGCCAAGCCTGTTGCTCCCAAGGGGCATTTATTCCAAAGCAGGGAGAAAGAAAGAGAGACAAAAGGCAGGGGGAGGGAGGAAGGAGGGGAGAAAAGGGGAAAGGAAGGAAAGAGAAAAAAGAGAAAGATAAGAGATAAACAACAAAACTATCAACATTTGGTGGTATGAAGCCATGGAACCAGAATGAGACTATCTAGGGATCGGTACCAGAGAGGGCCAAGGATGCAGCCTTAGGGCACAACAGTGCCTAGAGGTCAGGGAGGTGAGATTGAAGAGGCCTTACTTATCTCGTCATAAAATGCTAGGTTATCACCTACAAAGATTTTTTTTTTTTTTGAGATAAGGTCTTGCTATGTGGCCCAGGCTGGAGTGCAATGGCTTGATCTCAGCTCACTGCAGCCTCCACCTCCCAGGTTCAAGTGATTCTCCTGCCTCAGCCTCCTGAGCTGGGATTACAGGTGTGCACCACCATTCCCAGCTAATTGTTTTTTTTTTTTTTTTTTTTAGACTGAGTCTTGCTCTATCGCCGAGGCTGGAGTGCAGTGATGTAATCTCGGCTCACTGCAACCTCTGCCTCTCAGGTTCAAGCAATTCTCGCGCCTCAGCCTCCCGAGGAGCTGGGATTACAGGTGCACGCCACCATGCCTGGCTAATTTTTGTATTTTTAGTAGAGACGGTGTTTGGCCACGTTGGCCAGGCTAGTCTCGAACTCCTGGTTTCAAGTGATCTGCCCACCTCAGCCTCCCAAAGTGCTGGGATTACAAGCATGAGCCACTGTGCCTGGCTGATTTTTTTAAAATTATGTACATTTTGCTACTAGCCTATTAAAGATACCCAACAAATGTTAATTTCTTCCTTTTTTTTTTTAAATCCTCTCCCTCCTCACCAACTCCCACCATGCAAATATAATTAATCTCTGGTTCTAAAAAAAAGACAACTGAGCTCCTGCATACCAAAGGAATAAAAAACTAACACTTCCTTTAGCTCAATTTAATCTAGGCCCCACTGAATGTAATAGTGAGCAAAGACCATACAATAGCAAATCATTATAGATCACAACTAGTAATCCCAAATGACAGGTCTCCTCTGTTCTGAATTTCATTTCATTGAAATTGTTCCAAAGTTTGCATCTTAAATTACACAAATTATATTCACTCCTGTCTTCTATTTTAAAAGGGGAAAATTGTGCATTCATTTACCTGTTCCCTTTAAACATCTTAACTCCTGCTTACACTTGTATGAAAGCATTGATCTTATCATAATTAGAGAAAGTTCCTAAAAACAAAAAAAGCAATGACACACAATTAATCTACAGTGTGTATATCAGAATTAGGTTCAGAAAATCCCAAAACAACTGTAGCTTACAGGAGATGAGCTTTTTCTCTTACACAAAACAGGTTGGAGGATGGGCAGTTGGGGGCTGGTGTAGAAGCTGCAGGATGTTGGCAGGGACCCAGGCTCCCATCCCTCTACTCCACTATCCCAAGGCATGTCTTCTATCCTCAAGGTCACCTTGTGGTCCAGATGGCTTCCTGCCCTTCAGGAAGGAGGAGGGAAAGCCTGAGTCAACACACTTTACAAACCTTCCTTATAATAGAAGGGGTTGAGGAAGGTTGTGTGGAAGATGCTTCTGAGTTGGGCCCAGATGGACAGGTAGGAAAAGGACATCCTCCATAGAGTGGATCATGTCAGCAATGAAGTCAGAAAAGTACAAGTATGGTTAAGGAACAAGAAAGATTCATCTGAATATAATAATATTTGGGAAAAATAGTAATGCGTGTATTGAAGATGAGCCTTGGTGTACAATTGACTATAAGCCTCCCCGCATATAACAGAATGATTCTCTTATTTTCTCATGATCTGGGGAAGTAGGTTTGGAAATTCAAGCCTGGGGTGGAGTAATAGGAAAATATAATCAGAATAAAGAGGATGAGTTTTTTGTTCTTTTGGTCTTCCAGCCCCTCAGCTCTGGCCATGCCAACGCACCCCTTTCCGGGAGTGAGTCCACCCAGAACCCTTCGTGCCCATGGACATGCTTCAATGCTGTGCACTGGGTTATCTCTCTTGGAAGAACACAAACACACAGGCTGGCGCACAGTAAGCACTGCAGAAATATTGTGGATGAAGAATCTAGAAACTAGGGTGCATGCTCCAGGAGTGTAGAGAGAGCCCAAATCAAGATGCACCTTTAATATCACTCTAAGGTGTTAGGAAATGGGGAATGAGGAGAGGCTTTCAAAACAGAGGGGCAACAAAATCAGAACTATTATTTGGAATAGTAACTCCAACAGCATGAATTGGAAGAGGAAATACCTTAAAAGATGAGTTAGGAGACTATTTCATTCACACAGGAGGGTCTAGATAACTAAAACAGAAACAACAGTCATATTGAAGAAGACTGGCAAGAGGTCAGCATCCCATGATCGCGCTGCACTGTTGCTTTATATGATTGTGTTTGATGGCACGATTGTTTACAACCCTTGACTTTCTTCCCTGCTTTATCATTAGCATTACTTTAGAATAATGAAGCCTGTTCCATCCATTAACTCCACTAACATTTGATCTCCCCATAGGTTGAGGTTAAAAATTAATTACTCTTCCAACATATTGATTACATGACTATAAATATAAAAACAGAACTACAGAGTAACTACAGGGACCCTTTGTTTAAATAGCATGTTTGCTCTTTTTAAAGGAGGTAATTAATGGCAAAGGACTTTGGAACTGGAGGAACATGCTAGAAAAGCAACCCTTGAGTGCCATCTAGTGTTGACAACACATTTAAATGTAGTGTATCAAAGAAAGGTCTGGTTTCTTACACTGTAGGTGACTTAATTGTTGAAAGCAGGCAATGTTTGAATAGTAAAAAACCAAACTTACCCTGCCTTTGTTGCTTGCCACCTGGGTATTAACATGAATCTTCATTTTTGAACTTCAGTGGGAGGAAGCCTTCATTTCAGCTTCTAGGTCAAGGTGCGTTAACAGAATTGGAGGGCATTGAGTTTAACTCACATAACTCTTTCTTTTTGTCATTCCAGGAAAAAGTTACCCCTAAGGTAAAGCTAGCATGTAACTCCTCCTTTTCCTCCCTTTTACCAGTTAGTTTCAGACTATTTCACCTAATTAAAAATGAACTCATAATATTTCATGAATTAAAGAATGGAGAACATAGAAGAGGTTAAGAACTGGTGTTGAAATCTCCTGCCATGGAAATTCATTGTTACTGAGGTGGCTCATATATCAGAGCACTGCCTTCTGCGGACATTAAAATTCACTTTGTTTCGTGTCCCTAATACTGCCCAGCCCTTGGGAAGCACGAAGCTGACATTGTATTAGGCAATTCACGCTGACCTAA
Source organism: Homo sapiens (assembly GCF_000001405.40). Taxonomy (NCBI): domain Eukaryota; kingdom Metazoa; phylum Chordata; class Mammalia; order Primates; family Hominidae; genus Homo; species Homo sapiens. The sequence continues at coordinate 116,810,477 of NC_000007.14, forward strand.
TAACTCAAAGCAATCATCACTGGTAACTTAAAGTGACTACACTCCAAAAGAAATAGAGCCTAAGGTCACAGTTATAAATCTTACCACAGGAAGGCCAAAGATTATAATCTTTATGCCAAGTGCTGCAGATTCCTTTCTGCTTAGGAGAGTCATATTTCAAAGACTTTACTAATCTGAAACCTATAGGTGGTTGTGACAATAGCAGATATGGCTTACATGACATCAAACCCACATTTTAAAGAACACTGGGTAAATCAGTAAAAAAGGGGCAATTATATTTATTATATCTGCAGCCAAGACTGTATACTTTTACCTTCATACTATACTGAAATGCAATATCATAATTGTTTTTGAACTCAAAGGCCTAACATATAATAAAAGCATAGTTAACTAAGGAGGCGTGTGATCCTCTTATCAGTGTATATTTGCATAATTTGCAAGCAGTCTCTGAGTTTGCTATGATGATGTGTAAACAGAGGGTATTTGTTCAGTTGGAACTTTGTGCTGTGGAGACTAAAGTCAAAGGTTTGATCCCTAATCAGGGCAGACAGCTTCACTGTTGGGTGACTGAAAGCACTTTATCATTATGCTTCCTCAAGATCGAGGGGCTTCAGGACAGTGAACATGTAAGTTGCCCACTGCTAAAGAAAAACATGTTTTAAATGTTTTTATTTGACTTTTTTTTATATAAGGAATGTATGCCTTCTTTGTGCAAAATAAGATGTGATTTTTTTAAAGCTAACATTCTTGCAGACTCTAACAATCTCCTCCCGCATCCCCTCTGTTCCCATAGCTTCTCTCACCTCCATATTTACAAGCCTCTCATTTTTATAGAAAGATATACACATATGTTGATTTTAGAGTTTTAAATAAAAATAGGATCATGCTGTATACATAATTTGCAACAGTTTATTTTGACTTTGCAGCATATCACAGGTATTCCTCCAGTTTATAATTCAGTCTTTCTCATTGCTACCTGACCATCTGTAGAATGGCTGTTACAATCCACTCAGGCTGTTTCCAGTATTTTTTTTTGGTTTATTTTGTTTACTGTTACAAACAATACTACAAAAAAACTTTTACGTATAATCTAATATACTGGCCTTTTATTCTAGGATACAGTCCCAAAAGTGGGGTCAGTAAATCACACACTGTTTGTATTTTATTAGATATTAGGCAAGTTGTTTTCCCCAAAGGCTGCACCTTTTCACACTCCCAACGATATTTGAAAATACTTATTTCCCTATTTTGTACCAGCTTGGGACATCAGCACTCTTTTTCATTACTGCCAAATAAGTAAACAATGGTTTCTTACTGTTGTCATAATTTGCTTTTCCATGATTAACAGAGAAGTTGACTTCCTGTGTTTATGTGTTTTGTAGCCATCTGCATTTCTTTAAATTGCCTTTCCACAGCCTTTGCCCCATTTTATTCTTTCCTCTATTTTTTATTCAATTGTTTGTCTTTCAGCAGGTGGCAAACTCTTCTTGTAAAATAGATATATTAACCCTTTGGCTGGGCGCAGTGGCTCACGCTTGTAATCCCAGCACTTTGGGAGGCTGAGGCAGGCAGATCACTTGAGGTCAGGAGATTGAGACCAACCTGGCCAACATGGTGAAAACCTGTAACTACTAAAAATACAAAAGTTAGCTGGACGTGGTGGTGCATACCTATAATCCCAGCTACTCAGGAGGCTGAGGCAGGAGAATTGCTTGAATCCAGGAGGTGGAGGTTGCAGTGAGCCGAGATCACACCACTGTAATCCAGCCTGGGCAGCAGAGTGAGACTCTGTCTCAAAAAAAAAAAAAAAGAGAAAGAAAGATTAAACTTTTGTCTTTACCTTTGTCTTTATTACAAATTATTTTCCTGACAATCATTTATCCTTTGACTATGTTTATGTCTTTTGCCATATAAAAATTTTAAATCTGTATGTAATCCAAAATATTTGTCTTTTCTGGCATTATGTCCTCTACCCTTAAAAGGTCTTAGAGAGTCTTCCTGGACCCAATATTGTAGAAAAACAATTTCAAGTACACACCTTAACGATGGTGGACTTTTAACTCCAGGGATCTCAAACAAACAACCATAGAAGTCTGGCAGGTTATGGAAAGTTATGATACCCAACCAATAAGAAAAATAGGGTATACTGGGGGCTGTGATAAAATACAGCATGTACACCCCATCTAAAGGAGACAGTCAGTACTGTCAACCTCAAATAACCAAAAGGATCAGGGTTTAATTTAAAGAGAGTTTATTCAAGCACAAAGTTTGAAGATGGCCCACATGGAAACACAAACTCCAAAGGAATGGAATCAGTGCTTCAAAATAGAGAAGTTAAGGTTTCACTTATTCATACAGAATCAGAGAGTTTTTAGCAAGATTATGACATTTTTCATACAAGGTTGATGCATAGTTACAGCAGTTTAATATGTTACAGGCAGCATTTCTTTTGGGAAGATACATTTAACATTTTTTACAGAGAGTGTAAGAGTCATGAGATTTTTGTCATGTGTTCTAAGCAAAGTAGGACAATAAAGGGAAAGTTAATTTGTAATAAGGACCATTAACTAAGAAAGCAGGAAGTTTTTGTCCCTGACGTCACTTAATTCTCTCCAGTCACTGTACAGAACAAGAAAAATAAAATAGCAAGTTAATCTATAATCTGAGAAACAGAAGTTGTAACTACATGTGACTCAGATCACAGTCGCATCTCTTTCAAGACTTAAAGTGTTTGAGGGATTCCATCAGCTTTTTTTTTTTTTAGATGGAGTTTCACTCTTGTTGCCCAGGCTGGAGTGCAGTGGTGGGATCTTGGCTTACTGCAACTTCCACCTCCCAGGTTCAAGCTGTTCTGCCTCCGCCCTCCAAGTAGCTGGGATTGCCCACCACCATACCCAGCTAATTTTGTGTATTTTTAGTAGAGATGGGGTTTCACCATATTGGCTAGGCTGGTTTTGAACTCCTGATCTCAGGTGATCTGCCTGCCTTGGCCTCCCAAAGTGCTGGAATTACAGGCGTGAGCCACTGCGCCCAGCCTCCAGCAGCTTCTAAGTTATATTTATTTTCATAGTTCTAAACTCCAGTCAAGATTGGCCCTTGAGTAATTCAGGCTAAATGTTACCACATCTTCTTGTTTTTCTCTCTGAGAAAAGCCAGCTAACCAGATTTTTATATAAAATTTCCCAACTTTAAAATATATGTTAGGCCTTTTTATTATTTATTTATTTGGAACAGGGTCTCACTCTGTCACCCAGACTGGAATGCAGTGGCACGATCATGGCTCACTGCAGCCTTGACTTACCAGGCTCAAGTGACCCTCTCACTTCAGCCTCCTGAGTAGCTAGAACCACAGATGCATGCCACCACACTTGGCTCATTTTTAACATGTTTTTGTAGAGGTGGAGTTTCACTATATTGCCCAGGCTGGTCTCAAACTCCTGGGCTCAAGGGATCCTCCTGCCGTGACCTCCCAAAGTGCTAGGTTCACAGGCATGAGCCACCGTGCCTGGCCTTAACCCATTTTTCCCCCCGAGACTGAGTCTTGCACTATCGCCCAGGCTGGAGTGCAGTGGCATTGATCTTGGCCCACTGCAACCTCTACCTCTTGGGTTCGAGCAATTCTCCTGCCTCAGTCTCCCAAGTCCTGGGATTACAAGTGCGCACCACCACACCCAGCTAATTTTTGTATTTTTAATAGATATGGGGTTTCACCATGTTGGCTAGGCTGGTCTCAAACTCCTGACCACATGATCCGCCCGCCTTGGCCTCCCAAAGTGCTGGGATTACAGGCGTGAGCCACCGTACCTGGCCAACCCATTTTTTAAAAAATAAAATTGCTCAGGCCACACCAAATGTGTCTGTGAGCCCCTGACATAAAGCTTAGTTCCTCATGGTACTTGCGCTATGAGAGAAAAAAAAGCCAAGGATTTACTATGCATCGGGCATTGAAACTCATATACATCATTTTTTTAATCCTCAAAATAGCTTACCACTTAGTGTTAGTATGATCATTTTAGAGATAAGAAAACTGAAATTAAGGATGGATTAAAAATTTATCCACGTTAATCAGCTAGTAACAGAGCCAAGATTTCAACCCAGTTTTTCCAGCTCTAAAGAGTAGCTCTTCCAATCTTATCATGCTATAACTCTCACGAAATTCCAAAGTAGAAGGTCATCTTTATTTTCCCACTTTTTAGAAAGTGAACCGTAAAGATCTTAAAGGGCATCTCCAGCATTGTTTGAAATGTAGAACTCCGCCGGGCACAGTGGCTCACGCCTGTAATCCCAGCACTTTGGGAGGCTGAGGTGGGTGGATCACTTGAGGTCAGGAATTCCAGACTAGCCTGGCCAATATGGTGAAACTCCATCTCTACTAAAAATACAAAAATTAGCTGGGCATGATGGCAGGCGCCTGGGATTCCGGCTAGTCAGGAGACTGAGGCAGGAGAATCGCCTGCATCCGGGAGGTGGAGGTTGCAGTGAGTCAAGATCGAGCCACTGTACTCCAGCCTGGGCGAAAGAGCAAGACTGTCTCAAAACAAAAAAATAAAAACTAAAAACAGAAATATAAAACTAGATGAGACTTTGCACGTGGCAGAGATGAAGATTACTACCCAATTCAGTGTTAACCTCAAAATTAAAATTGTCACTGGACATCAGGGAAGACTCTTCCAGTGTGAAGTAGGGGAATGGCATGGAGTTCTCTTGGGATAAGGAGGTGGCAGTGGCTGAAAACTCAAAATTAACCAGCGCCAACCTCAAGACCTAGCCTTGGTACTGAGGATCTGCCCTTCAGCTTCGTGCTCCCATAGGAGAGCCTCAGAAAGATGTGTGGCCAGATAAGCTACAGAGATTGCAGACAAACCAAAAAGAGAATAGAGTGGCAATCAAAGCAGTTCCTTTGAGAAAGGAATGTCATTTCTCTCCTTCTGAGAAACTGAAAACCCATGGCAAAGATTAAGATTTTGCCAAACATGGGAATTTGAAGAAAGCAGTATCTGCTCCATAAGAACTTTTGTTTGAATGAAGTAACCTGTTAATAAGGACAGATAATATTGATTTGTTTTATGTGAGTTTGCCTGGGGAGTTAACCACGGTCATAATAATTTTTAAGTTTCCGGGTTCTGAGGACCATGGCTTCTGTTCTTGGTATTACTCCCATTGGTTTTCTTTTTTAAAATATATTGATTAAATTAATCCAGGTCTTGGAATAACATATTCTGCACAGAAATCAAAGAGACAGAAAAAGTGATAAATAATTGATGCAGCCTCTGATATGTTAAACATGCAATGTTGAAAGAAAATTTTTCTCCTTTGACATACGGTAAGTCTGAGCATGTGTCATAATAAAAAGAGCTTGCCACATTCTTAAGGTTTGGAAGAAAACTAAAAATGAAAAAGAACAACTTTTTATGTTGATATCATGATCTTCAGCATACTCTCTGCCAAAATTACTTCCTATCCAGTGATTTCATAAGATGTAGCAACGTTAAATTTTTATCTTTTTTCTGCAATTCAGGTACGAGTTAAGTAAAAATCTAAACAAGACATTCTTGGGCCTAAGATGCTCCCCAAAAGAGCATTTCAAAAGAAATTTGTTGCCACTTGATTTTATAAGTATATGACAAACTTGAATGAAACGAAGTTAGAGCAAAGAACTGGTCCAAGGCCTGGCTTAGTCACTTTTTAACAGTTAGCATTTATTGAGAGATTACCATGTGCCAAACATTACATAAAATGCTTTATATTGATTAACAAATATAATCTTTACCCCATCTGATGAGCTACATACTATTATTATCCTCATTTTGATTAAAAAAAAAAAAACTAGTCCACAGAGGATTATAGAATTCACCCAAGATTGTATTACTACCAGAAACCAAACACAGGTAGTGTTCCTTTAGGAATTCTTGCTTTTAATCAATGTCCTATAAACAGATAACCTTAAGCCCTTTCCTTCCTAAGCCTCAGATAACTTGTCTCAAACATGAGGATAATAAAACCGATTCTACCTATTTCCCTTGGTTATTTTGAGGAACAAGTGAGATCATTACATGTAAAGATCTCAATAGGCTGGGCACAATGGCTCATGCCAGTAATCCCAGCACTTTGGGAAGCCGAGGCAGGAGGATCAGTTGATGCCAGGAGTTCAAGACCAGCCTGGGCAAAATGGTGAGACCCCATCTCTACAAAACTTAAAATTAAAAAATTAGCTGGGCATGGTGTCACATGCCTATAGTCCCAGATACTCGGGAGGCTGAGGCAGGAGGATTGCTTGGGCACAGGAGTTCAAGGCTATAGTGAGCTATGATCATGCCCCTGGGCAACAGAGTGAGACTGTGTTTCTTTTTTAAAAAAAAGGTCTCAGTAAGTTATAAATCATTACAATCTTTAGCTTATTTCCTAGTTTTCAGAAATGAGCAAGCTGAACCCTAAGTAGAATTCTTAAGTAGATGTCCCTTTTCAACAGAAGGGTTTCTATGCTTAGGCAAATCACATAATATTGACCTTACAACATTATTATACTTTGAAATTGGTTATGATATCCTTTTTATAGAAAATATAAGAGCGCTATGTGGAAAGCAGAGTTGAACTAGAGTCAAGAGGGCCCAACACTCAGCTCAGCTTTTACCAACTCATATTCACTTACTCTTCAAATGTCCCATCTGTAAAACATGATTCCCTATCTCACAGGTTATTAAAGTTACATACCTGCATGTGCTTTGTAAACTACTGAACAAGAAGCTGTCCTTTGTATTACTGCCATGTCAAAGAAGAATAATGTGCAACTTACCCAGGAGAAGGAGAAGGAAAGGATGTCATTGGCAGGGAGCTAGCCCCAGGAGCCACAGTGTCCCAAAGACTGTGGAGAGACTGAATTTGCTGACTTTGGGTGGGTTATTTTGGGGGAAAGCATTGTTGTTTTAGTCACAGTTGGCTGGGGGTATTTCCTTGACTTCGGCCCCCACCTTCCACATGGAAATTATGTTTTCATTCATCCTTTCATTCATGTACCAAAATATTGGTGTGCATCTATCATGTGCCTGGCATTGTGTTAATTATGTTAAACACTGGGGACACAACGGTAATGAAAATAGAGTCCCTATCCTCATAGAACTTACATTCTAGAGAGGGAGACATGTAACAGACAAAACATGAAACTAAGTTATAACAGCATGGGATAAGTGCTAGAAGGAAATTAACATTGACAGGCGAGATGCTGGTGTGGGAAAGACCCACTTCAGGTGGGCAGTAGCAAGAATGGGAATGCTGAAGGTGGAAAAGGACAGACAGATTTGAGGCATCTTTTAAAGGAAGAATGGACATACTTCTTGATGGATCTGATGTAGAAGACGAGGAAAGAGAGGATTAGGAGATGACTACTAGGTTTCTGCAATAAGCAGTTAAAGGACAAGGATCCTGTCACCATTTACTCATATGTGGACAATTGGAAGAGGAGGGTGTGGAAGTCAATAATACCATTTGGGGTATGTCACTTTTCAAATGCCTGTAAGACATTCAAATGTCAAATTGAATGCATGAGCCCAGAACCCAAAGGAAAGTTCTGGATTGAGAAAAAGGTGGGATGTCATGAGCTTATAGACAATATTTAAAATCATGTTAACATTCTGTTTAGGCCAGGCGCAGCGGCTCATGCCTGTAATCCCAGCACTTTGGGAGGCTGAGGTGGGTGGATCACCTGAGGTCGGGAGTTCAAGGCCAGCCTGACCAACATGGAGAAGCCCTGTCTCTACTAAAAATACAAAATTAGCTGGGCATGGTGGCGCATGCCTGTAATCCCAGCTACTCGGGAGGCTGAGGCAGGAGAATCGCTTGAACCTGGGAGGCAGAGGTTGCAGTGAGCCAAGATTGCGCCATTGCACTCCAGCCTGGGCAACAAGAGCAAACCTCCATCTCAGAAAAAAAAAAAAAAAAATTCTGTTTAATAAGTCTGAAAAACCTTCAAGAACAGGTTTTCTTTAATCCCAAATAGTGAAATTTCAGGATGGCAATAACTTTCAAAAAATGTATTTCCACCCAGAAATTGAGAGGGAATTCTTAGGTCACTGCAAATCATCCCAGTGGAGTAACCCAATGCTCCAGTGAGAAAATGGTGTAACAGAATGAGATAGGACTTGAACTAAGAAGGATCTGGGCTTGAATTCCAGCTCTGCCATTGCTAATGATGTGGCCTTATGAAAGTTTCTTTACCCGTTTGATCCTCTTTTTAATTATCTATACAATGGAAATTTAAAAATACCTCGAAGGTTGTTGTGAACAATGTAAATAACATCTGCAAAAATGTCTAGCACAGGGTAGAATCAGTAAGTAGTAGCAATATTAAATTTCTCTCTTTTTTTGCACAGTAAAATGTCTTGAAAGACACAACCTCTACTTGCAGGCCTCCTTCTTTCCTGGATTCACTCCAGTCATGTTTCCCATCTCTCATTCCACCGGATCTGCTCTTGTGAAAGTCACCAATGGTGTTGATTCTGCCTTCAATTTTGTACTCCTTCTCAACAGCATTTAACCCAATTGATCACTTCTTCCTTGGTTAGCTTTTTTCTCAGCTTCAGTGACACCACACCATCCTGATTTTCCACATATGCCACAGAAAGATCCTTCTCAGTCTCCTGTGCTTAACTGTTTTCCCAAGCAGAAATGCTAAATGTTGGAGAACTTAGGCTCAGTCCTAGAGCCTCATTTTTTCCATCCTCCCTCCCTCCATAGGTAACATTATCCAGTCCTATAGTTTAACATCTGTCAAATCCCAAATTCACATCTTCCCTTGAACTCTAAATTCATACATTTAATTGTCTCTTTGGCATCATCATGTGACAAGCACCTCCAGTTTAACAAGTAAAAATAGAACTCTTGACCACCAACAGCCCTTCCTCAAGTCTTCCACCATCCAGCAAATGGCATCATTATCCATCCAATGGTGCTCTGTCAAAATCCTACCTATAAGTACATACTATTAGCTCCATCCCTAAAATACAGCCACAGTCTGTCTCAACTCTGCTTCCAAACCCCAAGATCAGGGCACCATCGTTTCTCATGGTTTCAGGCTTCCACTTCAATCCATTCTCCCATACGAGACATTGTGACCTTTTGAAAACATAAATCATGCCATGTAACTTTCCCATCTAAAATCTTTCCACGGCTTTCTGTTGCACTTAGAATGAAATCCAAGTTGTTTACCACGGTTCGTTAAGGCTTACATGGTTGGGCCTCAGCTTCCTCTCCAAGCCGTCTCCTTTTACCACCCCCTCCAGCACACTACCCTCCCCCTTCACCAGTCTTCCTTCTTTCTGCTAAGCTTCTTTCTGCTTCAGGATCTTACCCTAATTGTTTCCTCTGCCTGGAACTTTCTGCTCCAGATCTTTCCATCAGCTGGCCCCTTCTCATAATTCTCAGAGAAGCCTTCCCTCCATCCAGTCTCAAATAGCTTCCACTCTCTCAGCGATGCCCTATTCATGTAACCCTGTGTTATTTTCTTTTTATTATGTGTATTTACTTGAAATCACTTTGTTGATCTATGTGTTTACATCTGTGTTATCTCTCTCTCCTCCACTAGACTATATGCTCCAGGAGAACAGGAACGGATTTCTCACTCATCTATGTATAGCGCCTAGACAGAACTGACACATAATAGACATTCAAAAATATTTGTCAAATGAGTGAATGAACGAATTCACAGTAGTTGTCATTGCCCTGCTATGTACAAATCTGTGGCACGGGTGGTACGGAATACCACCCTCTACTTGGTTCCATTTTTGCCACCTGGCCAGCTCCTTCTGCTTTAACCAACTGTGTTTTCTTCTCTTTATCTGCTTACACCCACATTTTATTTATTTATTTATTTATTTATTTATTTATTTATTTATTTATTTTAACTTCTATTTTAGGTTCAGTGGCATATGTGCAGGTTTGTTACATAGGTAAGCTACATGTCACAAAGGTTTAGCATACAGATTATTTTATCACCCAGGTAATAAGCATAGTACCTGATAGGTATTTTTTCTGATCCCTTTCCTCCTTCCACCCTTTACCTTCCAGTAGGCCCCAATATCTGTTGTTCCCCTCTTTACGTCCATGTGTTCTCATCACTTAGCTCTTACTTATAAGTGAGAACATGCAGTATTTGGTATTCTGTTCCTGTGTTAGTTTGCTAAGGACAATGGCCTCCAGCTCCATCCATGTTCCTGCAAAGGATATGATCTTGTTCTTTTTTATAGCTGTGTAGCATTTCATGGTGTATATGTACCACATTTTCTTTATCCAGCCTACCATCGATGTGCATTTAGGTTGATTTCATGTCTTTGCTACTATGAATAGTGCTGTGATGAACATATGTGTGCATGTGTCTTTATGGTAGAATGATTTATACTCCTTGGGGTATATGCCCAATAATGGGATTGCTACATCAAATGGTAATTCTGTTTCAAGTTCTTTGAGGAATCGACAAACTGCTTTCCACAATGGCTGAACTAATTTACACTCCTACCAGCAGTGTATAATCATTCCCTTTTCTTCACAACCTCGCCAGCATCTGTTATTTCTTGACTTTTTAATAACAGCCATTCTGACTGGTGTGAGATGGTATATCATTGTGGTTTTGATTTGCATTCCTCTAATAATTAATAATGTTGAGCATTTTCATATTCTTGTTGGCCTCATGTATGTCTTCTTTTGAAAAGTGATTGTTCATGTCTTTTGCCCACTTTTTAATGGAGTTGTTTGTTTTTTGCTTGTAAATTTGCTTAAGTTTCTTACAGTTTCTCGATATTAGACCTTTGTTGGATGCATAGTTTGCAAATATTTTCTCCCATTCTGTAGGTTGTCTGTTTACTCTGTTGACAGTTTGTTTTGGTGTGCAGAAGCTCTTTAGTTTAATTAGATTCCATTTTCCAATTTTTATTTCGGTTGCAATTGCTTTTGTCATCTTCATCATGAAATCTTTGCCAAGTCCTATGTACAGCATGGTATTTCCTAGGTTATCTTCTAGGGGTTTTTTAATTAATTAATTAATTTTTTTATTATACTTTAAGTTCTGGGATACAAGTGCAGAACGTGCAGGTTTGTTACATAGGTATACATGTGCCATGGTTGCTGCACCCATCAACCTGTCATCTACATTAGGTATTTCTTCTAATGCTATCCCTCCCCTTGCCCCCCACCCCTAAACGACAGGCCCCAGTGTGTGATGTACCCCTCCCTGTGCCCATATGTTCTCATTGTTCGACTCTCACTTATGAGTGAAAACATGCAGTGTTTGGTTTTCTGCTCCTATGTTAGCTTGCTGAGAATTATGGTTTCCAGTTTTATCCATGTCCTTGCAAAGGTAATGAACTCATTCTTTTTTATGGCTGCGTAGTATTCCATGGTGTATATGTGCCACATTTTCTTTACCCAATCTATCATTGGTGGACATTTGGGTTGGTTCAGAGTATTTGCTGTTGTGAATAGTGCTGCAATAAACATACATGTGCATGTGTCTTTATAGTAGAATGATTTATCATCCTTTGGGTATACACCCTGTAACGGGATTGCTGGGTCAGAAGTATTTCTAGTTCTAGATCCTTAAGGAATTGGCACACTGTCTTCCACAATGGTTGAACTAATTTACACTCCCACCCACAGTGTAAAAGCATTCCCTATTTCTCCACATCCTCTCCAGCATCTGTTGTTCCCTGATTTTTTGATGCTCACCATTCTAACTGGTATGAGATGGTACCTCATTGTGGTTTTGATTTGCATTTCTCTAATGACCAGTGATGATGAGCTGTTTTTCATGTTTGTTGGCAGCATAAATGTCTTCTTTTGAGAAGTGTCTGTTCATATCCTTCACCCACTTTTTGATGTGACTGTTTATATTTTTCTTGTAAATTTGTTTAAGTCCCTTGTAGATTCTGGATTGCTGACAAAGGGCTTCTAGGGTTTTTATAGTTTTAGGTTTTACATTTAAGTTTTCAATCCATCTTGAGTTGATTTTTGGATGTGGTGTAAGGTAAACATTGGCCTACTGGCTAGCCATATACAGAAGGTTTTGTATGTGGTGTAAGGTAGAGGTTGGCTCAGTCCTAGAGCCCCGTTTTTCCATCTTCCTTCCCCCCATAGGTTGGCCTCTACCTTTTACTACGCACCATTTACTGAATGGGGAATCCTTTCCCCATTGCTTGTTGCTTGTTTTTTGTCAGTTTTGTCAAAGATTAGATGGTTGTAGGTGTGTGCCATTATTTCTGGGCTCTCTATTTTGTTCCATTGGTCTATGTCTCTGTTTTTGTAACAGTAACATGCTGTTTTGGTTACTGTAGCCCTGTAGTATGATTTGAAGTCAGATAATATGATGCCTCCAGCTTTGTTCCTTTTGCTTGGGATTGCCTTGGTTATTTGCACCCTTTTTTTGGTTCCATATGAATTTTAAAATAGTTTTTTTAATTCTGTGAGGAATGCCATTGGTAGTTTTATAGGAATAGCATTGAATCTGTAAATCACTTAGGGTAGTACCACCATTTTAATTGTATTGATTCTTCCTATCCATGAGCATGGAATGTTTTTTAATTTGTCATCTCTGATTTCTTTGGACAGTGTTTTGTAATTCTCATTGTACAGATATTTCACCTCCCTGGTTAGCTGTATTCCTAGGTATTTTATTCTCTTTGTGGGAATGCTACTGATTTTTGTACATTGATTTTGTATTCTTAAAATTTGTTGAAATTGTTTCTCAGATCAAGGAGCTTTGGGGCAGAAGCTATGGAGTTTTCTAAATACAGAATCATGTCATTTGCAAACAGGGATACTTGGACTTCCTCTCTCCCTATTTAGATGTCTTTTATTTATTTCTCTTGCCTGATTGCTCTGGCCAGAAATTCCAATACTATGTTGAACAGGATTGGTGAGAGGGGGCATCCTTGTCTTGTGCTGGTTTTCAAAGAGAATGCTTCCAGCTTTTGCCCATTCAGTATGATGTGGGCTGTGGGTTTGCCATAGATGGCTCTTATTGTTTTGAAGCATGTTCCGTCTATGCCTAGTTTATTGAGAATTTTTAATGTGAATAGATGTTGAATTTTATCAAAAGCCTTTTCTGCACCTATTGAGATAATCATGTAGTTTTTGTTTTTAGTTCTGTTTATGTGGTGAATCACATTTATTGATTTGCCTATGTTGAACCAATTTTGCATCCCGGAGATAAAGCCTACTTGATTACGGTGGATTGGCTTTTTGATGTCCTGCTGGATCCAGTTTGCTACTATTTTGTGGAGGATTTTTGCATCTATGTTCATCAAAGATATTGGCCTGAAGTTTTCTTTTTTCGTTGTCTCTGCCAGGGTTCGGTATCACAATGATGCTGGCTGGCCTCATAGAATGAGTTGGGAAGGAGTCCCTCCTCCTCAATTTTCTGAAAGAGTCTCAGCTCTTCTTTATACATCTAGTAGAATTTGGCTGTGAATCCATCTGTCCTGGACTTCTTTTGGTTGGTAGGCTTTTTATTACTGATTCAGTTTCATTATTGGTCTGTTCAGGGATTCAATTTCTTCCTGGTTCAGTCTTGGGAGGTTGTATGTGTCCAGAAACTTATCCTTTTCTTCTAGATTTTCTAGTTTGTGTGCATAGAGGTGTACATAGTAATCTCTGATGAATTTTTGTATTTCTGTAGGGTCAGTGGTAACATCCCCTTTGTCATTTCTAATTGTGTTTATTTGGATCTTCTCTCTTTTTTTTATTAGTCTAGCTAGCAGTCTATCTTATTTTTTTTTTCCAATAACCAACTCCTGGATTTATTGATTTTTTGTATGGTTTTTCACATCTCAATCTCCTTCAGTTCAGCTCTGATTTTGGTTATTTCTGGTCGTCTGCTAGCTTTGTGGTTGGTACACTCTTGCTTCTCTATTTCTTCTAGTTGTGATGTTAGGTTGTTGATTTGAGATCTTCCTAACTTTTTGATGTGGGTGTTTAGTGCTATAAACTTCCCTCTTAACACTGCTTTAGCTACATCCCAGAGATTCTTCATGTTGTATCTTTGTTCTCATTAGTTTCAAAGAACTTTCTGGTTTCTCCCTTAATTTCATTATTTACTCAAAAGTCATTCAGGAGCAGGTTGTATAATTTCCATGTATGGTTTTGAGTGATTTTTAGTTTTGATTTCTATTTTTATTACACTGTGGTCTGAGAGTGTGGTTGGTATGATTTGGGGCTTTTTTTTGCATTTGCTGAGGATTGTTTTATGTCCAATTGAGTGGTTAACTTTAGAGTATGTGCAATGTGTTGATGAGAAGAATGAATATTCTGGCATTTTGGGGTGGAGAGTTCTGTAGATGTACAATAGGTCCATTTGGTCAAGTGCTGAGTTCATGTTCTGAATATCTTTGTTAATTTTCTGCCTCAATGATCCCTCTAATACTGTCAGTGGGGTGTTGAAGTCTCCCAGAATTATTATGTGGGAAGTTAAGTCTCTTCATAGGTCTCTAAGAACTTGCTTTATGAATCTGCTCCTATGTTGGGTCCGTGTATATTTAGGATAGTTAGGTCTTCTTGTTGAATAGAGTCCTTTACCGTTATGTAATGGCCTTCTTTATCTTTTTTTTTTAATCTTTTTTAGTTTAAAATCTGTTTTGTCTGAAATTCAGATAGCAACCCCTGCTTTTTTCTGTTTTTCATTTGCTTGGTAGATTTTTCTCCAACCCTTTATTTTGAGCCAATGGATGTCATTGTATGTGAGATGGTTCTCTCAAAGACAGCATACCATTGGGTCTTGCTTCTTCATCCAGCTTGCCACTCTGTGCCTTTTAATTGAAGCATTTAGCCCACTTACATTCAAGGTTAGTATTGATATGTGTGGATTTGATCCTATCATCATGTTGTTAGCTGATTTTTTATGGAGACTTGTTTGTATAGTTGTTTATAGTGTCACTGGTCTGTGTACTTAAGTGTGTTCTTGTAGTGGTGGTAACAGTCTTTCCTTTCCATATTTAGTGCTCCTTTCAGGACCTTTTGTAAGGCAGGTCTGCTGTTAGCCTGATGAAATTTCCTTTGTAGGTAATCTGCCCCTTCTTGTTAGCTGTCTTTAATATTTTTTCTTTCATTTTGACCTTGGAGAATCTGATAATTATGTGTCTTAGGAATGGTCTTCTTGTGTAATATCTTGCAGGAGTTCTCTGCATTTCCTGAGTTTGAATGTTGGCCTCTCTAGTGAAGTTGGGGAAGTTTTCATGGATAATACACTAAAATATATTTTCCAAATTGCTTGCTTTATCCCCATCCCTTTCAGGGATGCCAATGAGTTGTAGATTTACATAATCCCATATTTCTTAGAGGTTTTATTCATTATTTTTTATTCTTTTTTCTTGTCCGACTATTTCAGAGGGTTCTGAGATTCTTTCCTCAGTTTGATCTATTTTGCTGCTAATACTTGTGATTACAGTACGCAATTCTTGTAGACTATTTTTCAGCTCTATTAGATCTGTTAGGTTCTTTTTATAGTGGCTATTTTGCTTATAAGCTCCTGTATCATTTTATTGTAATTCTTAGCTTCCTTGGATTGAATTTTGATGTTCTCCTGGATCTCAATGGACTTAATTTCTATCCATATTCTGAATTCTATTTCTGTCATTTCAGCCATTTCAGTCCAGTTAAGAACTCTTACTGGGAAACAAGTTTAGTCATTTGGAGGAAAGAAGACACTGTGGCTTTTTGAATTGCCAGAGTTCTTGCTCTGGTTGTTTCTCATCTGTGTGAGCTGGTGGCCTTTAACTGTGGTATAAATCGAATACAGTCAGTAGACTTATTTCCTGGATGTTTTCAGAGGATCGAAAATTTGTGTAGAGTCTTTATTTGAAGCTGAATTATTGTCCTTGGTTTCACAGAGGGGTATATTAGCAAAGCATTTTTGGTGTTGAAGTTTGGGGCTGTGATTCAGTAGGTGGCACTTAAACATAATGGAAGTAGGTAGGCTTTTGCTCAGTCACGTGGCTCCTCTGTATTTTCTCCTAATTGCAGCCATCTACCTTTCAGTGCTCTGAAAGTGTAGGTTTCTCTCCCACTTGATTGCTGGCTACAGATCTCAGCTTGGCACCCACAGGTTGCACATTGCAGCTCCCGGGCGATCTTGGGCTTTATGTTCCCTCCCCAGCTTGAAGGCAACAGGGGAAGGAACTTTAGCAGTGGTTGTGGCAGAGGGGCTTTCACTTGTCTCTTGGGGTTTCACCCCAGAAAGATGCAGACCAGCTATCAGTCACTATGATCAGCCCAGAATGGGCTGGCTGTGCTGTGGACCCAAGCCGGTAAGACCCTGCCTGGTAATAAGCAGCAGGGTGGATGACACCTGGGGGAGACAAACTGGCCTCTCCTTAGGGCAACTGCAGCTTGCTGGAGGTGTGGCTAAAGCACTCAGGGTTTTTGCTCCTTCCCTGGTCAGCAGGCAGCAAGGGCAGTACCACTGCAGTGACAGCACCCACACTTTAAATGTTAGTGTTTCCCAAGGCTCAAGTAGTTATTAAAATTCTATATCTTTTTTGTGTGTGTGTGATGGGGTCTCACTTTATCATCCAGGCTGGCGTGTAGTGGAACAATCATGGCTCACTGCAGCCTCAACCTCCCAGTCTCAAGCCATCCTTCCACCTCAGCCTCCTGAATAGCTGGGACCACAGATGCACATCACCACATCTGGCTAAATTTATTATTATTTTTTTGTTTGTAGAGACAGGCTCTCCCTGTGTTTCCCAGGCTGGTCTTAAATTCCTGGGCTCAAGTGATCTTCCCACCTCACCCTCCCAAAGCACTGAGATTCTAAGTATGAGCCACCAGGCCCTGCCTAAAATTCTATCACTTAAACATCTCTTATGTCTTTGTCTTCTTTTGTTTTTCTACTGCCTTACCTCAGGCTCTTGTTATCTTTTACCTTAACCTCTTAAATGGTCTCCTAATTGGCCTTTCTCTCTCCAGTTTCACCATTTCTAAATTCAATTTCCAATTTTTCTAATACACACATTTTCAGTTAACCTCCAAAGTTTCCACCTTTTATACACGGTCCTAAGTAAAGTTTGAAAAGGACCTCAGTGATTAGGCCGCTGCCTCCATGAGCACCACAGTTCACAGCTCTTCGATACTCACCTATGCTCCAGCCACTCCAAAAGACTTTTACATGTCCTCCATTTTCCTGTCTTTGCTCTCATACAGACTGTTCCTTCATCTGTAAATGCCTTTCCATCAGCCCCCACCCCTCCCATCTGTCTGGGAGATGTTAAACTCATACTCTTCCTTTAATACCCAACTCAAGGATCTCCTCTTCTGCAAAATCTTCCCCAATCTACCAAATTCCACATTGGCCCTGATTTTTCTGTGCTGCCACTTTCCCTAATACATACGTTTGTAATTTTACTTTTCAAGTTATATTACAATTATTTATTAACTTGTTGCCACATTGTGAGCTTATGTTTTATTTTTGCATCTCTATCAGTCTTCCTGGGATATAATAATATGTTACTAATAAACACTTGTTGATGGAGAAAATAAAGACATTAAAGATAAATACATACAGCCACTCATTAAACGTGCATTATAAAGAAGTTGCGGTTCCAAATTATCATTTTAGAAGTAGCCACAGAAGATAAGTCATACATAGTTACTTTTTAGTATTTCCAATTCAAAAAGTGATGAAGAATAGAAATCATATATTCTGGAACCCCTACTTAATAATTTATGTTAAATCTCAAACACTTTGAAATCTGGTGTTTAAGAACTGATAGTCATCACCTCCTCTCTTCTCTGTTTGCCACTTAGAAAATGACCAGTTAACAACATTCTTTATTTCACATGTATCTTATAATTAGTTGGTTTAAAAAAAAAAAAAAAGCCAGTAATCTGTTTTTTTGTTTTCTTTCTTGAGACAGATTCTCACTCTACCACTCTATTGCCCAGGCTGGAGTACAGTGGCATGATCTCAGCCCTGCAACCTCTGCCTCCCGGGTTTAAGCAATTCTCCTGCCTCAGCCTCGCAAGCAGCTAGGTGGGGCTACAGGTATGCGCCACCATGCCCAGCTTATTTCTGGTTTTTTTTTTTTTTTTTTTAAGTAGAGTTGGGGTTTCTCCATGGTGACCAGGCTGGTCTCAAACTCCTGACCTTAGGTGATCTGCCCACCTAGACTTCCCAAAGTCCTGGGATTACAGGCGTAAGCCACCACACCCAGCTCAGAAATCTGTTTATTATGACAGTTCCAGGTTATTTTGGAATTCCTGGACCAAATACACAAATCCATTCTTTTAATAGTCCTTGGAAATACGGAGCATCTGATTAGATGCCAAAAGGAAGGGAGATGCTTGGTATCCTTTTGGTGGGTCTTGAAAACACTGGGAACACTAATAACTGCTAGAACTGTTAAATAGCAGAGTCACCACTAATGGTGAAAATGCACTATTAATATAAGCCTCTTTTTTGCAGGGAGTGGAGAGTCTTTTATTCCCTAAAAATATCTGAAAGACGAAAGCAGGATATGCATCTCAACTGTAGCATAAGGCCTCTTCTGGCCCAAACAATCTTCCCTACCTCTTAAGATCTGTTCTTCCTACCATTAAAATTAGCATATTGTCTTTATAAAATCCCTGCTAAAAAGTACCTAGGAAAGTTTCTCCCATGCAAAAAATAATTATCATTACTGTGTTGGCCGCTCCGTTTGTCAGATTTTCAAAGTGAGAGCAAAACCCAAAGAGATAGGAGTGGTAAGAAACAAGAAGCTAGAGCTAGAAAAGGAAGTCTGAAAAGAGAAGGATAAGACTTGAGGCAAAATTCTGTCTGCTTTTGACTGATGATTCTCGGTTCTCCAAAGAAATGCAACCTTTGTTTTGTGCTTACTTACTTCAGTGACAAAGTGAGGACTCCTGAGTTAATGGTCTGCAAAAGCATTGAAGATTAAGAGCAATAGACAGAATTCCTAGCTTGGGGTGGGCTTCACTTACAGAGCCTTCCATGAGACCTGGCTAAATGAAACCACTCTACATTTTCATTCTTAATGAAAGTGTGAGAAAGTCTGAGAAAACCAAGAACTCTTCCTAAAATGTCAGAACTAGGAGGAAAATCCACAGTACCTTTTACAAAATGAAAGTTTAAGTAAATGATTGTACTTGATAACAATATTAGAATCCATCCTGCTTCTGGCAAAGAGAACTTTGCCTACTGTAACAAGTTTGGCTGGTCTGCTTTTTAATTTCTCCATTTCCTGCTTCCTACACTGCCACTTGTTTCTACCTCAAAGGTGATCAGTCTTCAGTGGCCTGTTCTATGTACCTACCATTTTGAACTTGTAATATCTCCCATTGATTTCATGCTGTTCTTTCTGGAATCTGTTGGCTGTGGGGGTCTGTTCTGCTATGGTATAGTATGTGCAGGCAGTTCTGTGTTTGTCTTGTTTCTTGCTTTGTCACAAGACAAGTATTTCATTACTGTGGTGTTTTTTGTTTTTTTGCTTTGAGACGGAGTTTTGCTCTTGTCGCCCAGGCTGGAGTGCAATGGCACACCCTCGGCTCACTGCAACCTCCGCCTCACTGCAAGCTTTGCCTCATGGGTTCAAACAATTCTCCTGCCTCAGCCTCCCAAGTAGCTGGGATTACAGGACCCAGCTAATTTTTGTATTTTTTTAGTAGAGATGGGGTTTCATCACGTTGGCCAGGTCGGTCTCGAATTCCTGACCTCAGGTTATTTGCCACCTCCGCCTCCCAAAGTGCTGGGATTACAAGCGTGAGCCACCACGCCCAGCCTACTGTGGATTTTTATAGGTCATTAACTCATGCATTTGAGACTGGGGCAGGAAATAAATAAGATAGTCCTTTTGGAAATACACAGTAATTGGGCAAATCCCTACAGAAAGAAAGATGCTTGATGTTATTTTGGTAAGTCCTGAAAATACCCACCAAACAAGATGATCCTGGAGCATTTTCCAGTGCTAGAAAAGTAAGAAAATCCTAAAATAAAGATACATGTATATACATTGTGTAAAGATACACAATGATGGGGACATAAAACCTAACTGAAAGAGTGCCCAGTAGCCAAAGCTGGTACAATTTGAGCAACAATATAAAGAAATATCATAGGCCGGGCGCGGTGTGTCAGCACTTTGGGAGGCCAAGGCGGGTGGATCACGAGGTCAGGAGTTCAAGACCAGCCTGTCCAAGATGGTGAAACCCCATCTCTACTAAAAACACAAAAATTAGCCGAGCGTGGTGGCAGGCACCTGTGATCCCAGCTACTTGGGAGGCTGAGGAAGGAGAATCGCTTGAACCCGGAGGGCAGAGGTTGCAGTGAGCCGAGATCACACCACTGCACCCCAACCTGGGCAATAGAGTGAGACTCTGTCACAAAAAAAATAAATAAATAAAAATAAAAGGAAATATCATATTATAACCTAAAGTATAAAATAAATATTCATAAATCAGTAGTAATATAAATGATTGAATAAATAAATGGAGGAGAAGGGAAAAGTCTCCCATGCAGAATTCCAGATAATTTACATAGCCTCTCCTCCCTCAAAAAGTCAAGCATAATCCCCCATTCCCTAAGTAGGATCTGAGCATAGTGACTTCCTTCCAAAGAGTACAGTCATGGAAAGGGGGAGAGAATGAGAACTTTACGGTAGAGAAACCTGGCAGACACTACCTCAGCCAGGTGATCAAAGTCAGCATCAACAATGCTAAGTCATGTTGGTCGTAGGCAACCTTAATATGATATGGTGAAAACAGCACTTGACCTCTGTGGTCTTCCTGCTGAAAACACACAACCCCAGTCTAATCATGGGGAAAATGTCAGATAAATCCCGAATGAGGGACAGTCTACAAAATATCTAACCAGTGCTCCCCAAAACTATCAAGGTCATCAAGAGCAATGAAAGTCTGAAAGACTGTTACAGCCAAGGGGACCTAAGGAGACATGAGGACTAACTATAATGCAGTGTCCTAGATGAGATCTTAGAACAGAAAAAGAACGTGATGGCATGGCATGGTGGCTCCCACCTGTACTCCTAGCATTGAGACTTGGGGTAATCAGATAAGAGAAATTTTATATAAATGAAACTATGCCAACATGTTACTTTCTCCAGTTTACATTTATTTTCCAATAAATATTTCTCAAATGACCCTGAGTGATATAATGGTCAGGACAGGTCAGCAGGGGAAAAATATAGGTAGATACATTTTGTTTTTAAAAATAAGCTTTTACTTTTAGAACAGTTTTAGATATACAGAAAAATGTGGCCAGTTGTGATGACTCACGCTTATAATCCCAGCACTTTGGGAGGCCAAGGAAGGCAGATCACTTAAGCCCAGGAGTTCGAGACCAGCCTGAGCAACATAGCAAGATCCCCATCTCTACAAATAATTTTAAAAATCAGCCAGCATGGTGGCGTGTACCTGTGGTCCCAGCTGCTCAGGTGGCTAAGGTAGGAGGATCACCTGAGCCTAGGAAATCACGGCTGCAGTGAGCCATGATTGTGCTACCACACTCTAGCCTGAGTGATGGAGTGAGACCCTGTTTCAAAAATAAAAAAAAGAAAAAAAAAAGAACATTACCTAAAAACTGAGGAAATCTGAATAAACTAGAGGCTTCAGTTAATAATAGTATATCAATTTTGGTTTAACAATTGTGGCAAATGTAGCATACTAATGTCATATGTTAATAATATGGGAAACTAGGTGGCATATGGGGGAACACTGCGTACTATCTTCACATTCTTCTGTACATCAATTTTTTTTTTTTTGAGACAGAGTGTCGCTCTGTTGCCCAGGCTGGAGTGCAGTGGCGCGATCTCAGCTCACTGCAACCTCTGCCTCCCAGGTTCAAGCAATTCTCCTGCCTCCGCCTCTTGAGTAGCTGGAATTACAGGTGACCTCACCATGCCCAGCTAATTTTTAAAATTATTTGTAGAGATGGGGACCTTGCTATGATGCTCAGGCTGGTCTCAAACCCCTGGGCTCAAGTGATCTGCCCTCCTTGGCTTCCCAAAGTGCTGGGATTACAGGCATGAGCCATTGCACCTGGCCACATTTTTTTGTATATCTAAAACTGTTCTAAAAGTAAAAGCTTATTTTTAAAAACTAAATGTATCTACCTGTATTTTTCCCCTGCTGACCTGTCCTGACCATTGTATCACTCAGGGTCATTTGTGAAATATTTATTGGAAAATAAATGTAAACTGGAGAAAGTAACATGTTGGCATAGTTTCATTTATATAAAATTTCTCTTATCTGATTACCCCAAGTATCGATTTGTCATCTGTAGATGCTTCAGAAGGCCCTAAGTAATGGTAAGGGATCCCCAGTTTATATGCCTATGTTTCTCACCCAGGTGTATATAACCCTTGAGTCAGTGGCAACACACCAGCAAATGAGTGAAGTCACATGACAATTTTACTGGAAGATTGGTTCAGCACACGAGGAGAAGGAGTTAGTGGTTAGGTTTAAAAATACATCATAGAATACAAATTTCAAAGTAAAGTACACTTTCAGGCTCCTGGTTACACTTCTTTTGCCATTGAAAATACTCCAGCATAAGAGTTTGAGAAGCACTGCCATGAACAACCCAAGTATTGTTCATAGATTGAACACCTGATACATGGTACATAATGTGAATACAGATATACATTCATATATATTACTGTTTTTCAAGGGAACATGGATGCTGCTGTGATTAATGAAACACACTTACATATATCAGAAGAGGAAGGCTCAGTGGAGGCTCAGCTACTGTCTCAGCCAAAGTCCTTGCCCTGCATCCCCTCACTCCACCCTCAGCATCTTGCCTGGGGTCTCCTGGTTCTGACCTCCAGCTTCTCTGGCACCTGAGTTCCCCTCTAGCTGGGTGCGAATTAGCCCTTTTCTACCTGTCAGCTCCTGTTGCCCAGCATCTACCTGATGGCCACACTTCCTGCTCCTGCAACTCAGAATCAAAGATTTCAGCGGCACCTGTCCCTTAACACTCCTCTCAGCCTAGCTCTGGTGTCAGAATGCTTCTGTTTTTAGTGTCTGCTGCCTTTCTTATTTTTTTCCCCAGAAACTGAAAAGCTGAATCAGTACTCAATTTTCCCAACTTTAACAAGGATTTACTTTGAAAAGTTGTCCAGCATTTTTAGACTACTTCCTTTGATAGAAGCTCAGACTTATCAAAACATGTATACCCTGTATGACTGCTTTCCTCTCACAATTGGGCCCATAGAACATACAGACAGAAGGGAGGCAGAGAAGAGTACATTAATTTCCTGGGACTGCCATAACAAAGTACCACAAACAGCCCAGGCAGGGTGGCTCATGCCTGTAATCCCAGGAATTTGGGAGGCCAAGGTGGGTGGATCACCTGAGGTCAGGAGTTCGAGACCAGCCTGACCAACATGGTGAAACCCCATCTCTACTAAAAATACAAAAATGATCCGGATGTGGTGGCAGGCACCTGTAATCCCAGCTACTCAGGAGGCTGAGGCAGGAGAATCGCTTGAACTCAGGAGGTGGGGGTTGCAGTGAGCCAAGATCACAACATTGCACTCCAGCCTGGGCAACAGAGGGAGACTCCATCTCAAAGAAAAAAAAAAAAAAGTACCACAAACCAGCTGGCTTGCTTACACGACAGAAATGGATTCTCCCATAGTTCTAGAGGCCAGAAGTCTGAGATCAAAGAGTCAACAGGATTAGTTCCTGTGGAGGGCTGTGAGAAGGAATCTGTAATTATGAAAAAAAAAATGAGAATAAACAGTAACGGAGCATCCTTTGTGCGCGCTTCCATGCTAAGCTCAAAAACATAATATTGAAGGAAAGGACTGAAATATATATGCATATATATATACACACATATATATAATGTGTGTGTATATTTTATATATATATATATATATATATATACACATATCATTATTTTGCTTTTCTTTATATTATTACCCCAAATAAACACTTACCTCTTGGGATAAATATTTTGGGACATTTGTCCTATTATTTAGGATAATAATATAAAGAAAAACAAAACAATGATTAACACAAAACTCAGGATAGTAGTTACCTGGGGTGAAGGTGCAGGCAGGAAGGGGATGCAATGGGGAAAGGGGGACATAGTGGCTTCAAAGCACTGGCAAGATAAGTCATTAGCTGGATGGATGGAGGGTGCATGAATGTTTATTCTTCTTTAAACAACGTAAATGCTTTATACACCTATCAGAAGTTGGGATTATAGGAAACAGCCTCTGAGATGGAGATTATTATATAAGAGATTTATCTGGGTGTGTTCTTGGAATCAACAACCGTGGGAGGAAATTGAAGGAAGCAGAATCCAGTAGGGGAAGAATTTGATCGGCAAAGCAGTCTCAGTGGAGGTCTTGGTCAACCACATAGAGAGTTTTGAACCTCGGATGGCCCTTCGGAGTTTTCCTGATTTGGTGGTGGGAGACAGCTCTTTATACACCATGTTAGTCAGTCACTGCATGCAGCCCACCTGGGAGACGATCTTGAACTTTGGCAAAGACGCTCTCATCAGCTGAGGCCATCCACACAGGGTGCTGACAACTAAAGGCTTTTTGCTGGCAATGTTCCCAGCAGCCGAGACAAAGTCCTTCATTCCTGAAAGGAACTGAGCAGCACCTCACAGTGTCCACCACAACACGGGTTTATATATTTATATATTTTTCACAATAAAAGTTGTTATTTAAAAAAAGAAAATGGTTAAGGCAAGAAGGCCAAGCTATAAAAGGGTATCCTTTAGGGATGGTACAAAATCTCAGACAAAACGAAGTCAAGAGCATAGCTAGAGGAATACTGATGTGGAAGAAAGCTGAGCACAGGGTTGGGAGTGTCTGCCCATGGAGTTGTACACAGATTTTCTGCTGGTGGAGGTGAAACCAGTGAATCAGATGTGATTCGGTAATATAACCCAGACTATGACTAACAGACATCGTGGAGTCAGCTTCACTGGGGTGAGTTAGTTTGACAACTCCCAGAAAACTAATGTTGCTAACTGGCCTCTGCTTGGTCCCCACCCAACTGTAAGGAGCATAAGTAGATAGAGACTTTTTGTTTGTTTGTTTAAGATGAAGTTTTACTCTTGTCTCCCAGGCTGGAGCACAATGGCGCGATCTTGGTTCACTGCAACCTCCATCTCCTGGGTTCAAGCGATTCTCCTGGCTCAGCCTCCCGAGTAGTTGGAATTACAGGTGCGTGCCACCATGCCTGGCTAATTTTTTTGTACTTTTAGTAGAGACGGAGCTTCACCATGTTGTCCAGACTGGTCTCAAATTCCTAGCCTCAGGTGATCCACCTGCCTTGGTCTCCCAAAGTGCTGGAATTACAGGCATGAGCCACACTGCACCTGGCCTGTGGATGGAGACTTTTATCCTCAGGCTGAGAGATGTGTGTTTCTTTGATTATACAATGGAAGAGGGTCCACTCGGGTGCTGAAAGATACCTTGAGAATTCTAGTGTTAAAATATACTCAAATCATCATAGGAGGCCACTTCGACTTCTTTCCCATTGCCAACCATCTCATAGGAATAAAAGCTACTGTGTATTAATTCTTCGCTATGAATCAGGCACTGTCCTAAGTGCTTTACCTGTATTATCTCAATCATTCTTTACAACAGCTAAATGACACAGATACTATCAATATTTTCTATTGTGTTGATAAGAAACGGGAGGTACAATTGCATGTGCTTCAATTGCTTACTCAATGTCTCCAAGCTAGTAAGTAATAAGACCAGCACTGTTTGTAGGCTGGCTGCCCCAGAAGCTATCTTTTGTCTGAACACTTAACTGCCTGCCAGAGATAGGAGAGCATCAAGCTTGGTTTTGACAAGAGCTCTGTGTGTTGCACAGTTCTCTGGGCATGGATACAGCTTGACTTACTGGTCAAGTAGGAAGGGCTCAGTGCTGAGATGCAGACGTAGTGTCCAGGCATGGAGGGCATGCCTGTTGGGAGAATGCTGGTGGGGACAGACAGCAAGGGCTCTGAGGTCTGGAGACAATCTTAACCTGGCTCCAGCTCTGACTCCAAAGCAGCCCCCAGGATCTCCACTCTAAGCCCCCAAGACAGTTCCACATGGAAATTCACTCCTCATGAGCACAAATATGGGGATCAACTAGAATCATGACCTGAAGTTCTTGTCTGGAGATGGATTTTGAGAGTGAGGCGAGCAATACCACTAGACAAGGAAGGATGCTCTGAAGATTTCTTAATTCCTTGGAAGGCAACAGAAGCTAAGTGAAAAATCAAGAGGAAAAAATGTCTTCTCTGAAGCAGAAAATGTCAACACTAGGATGGGAACTTTTAGGGTTATTCCCACTGAAGATGGGTTAACAGCCAGACCCTGGAGGCAAACTGGCTAGGTCAATGACCTAACTCCAAAATTGGGTAATGAGTGACCCTAGAAAAGTTACTGAAACTCTCTGTACCTTCGTTAGCATGGACACCCACCTCCTAGCACTGCCGCCAAGTATATACAGCAACACCTGTCAAGTGTTTAGAACAGGGCCTTACCTGTTTTAAGTACCTCTGTGTTATTATTATTAGCAATCCCTACTTCTTTCTAGGTAGAAGGACATCATTGTTCACCTTGACAATTCCATCCCAGCCTTTCTTTTTTTCCTCCAGGAAGTCAGGGTGTGGTTCGGGGATCAAAATCATTCAGAGTAGCAGAGTAGTGAGTCATCATTCTGTCTAGAAGGAAGGCAAGTATCTACACTAATAAGCAAGTATACCTGGAAACACATCAAACTTTATGATTTAAAAAATAGAAGAAGTCGGACTTAGTGGTACACACCTGCTACTCGGGAGGCTGAGGTGTGAGGATCACTTGAGCCCAGGAATTCAAAGTTACCATGAGCTATGATCGTGCTATTGCACTCCAGCCCGGGCAACAAAGCAAGACTTTGACTCTAAAAAGTCAAAATAAATAAATAAATAAATAAAGTAATAAAGTAATAAAAATTAAAAATAGAAGACACAATCACACTCTCTGGCCCTCTGATTCCTTATGTATAAAGTGTGGTAGGGGTTGTGGATTCCACTGGGGGCTCACAAATTGGGTTCTGCAGAGCCCTGGTATTCCCCAAAGGTGTACTGGCCTCCCAGGACGTATGGAGCAGAAGCCATGCAGGCAGGACCCCAGCCCCCACTTCAGCCAGAGCAGTTCCACTTGCATCTGTTTTCTACATTGTAACTGTAAGAATAAAATATCTGTAGATGGAAATGGAGCAGGCCCCTGACGAAAAATGTAATCAAGCTCTTCCTGGAGAAGAGTCTCAAAGCTCCTCTTTTTGTAATTAAGAATGCAGCCATTAAAATATTACACCCTTTTCTTTTATTCATGACAAATCCGAATGAGCACAATTTGGAAAGCAGCAGGGAGGGGAATGAACAAATTGAATTAATTTCTATGCTGAATATTAATATCGTGCCACAGAAAGGGAGATGCTTTGCAAATTTAAGGCAGTTAAGAAAACATTTTTATGCTTCTTAGTAATTTAGACAGCACTGCTTCTGAAAAGTGCTTTTCTCCTGGCAGTTGTGTATGTTTGGTCCAGCAGGCAGACTCACTATAGTTGACTTCTCTGTTAGGCACGGTGCCTAGGGCCCATGACACTTTTAGGGGCCCACAAAAATGTTGTAACTTTCATTTCTATTAAAATCCAAATACATGTATATATATATACAATTACATATAATAATGAATTCAGCCTGGATTACACTCCTCTTTGGGCCAGTGTAGTCATAAAATACAATTTTTAATATTTTTACGAGGACAGGGTTTATGAAAGCAAAGTGCCCACAGCCCCCCAAAGTCATAAATCTGTCCTGATGACTGCAACTCACTGCAGTGAAAGGGTCACAACGGGGACCTGCTGTGCAGACCCCAAGCCCAGCTTAGACTCCACCTTAAGTGTCAAGTCCATGCAATGTGTTGTGGACTTAGCTGTGTCCACAGCCTCCCGTTTTTCCTAATGATCCCTTGCCTATGAATGTGATCCCTTTCTATTCAAACTGTGGTGGCACATCAACAGGATGGGCATCACCTGGGGACTTGGTAGAAATGCATCATCTCTAGCCCCACCTAAGACCTACTGAATCAAAATCTGCATTATACCACATTCTCTTCCCCTATCTAGCCCCAGATTGAGGAGATCACATCCCAACCAGGGCCTGCGCACAGGGCTTCAAGGAAATGACCAGCAGCAAAGTGACCGAGGTGCACAGCGAAGCCAGAATCAATGCAGAAGATTGGGAGACATCTACTTTCAGCTTCCAAGTAACCACCTTACTGGGGGTGAAAGACAGAAACATCTGCTTTCTCCCTATGTCCTAGATAAAGGGGAGACGGGTGCTAGTTCATAGGTTACATTAAGTTTTCTTCTTAAAGAGGTGTTTGCATTGTTTTGAAATGTTTGAAAACTCTCTAAATTGAATGAATTCATAAGTTCCTTCCTGCTATAAGTGGCCTATTTCAGCCCTAATCCTCCTGGCCTTGGGAAGTTTAGCAGCACCAATCACTTCTTCTCTCCAGCTTCTAACCGGTTGGAGAAACGTGCACAAGGAGCCTGAAGATGATAAAAGGACAGTGCCAGCTTTACTACCAGTAAAGCTGAATGGGGAAGAAAATAAATTCCCACCCCCTTGGAAAGGCCTGGTTGCCCTATAGCCATATCAATAAGTGGCACTCAGAACCAGTTTGGAACCTGGTCAAGCCAGCAACAACAATTTGCTTTGGTGAAGAGCTTTTACAAGTTGTTTACAATCAGCATTAGCTGCTTACTTCTGAAAGCCAGCCAATCACAGACTCACCTCAATAAATACACTATAGTGACAACCAATTACCAATAGCCTCATCTGTGTACCCACACCTCTGCGGATGATGTTGAAGCTCTTAAGCCTCTGCAACTTCGCCAGTCACTGAACTTCACACTTCCGTGAGACTCTATATAAATTAGCGGTCTGCTCCAAGAGACTGTACTTCCTTTGCTATGCTTAACAATCCATTCGATTTTGTCTTTTTTATTTTTAGTATGGGATGATAGTCTCATCATACTTTGATACCCTGAACCTCAGAATCTGCATGAATATAACCTCTCCAACCAAATCCAGGTAGAGAAGTTTAATTGGCTAACTAAACTTCATATTTTAACTACATAGAAGAGGCCAAGAGGGCCCTGGCATCCTCTTAGTGATATGAACAGCTGGTAGGGGAAGAGAGAGAATAAGAGGAATCCTGGTTTTCACTGTCCAAGGAGTGGGAAGTCCACTGGACTCTCTCTCTCCATCTTACCAGCATGTTAGTTACTTCTCAGGGGAGGGAGGATGAGGAAGAGGAAAGATGAGGGGATGGAGAGAGGAGGTGGAAATAATATTTCAAAATGGTTTACTATGGTGTGAATGTTTGCATTTCCCCAAAATTCATATGTTAAAATCCTAACCCCAAAGGTATGATATTTAAGAGGTGGGGCCTGTGGGAGGAAAGTACATTATGAGGGTGGAGCCTTCGTGATTGGGATTAATGTCCTTATAGAAGAGACCCCAGAAAGCTATATAGCCCCTTCCACAGCGTGAAGACACAGCAAGAAGACATCATCTATGAAGCAGAAAGCCCTTGCCAAAACCCAAATCTGCAAGTGTCTTGATCCTGGACTTCTTAGCCTCTAGTTGTGTGAGAAACAAACTTCTGTTGTTTATAAGCTACCCAGTTCATGGTACTTTGTTATAGCAGTCCATATGGACAAAGATAATATTCCTTCCAGAGATTGGAGCCAAATCTCCTCATAGAAACAGGAGAAAGAGACAATAAGGGCTTCCCGTAAACATTCTTTATCCTAACAGTTTTGCAAATTGATTGGGGAGAGAAGGTGTAAATACTTAAAGCAATTGATATGGTTTGGCTCTGTCTCCCCACCCAAATCTCATCTCAAACTGTAATTCCCACGTGTTGAAGGTGGGGCCTGGTGGGAAGTGATTAGATCATGGGGGTGGTTTCTAATTGTTTAGTACCATCGCCCTAGTGATGGCTCATGAGTGAGTTCTCACGAGATCTGATGGTTTAAAAGTGTGTGGCACCTCCCACTTTGCACTCTCTCTCCTGTGCCATGTAAGGCATGTATTGCTTCCCCTTTGACTTCCGCCATGATTGTAAGTTTCCTGAGGCCTCCCCAGCCAGGTGGAACTGTGAGTCAATTAGACCTCTTTTCTTTATAAGTTACCCAGTCTCAGGTAGTTCTGTATAGTAGTGTGAAAATGGACTAATAACAGCAATTAAGAAACACTTATAGGGCAAAATATTCTGAGAATAAGACTATTGGTAATAATGTGAAGGATTCTTAGAAAACATGGAATTTGAGATGATCTTGGAGAGATGAATTAAATTCATCAAAAATCACCCGGTGATTATGAAGCACCACGGTGTCCAGCATTGAGTCCTGAGCTGTATAAACAAGCAGTCACAATTTCTACCCTCAAGAAGCTCACAGTCTGAGTCTTCTGGTTCTCAAATCTAGTTATACTTTAGGATCACCTGAGAAGCTTTTTTTAAAAATGCCCATAATCCTGATTTAATTGGTCTGAGTGAGTCCTGGCCATCAGTATCTTTTAAAGCCTCAGGTGTAGGAAAAGAGTTCTTGAAGAGACAAAACAAAAGATAATCATAAAAGAAAAAAATGTTTAACTTAATTAAAATAAGACTATTAAAAGACATCACCAGGAAAGTGAAAAGACAAGCCACAGACTGATTGAAGAGATTGACAATGCATATATCCAACAACTGGAAACAACACAAATGTCCCTCAATAGGAGAATGGATAAATAAATTGTAGTGCATTGATACAAGGGGATACTAGACAACAATAAAAATTATGAACTACTGACACATGGAACAAGGTAGATGAATCTCATAGGCACTTTATTGAGAGAAAGAAGACAAAAGAGTACATACTGAGTAATTCAATTGTTAAAATTTTAAGAACATAGGTAAAACTAATTTACGGCAGTCGACAGTCATCTTTTAGTGACTTAACTGG
This sequence comes from Homo sapiens, assembly GCF_000001405.40. Lineage (NCBI taxonomy): Eukaryota > Metazoa > Chordata > Mammalia > Primates > Hominidae > Homo > Homo sapiens. Next base: position 116,841,488 of record NC_000007.14, read on the forward strand.
GAAGGGACACAGCAGAATGTTATGAAAAAACTGTGGATGTTTGTTTTTTGAATCTCAACCTGGGGGGCATGATACAGAAGGTATATACAAGGATAATCCTTAGAGAAGATGGCTGGAGCCATCAGCAACCGACACACCCAGCCACTGGGGGAAATGAGCATCTTAGTCCTGGGAGGGATATCTGGGCAGAGTCTCAGCATCCACTACACCCTACACTGCGTGATCTAATGTGGAACTTGGGGCTGAGACGTACTGGTCTAAATCAGTGATTCTCAAAGGGCAGTCCCTGACAAGCAGCATCAGCACCATCTGAGAACTTGTTAGAAATGCAAATTATTGACCCTCTAATGAATTGGAAACTCTGGGTTGAGCCTAGCAATCGGCTTTCGCAAGCCCTCCAGGTGATTTCAATACGAACTAATATTTGAGAACAACTGGTCCAAAGGGGTTTCACTTGAGATCGAGAGGGGATTTTATTTTTCTTTTCTTTTTTTTTTTTTTTTTTTGAGAAATGGAAGGAATCCTGGCAATGTCACAAAGCATGTCAAATATAACATGGACAGAGAATGCAGTTTGGAGAAAAGTGAACGAGAAAACTGTTTAGCAAATGGGACTAATTACTAGATCTTATTTAAAATTTTTTTCTCTTAATCCAATAGACCATATGGAAATCATGTAGATTCTTAAACAGCCTGGCAGAGGAGCAAGGTAAAACACAGGGAAGAGAATCTCTATACAGTGAAAATTCTAATAGGAGACATTTGAAATCATCTTTGTGAAAAGTAAGGAGGATAAAAAGTATGAGTGTTAACAGTAAAAATGGGAAGGAAAAAATGACTCTGAGAGACTCCACAATGATTTGCATCAGAATTTGAATCTCCAGTGGGGTGAGGAAGCAAAGGTTACTATAAAGTATTTTTGTTTTTACATTAAAAATAGAGGCAGGGTTTTGCTATGTTGCCCAGGATGGTCTCAAATTCCTAGGCTCAAGTGATCCTCCCACTTCTGCGTCCCAAAGTGCTGGGATTACTGGCATGAGCTACCATGCCTGGCCACTACAAAGTTTTGAGATTTTCATCACTAGGACAATAGGAGTCACCAACACAAATGGGGAAGTCAGGAAGAGAATCCATACTGAAAGGAACATGAATTTTGTCTTCTGTTTTGGAAAGTAAGCCTATCACATCCAGGTGGAGCTGTTTTATAAACAGCTAGAAATGTAGGACAGGCAGAGTGCAGTGGTTTATGCCTGTAATCCCAACACCTTGGGAGGCTGAGGCAGGAGGATGGTTTGAGCCCAGGAGTTCAAGACCAGGCAGGGCAGCATATGAAAAAATGTCTTACATGTTGACAGAAATGTGTTTGGTAGAAGTCAAGCAAAATGAGGCATAAGAAAGCATCATTGAATGATGATAAAAATGAGGTCCGAAGTGATCTTATTGCATGTTTTGGTCCATGTAAACTGAATCCTACCCATTTCTCCAACATGTAACACTCCTATAACTAGTCACCTTTCCACTTATACAGTAAGCTATTCAGGAAAGTGACTTGGATCTGTTAGAGTGGAATCCAGAATGTGACCCATTTCTTCCCTTTGCATTTCTTTCCCTCTTTCTGCCTCCTATCCCCATCATTTGTCTGGCTCATTTCATCCATCAGGCCTCAGCTCAACTGGCACTCCTCAAAAAGACTTTCTGTGGCTACTCTCAGGGTCCCCTCTAGTTACCTGTTTATTTCTCCTACAGTACTTTTAGAGCAAACCCTTCTTAAAAATAAACTCTAAAATATAACTGAGGGCTCTTTTTTTCAGATGCTTGACTAGCAATTCATGTTACTCATCATCTTGCTTCCAATGTTCCACCACATCTGTTCCTGCCTCTTGGATTTGGGTACAGACACCTTTCCCAGGGCTTGGAAGTGGCTTTCTAAGATTTACATTGATCAACCTAGGGTTAAAACCCTTTCAGGCTGCTGGCACTTCTGCTTGCGCTAGTGTGAGGGCTTATCTCACCACTGAAATGCTGGTTCTCCTGCAGTTGCACTTGGTGGGTCCAGTTTCCCTTTTCTGTAAGCCACAGAGGGTGGGGAAAAGAGCTCTGCCTTTTCCTGTTTCTATTCACTCTTCTTTCCCCTCTACTCCGTCAGTGTGCCACACCCCAGGCTCCTAGCCTTCTCCAACCCAGCCAAAGGAAGCCTCAGAAGACCGTTCTCATCTCCCAGTAGGCTCTGGACACTCACAAATACAATTCTGAATTAGCAGTCAAAAATACGCATATAAGTTTTGTTTACATAGAATCTCAGCTCTCTCAAAATCCCCTGTTTACCTCACAACTGGATTTTACATGTATCAACAAGCACAGCAAAATGCAAGATAATTTTTATGAAATGTAAACCTCTCTGTGACTTCTAAGGGGAGAAACGTAGTCTTTTGTTCCCATCTCAGATCCGCCAGAGTTGCCTACTTAGTTTGAATACAAATTTGAGTTACAATAAATTATCCTGAGCCATTCCAGGCTAACCACTATTTCGGTTTCCAGATCAGTCCCCATTAAACATCAAAATTGCAAGACACGTCACCTCAGTGGAGCCACTGCCTTGATTTGCAATGTTTGATCTGGCACCAATACAGGTTTCTTGACTTCTTAATATACTCTTTCTTATTTTTTCACTAAAATTAACAAAAATGAATTTAGTATTTTGCTTAAGTAGGAAATTGAAACATTCCAAGCGTTACGCATCTTAAATTATGTAAGTATGCAAGTATTTTTTTTCTGCTTTCTTTCATACGCATTACCACCTCTGCAGGAGAAGTAAAAGTGAAACCCAGCCAGGCGAGGTGGCTCACTCCTGTAATCCCAGCACTTTGGGAGGCTGAGGTGGGCACATCATGAGGTCAGGAGATCGAGACCATCCTGGCTAACACTTTGAAACCCGGCTCTAATAAAATTACAAAAAAATTAACCGGGCATGGTGGCGGGCGCCTGTAGTCCCAGCTACTCGCGAGGCTGTGGCAGGAGAATGGCGAGAACCCAGGAGGCGGAGCTTGCAGTGAGCCGAGATCGTGCCACCGCACTCCAGCCTGGGTGACAGAGACAGACTCCATCTTTAAAAAAAAAAAAAAAAAAGTGAAACCCAAGAATCCTCTAGCTGTAGGAAAGGAATGGCTAGAGCCAAGAGAAAATTAAACTTGACTAAAATGTGTCATATAATTTCTTATATTTCATTGGGCTATCATCCTTCCCTCCCATGAGCACTGGATTTATTTAGGAGGCTTATCATCTTACAAGTTACTTTAATACAATTGTTCCAGAAAACAGAAGAATTATTAGACTTGTATTTTGAAAAATAAGCCTCAAACTCAGCAATAAGAACCCAAATACCGCAACAATTAAAAAACGAGCCAAAGGCCAGATGCAGTAGCTCATGCCTGTGATCCCAGCCTTTAAGAGGGAGGACTGCTTGAGACCTGGAGTTTGAGGTCAGCCTGGGAAACATAGCGAGACCCCATCTCTACAAAAAATAAAAAATTAGTCTAATGTGGTAGCACATGCCTGTAGTCCTAGCTACTCAGGAGGCTTAGGCAGGAGGATCATTTGAGCCCAGGAGTTTAAGGCTCCAGTGAACTATGATTGTGCCACTTGCACTCTAGCCTGGGCGACAGAGTGAGACCTCACCTCTTAAAAAATAAAGAACCAAAGACCTTAAAAGACACATCACCAAAGAAGACATACAGATGACAAATAAGCATATGAAAAGGTGCTCCATATCATATGAGAAATGCAAGTTAAAACAACGAGAATCCAGAACACTGACAACATCAAATACTGGTGAGGATGTAGAGCTACAGGAACTCTTACTCATTGCTGGTAGGAATGCGAATTGGTACAGCCACTTTGGAAGACAGTTTGCCAGTTTCTTATAAAATTAAACATATTGTTACCATGTGATCCAGTAACCACACTCCTTGATATTTACTCAAAGAAGCTGAAAACATGCCTACACAAAAATCTGCACACAGATGCTTATAGCAGCTTTACTCATAATTGCCAAAACTTGGAGGCAACCAAGATACCCCCAGTAGGTGAATGGATAAATAAACTGTGGTACATCCAGACAATGGAATATGATTCAGTGCTAAGAGAATGAGATATCAAGCCATGAAAAGACATAGAGGAAACTTACATAAATATTACTAAGTAAAATAAGGCAGTTTGAAAAGGCTACACACTGTATAATTTCAACTATATGCCATTCTAGTGAAGGTAAAACTTAAAGACAGAAAAAAAAAAATAATCAGTGCTTGCCAGAGATAAGTGGGAGGAAGGGATAGATAGGTAGGGCACAGAGGATTTTTAGGGTTCCTGTTGCTCTACTCTGTATGATACTATAGTGATAGACATATATCATTATACATTTGTCCATTTGTATAATGGGTGAACCATCATGTAAACTGTGGATTCTAGTGATAATGATGTGTACATGTAGGTTCATCATTTGTGACAAATGTACCACTCTAGTGGGGATGTTGATAATGGAAGAGTCTATGTATGTGTGGGGGCGGAAGATATATGGAAAATATATCATCTATTCAATTTTTCTATGAACCTAAAACTACTCTAAAATATAAAGTCTATTTTTAAAAATATGCTTCTGTGTTTTAAAAACAAGGACTGTAGAATTATTAATGTTTTCCAAGATGAAAATCACTGTAATCACTTATCAATGAAAGGAAAATGTTACATATTATCAATTGGATTCTAATAAACAGAATATAATTTATTTGAAGAAGCACAGAATTGATTTATCTCCAGAGATGAGTTTAGCTTTCAAATCATCAGAGATACAGATTACCAACAATTAAATACTATGCTATAGCATGGTAGTTTCCAGGCTTCTAAAGTATAAAAACATATTTTCAATATCAAAAATATTTTCAGAATGTCACTTCATAAGTACCATGTATTAATCATTTAATAAGAAAAATGACACCTAAGAGTAGACTATGAGGCCATATGGAATGAGATCTTTGCCCAGCAGAGATGACAGGTACTAACTCTACCAATCAGATTCTCCTTATTGCAAGTTTGAAATGGAGACACACAAAGTCATGAACCAGCAGGGAGCCTGAGGGAGCAAAACCCTTGAGTAACCAAGAAGCCTCTCGAATGAACAGGAGACCAGTTGAGTGGTACTTACCTCCCTCCAACCACATTTCATCTGGTTCATCTTTTTTATTTATTTTTGCTTTTCCAGACAAATAAGAAGGGGCTGGGCAGAGGGAAGTAGAAGTAAGTTAATTAATTTATAGCCTTGGAAGGGGCAGCAGCAGGGCCAGGAAGGAGTTGAGTCACGTTAATGGCTCAGCAGAGTAGGGACTGCCGGGGTGAACAGATAACCTAAAGCTGCCTTGAGCCTGTCTGGAATGATCTTGCCAGTCCAGAAGGAGTCTGTTCTCCAGGAAGCTCAGGCACAATTAGGTTCTTATTTTCCTGCTCAGAGATGGAGGAGTTCCTGTTCTTGATACCTCATCACCTGACTGAGACCCCCCATCTTCCTTAATTCCCCCATTTCCTTGTAATAAATACTTCAGAATTGAGGTAACTTGAGTTTATCATTGTTCTTTATAACTAAAAATTATAGCTAGCACAGAAATTAAATTTATTTTGTCATAATGAATATTTGTCAACCATGAAGACAAACAAAAATATACTTAGCATTGTACATTATTTTTCTTGCTCCTCCTACTTTTTATCTTTTTAAAAGGAAAGCAGAAGGCAGTCTTTTAGGTGATAAGCAATTGTAAAATAAAGAAAACCTACCTTCTGTTTTAATCACTGGTACAGTAAATGTATTCTTTCTCAATGGGATATAGTTACCTATAAATGAGGCTCTTTTAGGAGTTTAGAATACTTTCCCTTAAAGTTTCAAATGTTTGTAGTGTAAATAACCAATTTCACTGATGTTTAGAAGGGAAGGTAGAGGCCGGGCGCGGTGGCTCACACCTGTAATCCCAGCACTTTGGGAGGCCGAGGCAGGCAGATCACGAGGTCAGGAGATCGAGACCATCCTGGCTAACATGGTGAAACCTTGTCTCTACTAAAAATACAAAAAATTAGCCAGACGTGGTGGCGGGCACCTGTAGTCCCAGCTACTTGGGAGGCTGAGGTAGGAGTATGGTGTGAACCTGGGAGGTGGAGGTTGCAGTGAGCCAAGGTCGTGCCACTGTACTCCAGCCTGGGCGATAAAGCGAGACTCTGTCTCAAAAAAAAAAAAAAAAAAGGGAAGGTAGAGAGGAATGTTATGATTCACATTCACAAGCATCATGAATGGTTCTCTTCAAAAGTTCATTTGGATAAAAATTTGGCCTAATTTGGAAGTACTGGTTCCAGTTACTGATTACAGAGCCTATTTTTATATAACATGTTTCAAATTTGTTACTTTTGCTAATAAGTGTGTGATAATCATGTCTGTGTGTGTGAATTGTTTCAAGGTTTATCATTCTATTAAAGTTAGGGTTATGCAATGTGGCAGAATTATAATATTGATAGTGTAATGTGATTTAATCTAGAATTCAATGACTATCTTGTTGAGGGTGCCTACTAGAATTAGAATTTTTTTATACAAGACAAATGAATGTTCACTTTCATGTTCAACAATTGAGTAAATGATCTGTAATTTTAGGATATCTAATCCATCAAGGACATTGCAGCATGGTTATCTTAAATATTTATCACTGAAGAGAATCCAATTAATCATCCCAAATCATATTTCCACTTATATAGGCCTCCAACATTTCTACCTTCCATTTTTATTCTTCAGACTATCCAGGTGTACTGGGTTTAAGAATCAAAGTGTTTAAAGGGTATATCTTCACATTCTGATATTACTGTTTTACTATATCACTTTTTTGGAGCGTTTGTTTGCTTATCGTTGCTGTACCCCCAACAAAAACCTGGATGCCTAATAAAGAACCAGGCAAATCATTGCAAAACATTGGGTTGTTTTTTATTTTGTTTGTATTCTAAGGTTAGTTTTTTGCTTTCATTTGCAAAACTCAAATAATGAAAATATTTTATTGCTACCTAAAAAGCATCAAATAGTTCAACTTGACTTTATATCATCCAGTGATCAAGGGGCTTACAAAGAAACAAAAGAAGTCCAGTGATAGAGCTGAGAAAACGAGGGAATGTAGTAAAGGATGAGCTGGTGACACCAAAACCTGCAAGGCAGAGGTGAATGATTTGAGTACCTAAATGCCTGGGGAGGTAATGTGTAAAATGACCATGTATTCAACAAGATGGAGCTGCAAAACCAACGGTCAAATGGAGAGTACAATCCTTGCCTATAGACACTCAAATTCAATTTGACTTTGAAACAAAGAACACTGTGCTGCAAAAATATATGTCTATTATGTCTATTTCACCATAAATTTGTGCCCCCATATGGTTTTGGAACTCATGCTTAGGAATTTGATCTTTATCTAAAAGCATTAGAAAAGAAGCTGCTGAAATAGAAGTAGGGTGGAAAGAGTGACACTATCAGATTTGTATTTTGAAAAACAGTATTTTAGAAAAAAAACACAAAACCCCAAAAACTTCTCAGTAATATTCTTACTGTGATAGATAGTATATCCATGCATCCATGAAACCAAAACAGGATGTTCTTTCCAGCTGCAGTATAGTAACTGAATAGGAGGTCATAGGTAGAGTTGGTGAACAGAACACGTGTCTGATTTTTTTCCCTCACTAAACCCTCTAGAAATAATTTTTTTGGCCAGGTGCGGTGGCTCACGCCTGTAATCCCAGCACTTTGAGGCCAAAGTGGGCAGATCACCTGAGGTCAGGAGTTCGAGACCAGCCTGGCCAACATGGCAAAACACCATCTCAACTAAAAATACAAAGCTTAGCAGGCATGATGGCACACACCTATAATCCCAGTTACTCGGGAGGCTGAGGCAGGAGAATCACTTGAACCCGGGAGGCGGAGGTTGCTGTGAGCTGAGATTGCGCCACTGCACTCCAGCCTGGGAGACTCCATCTCAAAAAAAAAATTTTTTTTAAGTTAACAAGCACACAAAAAACGTGGAAAAAAGGGAAAGAGACAAGAGCACTCGAAATGTTGAGGCCAGAAAGCAGATGGAGGGTTGTAGCCAACTTGGAGACCTCAAAAAGCCAAATCCTAATCTGGTGATGGTGAAAGCCAAGAACCAGCCTGATTTGTAACCACAGAATCCCCAAAGGTCCATGACATGATAGCACCAAGCACCTCTGGAAATGGTGGTGAAGTGGGGCCCCAAATCAGGAGGTCCAGATGAAGGCTGTTTGAGAAGCCAGTAGCTTCCCAGGTCTCCCCCATCTCCTCTGTGCTGCTGAGCAACTTGTCCCTTCTGCACCTGGGCTGGAGTGTGGAAGCAACTTGTCCCTTCCCACCTGGGCTGAGGTGAAGTGTATTCTTTGGAGAGGGCAAAATAAATGGATTCTGGACTGGTGGATACCGAACATAGTTGAGGATTAAAATCTTATACCAAAAACAGGACTTAAGGGAACATGTGGATACTGGATGCTGAGACAGCTTTCCCTCTTTCTCTACTTGGCTTCTAAAATATTCCTAGCCAGGACTTTCAGATCAGGAGAGTCTTCTATGCTATACAATTTCTGACCAAAGCAAGGTGAGAATCATAAAATGGCCCATTCATACCATCTTAAGGTAAAATTCAACTATTTAATCAAGCACTCATAAGCATGAGTCAATAACAAATAACAGGAAAAACTCAGTAGTAGGGTTAGTCAGGACCATTACTCAAAAAGTAGGACCAAAAAAAATACATTAAACATAAGAATGAAAAACATTTTTTTAAATTAGAGCACCAATCCAGGAGAAAGAATATTCAAACAACTGGAGTTGCAGGGTAGAAAAAAAAAAACGGGGAAAGAGGAAGAATGCAAGTTATCAATGAAATAATTGAAGAAATAATTTAAGAAATTTTTTCAAAACAGAAAAACATGATTTTCCAGAATGGAAGGACCCATAGGTCTCTGATATTGTGATGTGTGGCAATAAGAAATGTATATTCTGTCTTCACCCCCTAGTTCCTGGCACAGAGCTTCTAAAACCCTTGGAATTTCCTCAGTGATAGGGGTGAAAGATTTTTTTTCATAATTTCATTTGTAATAAGTTCCTTTCAACCACACCTGAGTTTATGTTAAGTCGGTACCTCTGGGAGGATGGGGCTGGTGGTCAAAGGAACCAACAACCACGTGGCTAGAGGGTCAGAACTTTCAGCCCCACTTCCAGGGAGGGAAAAGGGGCTGGAGATTGAGTCAATCAGCAATGGCCAACGAACACATGGAGGTGCTGGAAGGGTGATATGCCCAGAGAGGGCATGAAAGCCCTACACCCCTTTGCACATATCTTCCCTATACGTCTCTCCCATTTGGCTTTTCCCGACAGGAACTTACCAAAAAAATTCTGGAGACAATGAAGCAGCCTTCAAAATTCTGAACGAAAGTTAATTCCAATCTAGGATTCTATGCCCATCCAAACTATCAGCGAAAAATAAGGGTCAAATAAAGACGTTTTCAGATACGTACAGTTACAAAAATTGACCTCCTGGATATTTTTTCTCAGGAAACTTTTGGGCAACATATTCTATAAACATGAGTAGACCAAGAGCGTAGAAGTCACTGGATGCTGAAAATAAATAGGAAATCTCAAGCGGATTTAACACAGGATACTAAAGGAATTTCCAAGAGAACGAGAGAGGGAGACACCAGATGACACCTATGCACCTAGCAAAGAAGGGAACACATCCAGAAAAAATACTTGTCCAGGTGTGTGGCTCACACCTGTATTCCCAGCACTTTGTGAGTCTGAAGTGGGAGGATGGTTTGAGGTTAGGAGTTCAAGACCAGGCTGGGCAACACAGTGAGACCCCATCTCTATAAAAAATTTTAAAAAATTAGCCAGACATGGTGGTGCACACCTGTAGTCCTAGGTATTTGGGCGTCTGAGCAGGGAGGATCACTTGAGCCCAGGAGTTCAAGGACGTAATGAGCTATAATCACGCCACTGTACTCTAGCCTGGGCAACAGAGCAAGACCATGTATCCAAAGGAAAAAATATGAATTGGAGGGAGGCTAAAGCAGAGGCCGCTTCCTAAAATTGTTCCCCTTTTATAATAGGTCTATGATTCTGTTCTACTTTCAAGCTAGTAAGTTAGCTTGCTTTAGTTTCATGGATGCTAGCAGAAAACATAAGACCCCAGATTCAAAGACAAAGGATTTTATTACTCGTGGCACATCAAGCATCAAGAGCATCAGCATTATTTGCATTAGTTTCTCTCATTCCCGTGCCTCATGGGGCAACACAGATGGCTCCAGATGGAAGCCTGCACACACAATAAGGTGGATTACAGAAGAGAATCCTTGAGCTTAGGGAGCCCCGGTTTCTTATATGGGCAGTAAGCATCCTTGTGCTTTGCTCTCAAGGGTGATGCTATCTTCCAATGCTGTTTGCTATGCAAACTTCCTTTAAAAAGGTAGTCCAGAGCAAAGGGTGATCAGTCTTCTTGAAAGTTGTGCAGGAATGTGAAAGACCTATTGAGAATTCTCTCCCCAACCTACGTACTCAAATGACCTTGTACATTTCTTTCACCGTACTTATCACAATTGCAATTGCATAGTTATTTGAGTGATTGTTTACTATTTGTTTCTCCTCTAAATCATAAGCTCTATGAAGGTAGGGACCATGTCTGTTTTGTTCATTGCTACATCTCCAATGACTGGCAGAGTGCAGATATATAGTAGAAGCACAATAAATGTTTTTTGGAGAACTACTCATGGATCACCAAACTTGAGTACACTAGATATACAAACGAAAGATGAGTAACAGGCTACAGATGTCACGAGGCATAATGTACTTTAATGGTATTCCTTTTTTTTTTTTTTTTTTTTTTTTTTTTGAGACAGAGTCTCGCTCTGTCGCCCAGGCTGGAGTGCAGTGGAGCGATCTCTGCTCACTGCAAGCTCCGCCTCCCGGATTCACTCCATTCTCCTGTCTCAGCCTCTCCGAGTAGCTGGAACTACAGGCGCCCGCAACCACTCCTTGATATTTCTTTACATTTATCTGGCACTTATTTTACAAAGCACCTTTCATGCATTATTTCATGGAAGCTTCACAATAAAACTCTGAATTAGATGAAGAGGTTAAGAGACTTGTCCAAGATCACTGGACTTTTTACGTATGAAACAAACAAACAAACAAACAAACAAAAAACAGGCCTGAAATCTGGGCATTTTAAGCCAATACTTTGTCCTCTATTTTTTTAGTGATAGTGTCTCTGTCACCCAGGCTGGAGTGCAGTGGCACAATCATAGCTCACTGTAATGTCAAACTCCTGGCTCAAGCAATTCTTTCAAATAACTAGGACTACAAGCACATGCCACCATGTGTGGCTAATTATTTTTAATTTTTTTAGAGACAAAGTCTCACTGTGTTGCCCAGGCTGGTCTCAAATTCCTGTCCTCAAGCAATCCTCCAACCTCAGTCTCCCAAAGCACTGGGATAAAGACACAAGTCTCTGTACTTGGCCTTTGTTCTTCTATTTCATAAGACATTATTACCTATGACAATTACGAAGTAGAATAATGTCAAAAGCAAAACTAGGGGAAATATTTTCAATGCTTACTTTAAATGAAAGTTTAAACACCTGTGAAAATATTTCATTTATTTATTACAGTTATCACAGTGAAGATGAAAGAGTAGAATTCAGTTTTCATCATTCTATGAATTAAAAATAGCAATGCTTTTTGTATTTATAAAGCATAAAATATACATCACTTTATTCTCGCAAAATGCAATGAGCTAGGTATTACACGTCTTTCACTTAACAGATGATGAAATTGAGGCTCAGAATGCTTTAGCTAGTAGACAGAAATCACACAGCTAATTCTCCCATGAGTTAAAATATAGATATGTTAGGCTGAAAATATGATGCCTTCTCATAAAAGGAAATTACTTTCCCAAGAGGCAGATGTTCCTTTCTTCAATATCTCTCAAAACCCAAACATAATAGAATACACTCAGTGTATTCTAATATGTTCTACTATTCATTAATCTCTTACTTTGTCTTACTATGATAAATATTGTGAAATTAAGAAACCGTTTTCTAAAATAAGCCACTCATCTAAGAAGTGATTGAAAGCCGTTACATGTACACTTATCTTTAGAATTAGATTTTCTCTGGAAGTATTAAGAATTTGATTAAAAATAAATATTACTAGTTTAACATTGTAATGTGCCTCCAACTCATACTTCAGTCATCAGATAGTCACTGTAGCAAATTAAGAAATACCTAATACAAGTATAATTTTAAAGTTTCCATTTCTTCCTTCTATTCCTTGTTTCAATATGTTTCACTTCTAATTTCATATATATAAATGAAACATTTCTCATTTGTGCCATTTATTTTGCACTTATAAATTGCTTTGTAGGGTTATCTTTTTACACATTGATTTCTAGCCTTTCACAACCAGAATGTAAGCTACTTTAGGACATGGATCATGTCCTATAGTTTAAGACTTTCTCTCCTGTCTGGGCCCAGTAGATCATTGTAATCCCAGCAATTTGGGAGGCCAAGGTGGGAGGATCACTTGAGGCTGGAAGTTCAAGGCCAGCTTGGGCCACATAGTGAGGCCTCATCTCTACAAAAATTTAAAAAATTAGCTGGACATGATGGTACCTTCCTGTAGTACTAGCTACTAAGGAGACTGAGGTGAGAGGATCACTTGAGCCTAGGAACCCAGAAGTTTGAGGTTGCAGTGAGCTATGATTATGCCACTACACTACAGTCTGGGTGACAGAGCAAGGCCCTGTCTCTAGAAACCACAATCACAACAACAAAAACAACTTCCTCCACTCCACCTCTCTGCTTTGCACCTTGTCAAGCTCAATTCAGGTGAGTTCCTGGCTTTGCTCTCTTTATTCCTCTCCCCGTTTAAAGTCACCTGAAAAATTAGCCATACTCTGTTCCCAGGGTTAACCTAACTAAAGCAAGAGTAGATTACCACCCTTCAAAATCAGCATTTTGGAGCTTATCCTCAAAGACAGGCCAGCCCTGATGACCTGGCACCAAGGTTAACAACTGGCCTCCCACCTCCAGTCTGGAGCCCAACGTGGCCTCACGTGTATGACATGCCTTCTGTTCCATTGCTGTTCCCATATTGCTAATCTGGGAATTTTTCATGATGTTTTAGTCATTCCCAGGAAAGAGAGAAAAGGCAAACAAAGTTGAGACTTGCTTTCTCCCCCAGGAAGATCTGGAATGTAAATTACACCTCAGAGTTTTCCTGACCTGAAGCAAGGGAGCTGGGTCTTTTTACTCCATCATCTGGCAGTCATTGGTTAAGAGCTGCGCCAGGGGACCTAAAATCCCAGCTCTGTGCTTACTGGCAAAGCAGCCCCAGACGCACAAGAGCAGTCCTCCGAAGAATAAATACAGGTACTGTGAAGCAGAGGGAAAAAAGCACTGAAGCACAGAAATAGTGAAAGTGATCCCAGCAGATCTGGTCAAAGCACTTACGGTGTCTGCTGCAGCTCTATCCATCAGAAGAAGACCACAAAAACCTGGGCCCCCACAACACAGCCTGGGACAACTGCTGGGGATGGCCAGAGCCTACCTGCAATAGAAGCAGCTAATCCCACAAGGAGAAGATGAGGTGATATGAGCACAGAGCCCTGTGTCCCAGGAGAGGAGCATCAGGACAGATTTTAGAGCTGTAACAACGGGAGAGGTCTGATGAAAGAAAGCTCAGAGATGATAAAGGCCAATGTCAAAGGACAGAAAAGGACAGCAGTGTGAGCAATTTTGAATGCAAATGAATCACTGTGGCATCCCCAAACAGCCAAAAGGAAGGCATTTGTGTGGGTGCTCCTGCAATTCCTTGGGCTTGACCTGAGTTAGAGAAATATAATTGTATTGGAGGTTGGTGTGGCTTGGGGAAAGATAAACCACAAACTTCATTTTCTGCTACACTGCTATCTGCTATTACTGAGTCCAAATAAAAGTTAAAAGTACTGTCAGACATTAAAGGTAAAAAAAGTAAAGATACTGGATCTGTCTTTTCACTCCCTACCAGCAAATCTATGCATTGTGTTGCTTCATCTTTCCAGGTCAAGAGTCTGACTTATCTTTTCATTTATGCCCCACAATTTACACTGCCATATAGGGAGATTTTTAAAAAGACAGTAATTAGTCTAAAGATCTCTATCCATGTTGTTTACAAAAATATGCAAAAAAATTCCTTTCTTTCTTTCTTTCTTTCTTTCTTTCTTTCTTTCTTTCTTTCTTTCTTTCCTTCTTTCTTCCTTCCTTTCTCTCTCTCTCTTTCTTTCTTTCTTTTTTTGAGACAGAGTTTTGCCCTCGTTGCCCAGGCTGGAGTGCAATGGCACGATCTCGGCTCATAGCAACCTCTGCCTCCCGGGTTCAGGCAATTCTCCTGCCTCAGCCTCCTGAGTAGCTGGGATTACGGGCATGTGCCACCACACCCAGATGATTTTGTACTTTTAATAGAGGCGGGTTTTCTCCATGTTGGTCAGGCTGGTCTCGAACTCCCGACCTCAGGTGATCCGACCGCCTCAGTATCCCAAAGTGCTGGGATTACAAGCGTGAGCTACCATGCCCAGCCTCATAAATATTTTTAAAGTTAGGTACCACATTAGGCAGATAAAAAGGAGTGTTCCTGTGTTGAAAAAGAAGCAACATACGTGGAAATGATAAACATGAGATTCAGGTTGGTGGTTACCTGAAGGAAGAAGAAAAGGGAATGGGAACTGGAAGAATTAAACCATGCTTTTTTGTATGCCTGAAATGTTGTGTAACAATAATTCAAATAAGTAAATGAAAATAGAGGCCAGGCATGGGGGTTCCTGCCTGTAATCCCAGCACTTTGGGAGGCTGAGGCAGGAAAGATCACTTGAGTTCAGGAATTCAAGACTAGCCTAGGCAACATAGCAAAACCCCCTGTCTACGAAAAATTTTAAAAACTTGCCAGGTGTGGTGTTGCACGCCTGTAGTCCCAACTAGTCAGGTGGCTGAGGTGGGAGGATCACTTGAGCCCAGGAGATGGAGGCTACAGTGAGCTATGATCACGCTGCTGCACTCCAGCTTGGGTGACAGAGCAAGTCTTGTCTCCAAAAAAAAAAAAAAAAAAAAGCAGAAGAAAATACAAGCTTTAGTATTTCCTTGCTTCACCCTAAAGGATCATTTTGAATACTCCCTGTCCCCTGTACTTTGTTTGGGACATGGTATGAAGATACTAAAGGCTTGAACTTATAGTGACAGGAGAATTAAAGAGTAAGAAATCAACTAGGGAGATATTTAAGTGGTGACTGAATATGGAGTAGTAAAGACTTGGAGATATTGGTATGATTTTGAGGTTTTTGGGAAAAAATTGTTCACTTTCCCATTCTGGAGTCCCCAGTCCACATTTTAGAACAATCTCTAAATCCCGTATGTGTTGCTAAATCAACTTTTCAGCTCTCATTTAGGGATGCGAAATAAAAGTGTCGTTTAATCAATATGCATTCCAACAAAGCTTTTTTAAGCATTTATTTGCCAGACATTGTATGTGCCAGACATGTCCTTAAAGACCAAATTGGTATTATAATATGATGATAATAGCTAATATTTATTGAGACTTTTACTAAGGCCTGCACTGTGTGCTAAGCACTTTGCCTGCATTGTCTTGTTAAATCCTCACAGCAGCCCTACAAAGGTGGTACTATTGTTATCCCTAATGTATAGATGAAGAAATGCAAGCCTGCAGAGTAAGTTCCTTAAGGTTAACTAGAGCTAGAACGAAGATCAGAATCCAGGATTTAGTGATGATAAAATCTGTATACCTCATCACTGGTATATACAACAAAAATCAATGGAAAAGTTTCTATGGTAATCTAGAAGAAATTATTAGCTTAGCTAGAGGATTCAATGAGAGTTTCAAAGAAAACCGATAACAGAATTTTAAAGGATAGGTAGCAAACAACATTCCAGAAAGCTTTGACAGAAGCCTGAGAGCATATGATATATATGCAGCTTTGTGTGTTTCAATGACATATGCATTCAGGGGCAGTGGCAGAGGTGGGTCTGGTGAGGTTGGTAGGAAGGAAATTAGGAAGGATAGCACGTTCGGGACGGAGGAGGGGTTGAAAAAGAAGTGTTGGCTGGGCGTGGTGGCTCACGCCTGTAATCCCAGCACTTTGGGAGGCTGAGGCTGGTGAATCATGAGGTCAGGAGATCGAGACCATCCTGGCCAACATGGTGAAACCCCGTCTCTACTAAAAATACAAAAATTAGCCGGGTGTGGTGGCACACACCTATAATCCCAGCTACTCAGGAGGCTGAGGCAGAAGAATCACTTGAACCTGGGAGGCAGAGATTGTAGTGAGCAGAGATGGCAGCCCGGCACTCCAGCCTGGCAAGAGAGCAAGGCAAGACTCCATCTCAAAAACAAAAAAAAAGAAAAAAAGAAAAAGAAAAAGAAGAAGAAGGTCTTCAATAATTCCTGAGTAACTCTAGAATGATCTACGTCAGGCTTCTCCAGGGGCACTACTTGTGTGTACCTTTTCAAAACTAGCTGAGGAAATGGACCGCAGGTATACACTCAACTATAAATAACTTAAGCAATTATTTGTTTAGAAAGATAATTACTTTTAAAATATATGAGTTTTTACACTTTTCCACAGCCATAAAGGACTTTACTTGAGACCAGTTGTGTTAATTGACCATGACATTAACAAACAACCAAATGTTAGTTGTCTAACACTGATAGTTTTTCTCAGAAGCGAGGTAAGTCAAATTTTAAGCTGCAGATGTTAGTTTTCTGGTGCAGAGATGGTACTATAGAAGTCTATATCTGGTACAATCACTTAATGATCACACAGTAATACTATTATTCATCTTATTTTACATTATTTGGTATGGATATGTACATAAAAGAACATGAGTCTGACCATCAGGATACTTGGATCCTAAAATAATATTAGCTAGATGTGCAATTTTTATTATGTCATTTATTTATCTAAGGCTCAACTCATCTGTAAAGAGAGAGGTTTGTAGTAGATGCACCCTAAGATTGTTTTTCTGTGAAATTGGGTAACCACTGGTCTTGACAAGTTTAAAACGTAGTTGAATAATTCGAGTATATCCATAGGAAAATCGATGTAAAAGTATACAAGTAACTTAAAAACAAACACTATAAAAGGAAGAAAAATTCTGGTGATGTTAATTGGAAAGACCAAGATCAGACCATGAATAAGCAGAAGAAAGGTAAGTTTGGCCAGGCGTGGTGGCTCACACCTGTAATCCCAGCACTTTGGGAGGCCAAGGTGGGTGGACCACAAGGTCAGGAGTTCGAGACCAGCCTGGCCAACATGGTGAAACTCCATCTCTACTAAAAATACAAAAATTAGCTGGGCATGATGGCAGGTGCCTGTAGTCCCAGCTACTCGGGAGGCTGAGGCAGGAGAATAGCTTGAACCTGGGAGGCAGAGGTTGCAGTGAGCCGAGATCATGACACAGAACTCCAGCCTGGGCAACAGAGCGAGACTGTGTCTCAAAAAAAAAAACAAAAACAAAAAACAGCCAAAAACAAAAAGAAGAGAAGTAAGTTTGGAAATTAATTAAGAAAAGGGTAGAAATTCTTAGTAGGTAAAATCATGTATAGGATAAATATTTTGTTTATTTTCTCCTCCTCATAAAACAACTGATTATCCAAGACTACCAGTACATTTTTCCTTGCAGTCATATAACAATAATTTCATATTTTACCTATTTGTGTGACAGCTTAAAATCTTTCTAGAATACATAGGCTACGCAAATTTTAGAATTCCTTTTAATTGTACCAAGAGGGTGGTATTGGAAGATTACTGAAAAGATTATCAGAAATTATACATAATTGTGGGTTGTGTCACTATGGGAAACCACATGTATTGTATCACTAAGGTTACAATTATAAACACACTCTGACTCAAATTATTGCAAAACATTACCATATTTGGGTGAGGTTTCTAGAGGAAGAGAGCAGCCAATTAATCAAGCAATAATATTTGCTGAGTATCCACTGTATACAAAATACTAATATAGGTGTTGCTGAGTAAACAGGAAAAAAGACAGGAAAAAAAACAAAACCAGAAGTACTGCTGATGCAGCACAGGGTGGTGAATTGAATTTACAGGATGGGATAGTAATTGCCTTCATTAAGTTTTATTTGGTGGACAGTGCCCAGACTTAAGAGGAAGAAAGAAAAATCTTGCAGTGGAAAGAACATGAAATATAAAATAAGATGCCTAGGTTCCAATCCCAGCTCGGTCACTTAGGAGCTATGCAATCTTTTTCTTTCTTTCTTTCTTTCTTTCTTTCTTTCTTTCTTTCTTTCTTTCTTTTTTTTTTTTTTTTTAGATGGAGTTTTGCTCTTGTTGCCCAGGCAACCTCCGCCTCCTGGGTTCAAGTGATTCTCTTGCCTCAGCCTCCCAAGTAGCTGGGATTACAGGTGTGAGCCACCACGCCCAGCTAATTTTTGTATTTTTAGTAGAGACAGGGTTTCCTCATGTTGGCCAGGCTGGTCTCAAACTCCTGACCTCAGGTGATCTGCCCACCTCTGCCTCCCAAAGTGCTGGGATCTATGCAATCTTAAATCATTTAGCCTCATTTTTTTCTTCTGTAAAATGGGTATAATGGTACTGATAAGAACCTCACTTGAGGTTGCAGTGAGAAATCAATGAAGCAATGATTTGTAATCTATAAGAGTAAACATGTTAATTTTCATCCAGTGTTACCCTTGGTTAAACTATGTGGTTTATTCTCTTTATCTTCTTCACAACGTTTATCCTCGAAAGGACACCTGCTTTTTTCTGCATGTGTCAGCATGCTTCTCCTTCCTCTTCTCTCCCCAAATGAACCATCAGTTTTTCAATATCATAGCTTCTGTTTGCCGTCCATTCACAAAAAACAATGATTTGCACATTATGAACACCCAATAAATTACTTAATAATAAGGTCTTGCCTCTGAACATTTATTTGATACTCTCACATTTCATTTATGTGCAGCTGTCAGATTCATCTTGCTGCACATATTTCTGATCATGTCATGTCACTGTTCAAAAGTTCTCAACAGTTCCTCACGGAATCTGAACGCCTATCTTAAACCCTAAGGCCTTACCACTCAAAATGTGGTCTCCAGATCAGGAGCACTGGCATCAGCTGGGAGCCTGTTATTCTACAGGCTGTATTCTGGAGAATACAGATTCTCCAGTCTCATGCCACATCTATTGAATTAACAACTTCGTTTTCACAAGATTCCCAATTGATTCATATCTACGCAGCTTTGATTACATGTTTAATCTCTCATAAACTTCAAGCTTCAAAAGCAGGGTTGCTAGATTTAGCAAATAAAAGTAAAGGATGTCCAGTAAAATTTGAAAACAATGAGTAATTTTTTGGTTTAAGTATGTCTCCACTGCTTCATGGGACATACTTTTTAAAAGATTGCTTATCTGCAATTCACATTTGATTAAGTGTCCTATATTTAATATGGCAAACCTATTCAGGAGGGTAGGATCCATGTCTAACATAGCTTTGTATTCCCCTGGAATAGTACAGTGCCTTCCCCAACTGTTTTTGTTTTTTTTTGTTTTGCTTTTTGAGACAGAGTCTTGCTCTGTCACCCAGGCTGGAGTACAGTGGCGCGACCTCGGCTGACTGCAACCTCCGTCTCCCGGGTTGCAGGGACAGGGACAACCTCCGCCTCTCGGGTTGCAATGACTTCTGCAACTCTCCTGCCTCAGCCTCCCGAGTAGCTGGTATTACAGGTATGCGCCACCACGCCCCGGATAATTTTTGTATTTTTAGTAGAGACGGGGTTTCTTCATGTTGGCCAATCTGGTCACGAACTCCTGACCTCAGATGATCTGCCCACGGAGGCCTCCCAAATTGCTGGGATTACAGGCCTGAGCTACCGCGCCCGGCCCCAACTGTTCAATATATGTTTGTTTAATGAGTAGAAAATGAGCTTCTTGAGTATGGAAGTTTCTCTTTTTATTTCAACAGTTTTGGAATACAGGTGGATTTTTGGTAACATGGATAAGTCCTTTAGCGGTAACTTCTGAGATTTTAGTGCACCCATCACCTGAGCAGTGTACCCTGTACCCAATACGTAGTAATTTATCCCCTCCCCAGTCCCCAAAGTCCATTTTATCATTCTTATGCCTTTGAACCCACATAGCTTAGCTCCCACTTATAAGTGAGAACATAAAATATTTGGTTTCCCATTCCTGAGTTACTTCACTTAGAATAATGGCCTCCAGCTCCTTCCAAGTTGCTGCAAAAGGCATTATTTCGTTCCTTTTTATGGCTGAGTAGTATTCCATGGTGTATATACCCACATTTGCTCTATCCACTCATTGGTTGATGGACACTTAGGTTGGTTCCATCTCTTTGCAATTGCGAATTGTGCTGCTATGAACATGTATGTCTAGCTTGCTTTTTTCCCCCTCAACACTGTATCCCCAGAGACTAACACAGTGCCCCGCACCCCGTTAAAGAACCAAAAAATATTTGTTGGATGAATAAAGGAGTATATCAAGAGCAATCTTTCAATTATGGAGAGGGTCGTGATGTGTATTTTAATGAAAGCCAACTATCTTCTCTAATATTTGAAAAAACAATGTTTAAAAGGCTTCTATTTGTACACCTTTTCACATTTTAGCTGGCAGAGTTCAGGACTTGATGGAAACATAACGAAGGGCTCAGAATGTACTCATCGCAGACTGAGCCCATATGGTCACAGTGGGGAGAGCACGCTGCACTCAAGATGCTAGCAAGCCTGCAGCAGGCGGCCCAGCGAGACACGGTCCCCCGCCCGGCCACCAGGCGCCCGCGCACGCGCACAGCCGCGCTCAGTCCGCGAGGGCCGGGTCGAGGGAGGCGGGGCTCCCGGGGTGCGCGTGCGCGGCGGCCTGAGCGGCGGGCCCCTCCCTTAGCGGGGGCGCGCGGCGCTGAGGACCGCACGGAAACGGGGAAGTCAGGTGGCCGCTGCCGCCGCCGCCGCCGCGGTTTGTCGCCAGAAGGAAGATGGCGGATCTGGAGGAGCAGTTGTCTGATGAAGAGAAGGTAAGAGTCGCGGGGGCGACGGCGCGGGCTGTCAGGAGCCGGCTCAGCCCGGGCGGGTGGGCCCGGAGTCTGGTCGCGGGGGAAGGGCATTGGCCCGCAGCTGGCCTTGCCCTCGGCTGCCCTTCCTCCCCCATCCTTACTGCGCCCAGTGCCTGCCCCTGTCCGTCACCCGAGGCCCCGCGCGGGGGCAGGTCTCTGCCAGGCCTGCTCGCTCCGCTCCTTGTAGGGTGTGTACTCCGAAAATAGGAAGCGGGAGCCGGGCGACGGCGGGCGGGGGCGCGGGCGCGGGGGAGGGCGGCGGCTGCCCAGGACCCTCTCCTGCTGTCGGGCCGCGGGGCCTCCGCCGGGGCCGGGGACCGGGGACCAGGGACGCAAAGGGGTTTGCGTCCGTGCGTGGGAGCGGCCCAAGGGCAGTGCCCAGCGCGGCGGCCTGGCCTGTGAGTGTAGCGGCGGGTGAGGGGAAGGGAAAAATCGCTTAGGAAGCAGACCTTCACTTCTCCCTTCTACTTCCCCCTCCTCAAAGCAAAATGCTTCCTTTTCTGATCCTCTACGGTTTATCCTTTTTTTTCCCTTTCCCCATGGAGGCATCTCTCCCTCCTTCTCTCTTTCCTTTCGTGGCTCTAGCAGTAAGCTTGCAGCTCCCATGTTCCCCAGGAGGCAGCGGAGTTGCTCACAAAAAGACGACCCCCTCCCCATAGTTGTTTTCTGCCCACGTTGGCAGCAGCCCCCCCCCGGGGGTCGATTTGGTGGCACCTCACTTTCCTGCTAGGACTTCTTCCGAAGAGGGGAAAATGTGCAACTCCTTTTACTGTATATTAGATGCTGTGACAGCAATGGAACCAGATGAACGACTTAAGTTCTCAGATATTTAAAACGAGTAATGGAATAATTCATTGAACTGCTGCTCTCTTAATTCGCCCCTTTCGTTTGGCTTTTGGGAACGTCCCATTCCCGAGGGTGGTGGGGTAGGGGAGAACCCTGCTAATTTTGACTGTTTCTCGGAAAGGACCCTTAGAAGTAACTGACAGAACATAGGAATGAGTTAGTTGCAGGGTTGGAAATGTCCACTCTTCGTTAAAGAGTGCTTCATTTTTAAATTTCAAAGCCAGTGCAGGAAAATACAGGTACATTTAGGTATGTTGTGGTGTTTAAGAAATCTTCATGTAAGTCTGAGGATATTTTCATTTAGGACCCTCTGCTCTAGATGTTTTTATATGCTGTGTTCTTGCACCGAAATAGAAGGTTCTGTCCCATTCCCAATGTGAATGGTCAGAAGTCAGCCTCATCTTTATTTTCGGAAATCTTTTTTTCTCTTGTGTTCTTCGGTGAAAGTGATAATACAACAACAAAATGGGGGCGAGCAACGTCTCCATAGCCCACAGACCCAGTAGGCAGATCCCCGTATCCACAAAAGTTGCTGTACAGTATTCAATGTATAATCTTGATAAATAATCCTATTTTATTTAGGTGACTGAAAGTGTACAGGAGTGCACAAACATATTTAAAATTGAGGCGTGCTAAAAAGCTTAAAAAGAGATTGTCGTGTTTTTATTCTACCATTCTTAAGTGATGATTAGTAGCTCAAGTGGCTAGAAATCTAGCTGAAGAGAGACTACTCGGTGTGGGAGTTAATATAGACCTGCCATGTGTTGTAAAGGCCTAAAATAAAAAAGTTTTTTAAAAATGAGATAACAAGATGCCTTATTATCTGGCACTCTCAGGGCACTAAGCTTCATAAAGAGGAATGAGGAGGTTGTGTGTCTTAAAGCCTGTGCCGCCTAGTAGCAAAATGTTTTATGGTTAAATGAATGAAAATTCTAATTTGATTTTTGATGTTTTGTAAGAATATTATGTAGATATTTTACATATAAATTTTATCACTATATTTACTAATTTAAAAACTGACAAAACCTTTAGGTTAAATTCAAGTAACCAGTAAAGTGAAATTTTAACGTTCTTGTCACTTGAGATATCTAAAGGTTATTTTCATTTTGGGGGAGGAGGATGTGTCCAGTATGGGATCAGAAAACAGAGAGGACTTAAAAGTGATATTTTAATATTACTCGTTCTACTGCCTTATTGGTAATTTTCAAAAATAAGCTCTTAAGCTGGGCACGGTGGTTTGCACCTGTAATGCCAACTACTCTGGATGCCAAGGTGTGGAGGATCGCTTGAGCCCAGGAGTTGTAGACCAGCCTGGTAACATAGCGAGACCTCATCTCTAAAAAAAAATATTAAGTTTTGAATACTTTTAAGTTTTTGAAATTTCCATTCTAGATTGCAAATTTAAGGAAGAGAAGCTGTTAAGATGTGTCTAGTACCATACTTTATATATGCTTGGCTCAGTTAGATACATTCATTACTTAATTTGTTGTTGTAAGAGGTAGTTCTATTACCATTTCACAGATGAGTAGAGTGAGGTTCAAAAGCTTTAAGTAGTTCACCCAAGGACGGTCAAGATGAAGGTAGTATTTAAAGTTTGTCTTAGTCCAACGTTGATGTTCTTGTGACATTATGCGCTCTCTTCTTTTTTTTTTTTTTTTTTTTTTTTTTGATACAGAGTCCCACTCTGTCACGCAGGCTGGAGTGCAGTGGTGCAATCTTGGCTCACTGCAACCTCTGCCTCCGGGGCTGAAGCGATTCTTCTGCCTCAGCCTCCCGAGTAGCTGGGATAACTGGCACATGCCACCATGCCCAGCTAATTTTTGTATTTTTAGTAGAGACGGGGTTTCGCTATGTTGCCCAGGCTGGTCTTGAACTCCTGACCTCAGGTGATCCACCCCCCTCGGCCTCCCAAAGTGCTGGGATTACAGGCGTGAGCCACCATGCCCAGCAGACATTATGCTTTCTTAAACAAAATTGATAAGAACCTCTTCTGGTTTTGTCTCTTCATTTTTAATTTGTTGACAGCTTATTTTGAAAAAGGAGAAACGTTGATTCTTCCTTAGACAGGGTCTCACTCTGTCCACCCAGGCTGGAGTGCAGTGGTGATCATGGCTCACTGCAGCCTCAACTTCCTGGGCTCAAGCAGTCCTCTCACCTCAGTCTCCCCAAGTAGCTGGGAGTACAGGCAGGTGTGCCAGGACACCCAGCAAATTTAAAAAAATTTTTTGTAGAGACAAGGTCTCACGATGTTGTCCAGGGTGGTCTCACACTCCTGGCTCAAACGATCCTCCCACTTGGGCATCCTAAAGTGCTGGGATTACGGGCATGAGCCATGATTCCTAGCCCTTTTTTAAAAAGTAATACCAAGCAAATAGTGTTAGGTTCTAAATTTTTGTCTTGATGATTTTAGAATAAAGCTTATTATTAACACATTTAAAGGTGTTATGTTACTGATAGGAAGCATTTTAGAAATCAATCTAGAATAATAGTTTTGTTTTTTAAAATCATACACAATTGCTTTTTGAGGATACTACTATGAAGTTTAATAACCTTTTCTCCTTTGGCCACTGGGTGAATGGGAAATAAATTTAGCTGAAGAACACAATGAAGTTCTTTAAAGCTCTTAACTTGCTATAGTGTGTCCCATAGACTTTTTTTTTTTTTTTTTGAGACGGAGTCTCGCTCTTTCACCCAGGCGGTATCTCGGCTCACTGCAAGCTCCGCCTCCTGGGTTCACGCCATTCTCCTGCCTCAGCCTCCCGAGTAGCTGGGACTACAGGCGCCTGCCACCGCGCCCGGCTAATTTTTTGTATTTTTAGTAGAGACGGGGTTTCACCGTGTTAGCCAGGATGGTCTCAATCTCCTGACCTCGTGATCCACCCGCCTCGGCCTCCCAAAGTGCTGGGATTACAGGCGTGAGCCACCGTGCCCGGCCTCCCATAGACTTTTTTACATAGTTACAGAAACCCTAGGCCAAAAACAGTTCATTTTCATTCCTGGGTCAGCTGTATTGTACAGTAAAGCATTTTTGTGAATTTGAAATTGTATGAAATTATGGTGTAAGGCTCAATTGAAAAGACCCATTCCGAAACCTCTCTCTGGATAAGAGATTCAAGTTCCAGAAGGAATACACTTAGTTACTGATGGGAAAGATCGTTTTTCTTCCTGTAACCCTTTACCTCAGTGATTACAATAATCTGTCCCATAGCTTCAACTTTTAGGTCTTTGCAGTTGTCTCCCAGGTACATAGCTGTAGCACTAACTTCTTTCCTGATTACTGGTCAGATTTTTATCTGCTATTCATGTTCACTGGAGATGGTTAATTAGGTATGTTCAAATGGAGCTTGCCTAGAAGTAAATTTATAAACGCCCATCTTCTTTCCTCTCACACAAAGGGGGGTATAATCTACTCTTGATAATTTTTCTCTTTATATCTTTATTCCCATTATTCCAGTCATCCTGGTTTTTAATTTCAGATTTATTCTAACTTTTTTTGGCCCTGTACCTTACAATCAACTGGTAAAAGTTGTCACTTCCATCGTCAAAATATGTATTATACAAATAACTTATTTCTTGCTTGAAAAGTTAATTCATTTATATTAATACTTCGTTTATTATCTCTGCATTGACCTGATTGTTAAATAATGTTTGGTAACAAAATTTCACTGTACAAACAGAATGCAACTTGATTATACTTGTTCTGTGCCAACAGTTAAGAAGTAAAGTCAAGAAAAATGTCTCATATCTGTTCTTTCCCTTCTGTTATATTTGCCACTGTTAGGCTTTTACTAGAAAATTTCTAGACTAATCCCTCCTGTTTCCTGTATCTAAGCCATGCTTTACTTTGTCATTTCTCTACTCTCAAAATTTTAGTGCCTGGATCCTCCATTGCCTTTACAAGGAAGCCAAGTTCTTAAAATGGTATTCATGGCCTTGTATTCCATTTTAACCTAAATAGTTCTGACATTTTCAATACGTATTGTTACTTAATCGTGCTGTGAATTTAGAGAGACTTCAGAGAGCTGCATACTAGTCCATTTCTCTCTCTTTTTTTTTTTTTTTTTTTGAGACAGATTCTCACTCTGTCACCCAGGCTGCAGTGCAGTGGCACGATCTCGGCTCACTGCAACCTCTGTCTCCCAGGCCCAAGCAATTCTCCTGTCTTAGCCTCCTGAGTAGCTGGGACTACAGGCACACACCTGCGTCCCTAGCTAATTTTTGTGTTTTTAGTGGAGACAGGGTTTCGCTATGTTGCCCAGGCTGGTCTGGAACTCCTGAGCTCAGGTGATCTGCCAGCTTTGGCCTCCTAAAGTGCTGGGATTACAGGCGTGAGCGACCACTCCCAGCCACTGGTCCATTTCTAGCACCTCAGATAAATTATTTAATCTCTCAGCCTCAGTTTGCTCTGAAATGTTAGAATGTTGTAGTAAGTACCTTCTTCATTAAGTTGTTGTAAGTCTAAATGGGCTTGGCATGTAGTAAGCGCACAATAAATGGTAGTTATTTTTCTCTGCTCATGACTTTTCATCTACTTTGAGTGTTGGTACTGCTCCCAGGTCTGTCCCCTTTTTTGAAACATGAAAATCTCAGTCATCTCTCAAGATTTAGCTTAGATTACACAGCTAGTTTAGCCTCTCATCTGAACTCTTCAAGAGATCGTTAGTATTAAATACAATTTTGCGTAATAGTTATTTGCTTACCGTTTTTTCCCTTTTCCATTGGAATTCCTAAGTGGAGACATAATGTCATCTTTAGCATCTGTTGTTACTCTACCATGTGATGAATAGGATGGCTGTACCTGCAGTTTATATACTTCTCCCTCAGTGACTGGCTTCAGAAATTTTGTGTGTGTAAAAACAATATAAGCTGCCATTGTATTTCATAATATTAATGTAAAATTAGAAATGTTTTTATTGGCTGGGCGCGGTGACTCACACCTGTAACCCCAGCACTTTGGGAGGCTGAGGCAGGTGGATCACCTGAGGTCCGGAGTTTGAGACCAGCCTGGCCAACATGGTGAAACCCTGTCTGTACTAAAAGTACAAAAAATTAGCTGGGCGTGGTGTCGTGCACCTGTAGTCCCAGCTACTCGGGAGGCCGAGGCAGGAGAATCGCTTGGACCCGGGAGGTGGATGTTGCAGTGAGCGGTGATCGCACCACTGCATTCCAGCCTGGGCAATAGAGCAAGACTCCATCTCAAAAAGTTTAAAAAAAAATTCTTATTATTGAGAAGGTAAACTCAAGCAAAAAGCTATTAATGTGGACAATATTCATTCCTAATTCTATTCTATAGATAAATTATGTTATTTCACCAATAAAGTGTAAAAACTTCTGTTGCAGACAGGAACTTGATAGCAGCTGTAGCATTAGTGGAGTTTTTCAGACTTTGTACATTAAAGTAAATTTGTAGTAAATTTTCAGTGCATTTGGGAGCCATTTTTGCATGAGTAGTTGAATAGATAGAATAATTGCATGTTAGTGTGAGAATACAGATATGAAAACACTTAGAGCAGAGAATCTAAAATAATTTTTAAGGTTGAAAAGCAGGATGGCAAAACTTGGATCTGTGGTTCCAAGCTATGACCTAAAAGCCTAATCAGTCACCTGAAGCAAAAATTTGTTAAAGTTATTATAGCAATAATTTGTTAAATAGGAGATTCATGCATATCAAAGAAAATGGGGTCTTTGTCTTCTGAAAACCACTCTCTGACAGGTTCCATGAAAATACCCATGGCTGTTTCAAAAAAGAATTTCATAAATTTTATTTTGAGGATTAAGTATAGTTTTTGCATTCTTGCTCTTATGACATATTTACATGTTTCACTATGCATCTAATGACTGAGAACTTTTCTTATACATTCTAATTCGCAGTGTTTCTACTGGAAATGACTTTTGAAATCCATTTACCTCCATCTTCATTCATTTACTAAATATACCACATTTCACTGATTTCAGTACTGATACTTTTTTATATTTTAAGATCTCTGAAATCAGGCTGCATTGTACAATCAATGGGTTGTAATATTTCATTGGTAGCGTTTTTCCTTGTTTAGTGGTACATAAAGTTATGCATCTTATATTGATTGTGAATCAGGATAGGCAAGGATATAGTTCAGTAACAAAACTCCTAAAATCTCAGCACAAGGGTGTTGAATGTGGAGGCTTTGTACTGCATCTCATTCATTCCATGTATGTCTAGCGTGAGTTAGCAGAGAGCCCTGCTCAGGGAAGTAATTTAGCGTTCCAGTTGGTTAGAGAGCTTCCATCTAAACTTTCTTCTCAGTCACTGCAGTGGTGGGAAGGAAATGGAATGAATTGCACACTTGTTTTTTTTGTTTTGTTTTGTTTTTTTGAGACGGAGTGTTACTCTGTCACCTAGGCTTGAGTGCAGTGGCACAATCTCGGCTCACTGCAACCTCTGCCTCCCGGGTTCAGGCAATTCTCCTGCCTCAGCCTTCCGAGTAGCTGGAAGGAGCTCACGTCACTTCTGCTCAGATTTCAATTAGCTAAAGCAAGTTACATGTATAAACCTAATTTCAGAAAGGTCAGGGCAGAAGAGGAGAATTGGAATATTTGTGAATAGCAGTAATGACAGCATAGATTAAGTTTTAAATTCACTAAAGTGTAGCGATCACCTGGAAGGTAGATATAATGCAAAACTAGATTCGAAGAGGAATTGGACATATGTAATATACATACTAAATTGGGTCTAAAAATTTAGAAGATAGAAAAGCTACTTCTGCCTAGGGGTATGGTAAACATCAGTTGGGGTCAAGCTCATACCAGAGAGCACAACATAGGGAAAAATAACAGGAAAGTGGGAACAAGCAGGCAGTGAGTTTTGTGTAAAAAGAATTCAGTTAAATAGTTGAGTGTCTACTCTATATTTGGTACTTTTACAATAAGAGATGCAAAGGTGAATTGTGCTGTTTAACAGCTGACTGTCAGGGTTTTTCCATCTCATCAATGTTGACAGTTTGGGCCAGATATTGTTGGGCAGGTGGACATGCTGTGCGTTGTAGGGTGTTTAGCAACATCCTTAGCCCACATGATATGCCACTACCATAACCCAGGCTTACCAATCCAGAATGTCTCCTGGTGGACAGATTCACCCCTTGTTGAGACCCATGAGTCTAGATAGATTAGAGCTGGTAAGAACAGTTGAGAACCTGGCTTAAGTGGACTTTAGGACCTGGTTTAAGTTCGTCCCACAAGAAATGGAGGAAAAAAAGATCGCCAATAGATTTTAGAGTTGGAATCAAGAAGACTTGATAAATGAATATAGGGGAAAGGCGTGAGTCAGAGAAAACTGTGAACATTAAAGTCTGGATGACTGGGAATTGGTACCACTAGTAACAACTGGAGAACACAGGAAAGAGGATACACAGCTGGGAGGAATAATGGTGAATTTAGTTTTGGTTGTACGGAGTTTGAGATGCTAGTCATTGTCTATGTGAAAATGCCTAGCAGATACGGAGATAGAGAAACAGCTTGGAAAAGAGGTCAGCTCCAGAGATTATATAGAGATTTGAGAATCCTCTTTTTGTGGGTTAAAGCGAGATGGGATAAGCCCTTTAGGACAAAAAGCTTAGACATGGGAAAGAGGAGAGGGCAGGAAGCGTATACTTTATACTTTGATTTGAGGAATAAGAAGTGGAGAGAGACCTAAAGGTGAGGAGAAACCCTTGAGGTCGAAGTGTTACCTACTGATAGCTAGCACAGAGTAGGTGCTGAGGTCACAGAATGTGACGAGAATTTCAAGAAGGAGCGGTGCTCAGTGTTGCAGAGATTAAGGAGTATGAGATTGAAAAAAGCCTTTGGATTTAAGAGAAAGGAATGAGAAACAAATTATACCTACTCTATGCCAGGGACTTTAACATGTATTCTCTCTATTAATTGTCAGAATAACCTTGTTATTATCTTCATTGTACAGACAGGAAACTGGTGCAGTTAAGGCTGTTTAAGTGGTGGACTAGGGATTAGTGGCCTTCAAGAGAATAATTTTACTAGTGTTTGGAGCAAGGAGTGGAGAGACATAAGCCAGATAACTGGAGTCTATAATAAAAAGTATGTGTGTATTTTCCCTTTTCCAGAAACGGCATTTCAGTCTTGTTTGCCTTGTAAACTACTCATCTTTGGATAACCAGACTCAAGGACTTTCTTCTCTTCTTTTGTATCCTGACATACCTCTGCTCCCTAAGCAATTTGTACTTATCTTTGTTATAACATTTACCAGTTTTAATAAATTTACCTGTTGTCCTTATTTCCTGTGTTCTTCAGGGCCAGGCCTTATGTCTTCACCATCTTTGTAATTCCAGTAGAGCGCCTAGCCTGTATTAAATCAGTGATTTTCAACTCTGGCTGCACATTAGAATCAACTGGAGAGTTTATAAACAAAATGAACGCACAGGCTCCTCTTGTGGGTGAGGCCTGGAGTGTCTGTAATTCCTTTTTGTTGTTGTTGTTGTTGTTGTTTTAAAGCTTCCCAGGTGATCTGAATGTGCAACTAGGATTGAGTCTCACTGTATCACTGTATTAGGGGCTCAATAAATGTTGACTAAAGGATGAGGAGTGGAGACAGTAAGTACAAATTATTCTTGAAAAAAATTGGTAGTGAAACAAAAGAGAAAAATATGTATTACTACTTTGTTTTTTCCTGCTATTTCATTTTAAGAATACTTTTTTTTTGTAAGAGAACATTCTAGGGTGTATAAGGGAAATGATTCAGAAGGGAAAAGGAAATTGAAAACGTAAGATAAAGAATAGTTTACATAACTTACTTTCTTTTAGTTGATGATAATGCCTACTTTGGATTCATGGGTTTCTTCATATTTTAAATAAATGGTAAAAACATATTTAAAGAAGAATCAATGTTGAGTTCTTTAGATGACCCAGTTTCAGGTTAAGTGCTGTGGGCCCTGTTTTTAATTACCAATCAAAATGATAATTATAAAGGAAAAAAATTTAGAGGAAAACTTATTAAAACAAATTACCACTCTTAAGTTTACCCATATTAAGATAAATTCACCTGACACACAGACATGTGATAGTGATCACTTGGTCATAAACTATTTAAATGTCATAAAGTTCAAAAAAGTGGTTTTTTCCTCCGGTTTTACCTCTAATTCTCAAAAGACATAGCCATTTTTTAGAGAGCTGTGGAAGACAACTTCAAATAATTCTTTTAGTTGAAGTGGAAAAGTGCATAGTGGCTCCTTTAATTTTACTACCAGTGTCTAAAGCAGTGACCCTTTTTGGTGTTACATTTTCTTGAGAATCAAGTAAAACCTATAAGTCATTTCTCAAGAAGACTAGACACTTCAAATTTTACATCTGAAGTCCCTTAGGGCATGGGTGCAATATCTGGTCACCTTTCAGAATCACGTGGAGAGATTTTCTAAAACATAGATTTCTAGGTCCCCATTCTCTGGAGATAGATTCACTGGGTCTGGAATAGAGGGTGGGAATCTGTATTTTTTCCAAGCTTTCCAGGTGAGTCTGACTGCCGTTCATATCTGAAAAATTCCTACCCTAATGTCTCCTTCCTTGATCATGGCGGCCCATACCATGTGGAAATTATAGGGGCTCTAGGTAGGATTCTCAGATAAAATACTGATGCCTCAGTAAATTTGAATTTAAGCTAAACGGTGAGTCATTTTTAGTATAGCTATTTCCCATAGTAGTGTACCTTTGGACTGCTGGAGAGTGCAGGGTCCTTTGCTTCTAAATTTAATGGCTCTAGATGGCTGTTTGGGGGTTTTGTTTTTTGTTGTTGTTTTTTGGTGGTGTGTATGTGTGTACATGTATGTCTGTGTGCTACCATGCACATACATTGTCTGCTTTTTATACTTTCATCTCCTTTAAACCTTGCTTAAGGTTTAAAAAAATTTTTTTTAATTTTTGTTAGTTTACCATTTTTATAGCTGCTTTGGTGAGGACTCTATTTCCTGTTAAGGAATTGTTTTCTTCAGACAGTTTTAAAATCTCCTGGAACTCAAGTTTTACCTTAGTGTTTGAAAACATGTTGCCAAATGTTCAGCAAAGGCACTAGAACAATCTGGAGAATTCATGGACATAAGCAGGTGAAGTAACATTAATTTTGCCATCTATTTCTGTAAATTGTGGTAATGATTGACAACCCACAGTAAACTCTCACGTTGTACCCTCATGTTCTAGATGGTAATTATAAAACTGAAGTAGCACTACCAATTGCTTCTGACTTCCAGTAATAAACACATCTTGAAGAGGTGACATAGGCTGAGGGAACCCAGTCACTTCCACCTGTGGTACTTCACCATGGAGCTTGTCTTTGCTTGAGAAAGGTACATTCTGTACCATTAATGCAAAGAGTGACACAGTCAAGGATTGCAAGGCAGAAAGATACATGTGAAGCTTATGTTCATCCAGCCCTCCTTCCCTTTGTTCTCTTTCCCTGATAAGTTTTTCAGTCTTATTCAGCAATGTAGGTGTAAGATTGTACATTTCCAAATTCCATATTCCAAGTATCATAGGCCATTAAAAGTACTAGATGTTTTGCACTCACTACTTTTTCTGAGATATCACTCAAGGCCAAAGGCAACAATTCAAAAACCTGCTGATACTTGCCTGGTTCATCAGGGTATCCCATAATGATACCAAGGCTTTTGATCACAGCTTCTCATATCAAATATGCTTTACCTTCCATTTAAGGAGGACCAGGGAGTTAGGAACTTCTTGAGGAAAGTAAGGCACCACTACTCCACAGGATTTAGCTACAAGTAGTGTCCTTTTTGGGTCTTTGTGACTCACCTCTTCCCATCACTGTGGTAAATGTTCGGCTTCTGCATGTGTTGGTCCGACATGATGTGTGAATGCCGTAACACCAGTTAGTATCACTTGCCTTGGCTCTTTATCTGGCCTCTTGATCATACTAGAAAGAATGTGGAGAAGCTGATTTTTCTTTTTAGATTCAAGATGTAGGCACGTTGTATACAATCTGAGGGCATCAGTGTCTCTGTCTTTGCCAGCAGCACGTCAAGTGCAATGTATAGCAAGCAATATCCAAGCATCAGCAGAAGGTGTTTTTCACTGCAGTCAGAGACACTTCTGATCCTAAGCAGCATCTCCTGACACTTGACAAAAAGAAAGTAGTGCATAGTGGAAAGCAGAAGACAGTTTCCTGTGGGGTTTATCAAAGTGAACTGTGCTTTTACTTGATGGAGAAAACAGCATTCTTTCCTTTCTCTCCTAAGGGAAGGGACTGGGGAATTCTCTCTAAGAATAATGGAATTAGGCTGGGCACGGTGGCTCATGCCTGTAATCCCAGCACTTTGGGAGGCCAAGGTGGGTGGATCACTTGAGGTCAGCAGTTCGAGATCATTCTGGCCAACATGGAGAAACCCCGTCTCTACTAAAAATACAAAAATTAGCCAGGTATGGTGGTGCTCACCTGTAATCCCAGCTACTTGGGAGGCTGAGGTGGGAGAATCACTCAAGCCCAGGAAGTGGAGGTTGCAGTGAGCGGGGATGGTACCAGTATACTCCAAGTCTGGGCAACAGAGTGAGACCCCATCCCTCCCCCCACAAAAAAAGTGGAATCAACATTATCTGGTTTTGAAAGATGAATATCCTTTTTTTTTTTTCTTTCCTTGCCTGAACTGTTTATGACTGAAATCTGTTCATTTTCTTCAGAGTCTTGTAGGGATTCCAAAGAAGGTTGAATGGAATCACAAACTACCAAATGGCAAAGTGTTCATTTTTGAGGATGGCCATTTTAGGTCTTCTAATTTGCTCCATCAAAGAACATTTCTCACTATTTAATAAATTAATTTTATCTTCCCAATTTGTGTACTAACAAGGAGTTCTCTACAGGTTGAGGAGTAGAAACAAGTGAAAGAAGATTGCCTAAAATTGATATAAGAGCTTCTAATTCATTTTCTTTCACTCCACTAGCAATATCCATAAAATCTTTCCCAGTTACTTGATCACTTCCAAAGTCTCAGTAGATTTGCAATAAATTGGAGGGTTTTTTTTTTTTATTTTTTGTTTTTGAGACAGGGTCTTGCTCTGTCAGCCAAGCTGGAGTGTAGTTTCACAGTCATGGTTCACTGTATCCTTGACCTCCCAGGTTCAAGTGCTCCTCCCATCTCAGCCTCCCAAGTTGCTGGGACCACAGGTGCTCACCATCATGCCTGGCTAATTTTTTTTTTTTTAAATTTTTTGTAGATACAGGATCTCACCATGTTGACCAGGCTGGACTCAAGTGATCCTCCCATCCCAGCCTCCCAAAGTGTTGGGATTTTACAGGTGTAAGCCATGGCACCTGGCCAAATTGGACATTTTAAAATGTTTATGTTATCCCGTAACTCAAAGTTCTGATCATTATTTTCATCTGAGGTATTTATTGATGTAAACTTGGATTCTTCAATAAAAATTCAGTTACATAGAAGTTTAGAGGCCGGGCGCGGTGGCTGATGCCTGTAATCCCAGCACTTTGGGAGGCCGAGGCGGGCGGATCACGAGATCAGGAGATCGAGACCATCCTGGCTAACACAGTGAAACCCCGTCTCTACTAAAAATACAAAAATTAGCCTGGTGTGGTGGCAGGCACCTGTAGTCCCAGCTACTCAGGAGGCTGAGACAGGAGAATGGTGTGAACCCAGGAGGCGGAGCTTGCAGTGAGCGGAGTTCGCGCCGCTGCACTCCAGCCTGGGTGACAGAGAGAGACTCCATCTCAAAAAAAAAAAAAAAAAAGTTTAGAGCACTCAAGAGGTTTGACTGGCTCCTGAATTTCAGGGCTCAGTTTCTAATGTTTTCGTTCCTATGAAGGAACTTCATTTTCTGCAGCCTTTGTCAGGTTGGCTCAGATCTTCCTTAGTTAAAACGTTGTTGTATGTCAACCACTTCTCTCCTCCCTTCACATCCATTGGCTGATAGGAAACTAGATAATCACACTTGTAAATTTATGTCTGAGATAAAAATAATATGATCTGTGGAGAATCTCATGTTCTCTTCTAATGTTTAGACTATATTTGCTTTTAGACCTTATTTGCTTTCTTAAAACATATTTTTGAGTATCTGAATTCCTTGCTTCCTGTGTGCCTTGATATGTCCCCAGTTACATATCTTAAATTCAGGCTTCACCGGTAAGGTAAGTGAGATCTTGTTTTAATTGCCTCCTCTTCATTCCATTGGTGAGGGAGGGGTTCTTGCCCTGGAATTGGGAGGTTGACAGAACATACAAAACCTGACACTGGACAGATGAGATTGACAGCAGTTTATTAATCACAAATACTCAGCAGCCCAGGAGAGAGGAGACAGCACACCACGCAGGCCCACATGGGAGTTGTGCTTGAGGACGGAGTGAACAGTCAGGGGCTGTAGGAGGCAGACTTTAGTAAGTATCAAGAGGGTGGAGTGATCCCTGGTTCTCAGGACGTGATCCATTCATTGTTTGATAATTCCAAGGGCTGGCCGGGACCCAAAGCTTGCTACTCAGAGATAAGAAGGAACTGTGTCTGTTCCCTGTGATAAAAGATTGTTTGGCTAGGGGACCTTATCTGTGGGAGCAGAGTGAGGAGAACTTGCAGTTAGGCCATTCAGGGCTCTCCCTGTTTTCCCTAAGTGTCAAGGCACACGTAATATTGAGCCTTAATTTTAGTCTTTAAACCGCAAGTCTCAATAGTGCTAGCCAGTTATCAAAGGTATTTGCTAATGATTGCTGTACTAAATAATATACCAAGAAGTTTTTAATAGTATAATTTGATCTTAGAGTTTTCCTTTCTGTATGACCTTTTCTTCTGATACTTTGCAAAGTTTAAGATATTCTGCTGCTGTGTGCAGTTTCACCACAGTAGATAAAAAGATGGCCAAATCATGTATATGAAGTGATATGGCAAGCGGGAAGACGAGAGTTCTTGTTTGAGAGACCTAATGGAGTGATAAGGCTCCAGTTCTGTGTATATGTGGGATGAGAAAGAATGGATAGGTTGTAGGAGCTAGAAAGTGGCAGAAAGATTGCAAAGGTAGTAATAGCCATTATTTGAGTGCTTGCTCTGTGCCAAGCACTTTTCTAAGTGTATTATCTCATTTACTGCTAGTGAGGAAACTGAATTTAGTTTGCTTAAGGTCATGCAGGTAGTAAGCAGTGGAGCTGTAGTCTGAATCCCTGCTTAATGTTATTTAAGAGCTTTTGCTGTTAACAGTTAATATTTTACAGCCTTAGAAGAGCCTTATATATCATGCTAAAGATTTTGAACTTAATCTTGTTGGCATTGGGGAACCATCGAGTGATCTTGACAGGGAAGAAAAATCAGAATTTGCATTGAAAAATACCAGTCTGGTGGCAAGGTGGAAAATGAATTTTGGAGAAAGATGAGGCCAGAGGCAGGACAGCTTTATAACAATCCAGAAACAAAGTGCCTGGGTCTGAATAAAATGGAATGGAATCAAATAAAAGGGGAATGGACTTGAGCAAGAGACACTCGCTGATCATGTGACTGACTGTAGGAGAGAAGTGCGGAATGATTTCTAAGTAGTGGCAATAATTTTATCAGAACAGAAGGCAATACATTTGAATGATAAGTTCAAGGTATCTTTGAGGCATTTTGATGGAGATCTCTAATAGATAAATTATAGTTAGAAAAAGGATAGGATCTTTGTCTTGAATGAGGTTATGATAGGTGTGTACATTTGAGAGTTACTGTGTGGTGATGATGGAAGCAATGGAAATGGATTACCTAGAGATTTATTTTGTTCCTCACAAAAGAATCGTCATAGAAGACTTACGCTGTATTGGGAGGCAGCTATGTAAAAAGCTGAGGACTTCATCCAGAGACTTCATTCAGATCTTAATTCTGGATCTCTGTTTTCTCTTTCATAAATTAAGGGTAATATCAGCTATATCAGAATAATCATAGATAATATTTTATTAGGGCCTGAGGTATAAGAGTTGAGAAATAATGATGCATGTCATCTCCCTTAGTTTTTACCTTTGAAAACTGAGGTTTACAGAAGTTAAAATAGAAACAAAATCTTGGCTACAGATCATTTGCCTTTACTTATGTAAAGCCCCACATCTTAACTGCGCATTGCCACCATCTTTCTCTCCTGTGTTGCTATTACTGGTGTTTGAAGTGAGCAGGGTCAAGTGGAGGGGGAAGGGTGACATCCCAAGTAAGAAGAAAGGATGTTGATGTATGGGAAGTGAATGCACTGCAGACAACACAGTAATACATGGGCATAAGCCACTCTTGAACAGTGTAGGACACAAAGAAACTAACATATAATCACTTGAAAATGTCTGTATTCCAGGTCTATATTTAAGAATATTGGCCAGGCGTGGTGGCTCACACCTGTAATCCCAGCACTTTGGGAGGCCAAGGCTGGTGGATCACGAGGTCGGGAGTTTGAGACCAGCCTGACCAACATGATGAAACCCCATCTCTGCTAAAAATACAAAAATTAGCCGGGCATGGTGGCACGTGCCTGTAATCCTAGCTACTCAGGAGGCTGAGGCAGGAGAATCACTTGAACCCAGGAGGCAGAGGTTGCAGTGAGCGGAGATCGTGCCACTGCACTCCAGCCTGGCGACAGAGCATAACTCTGTCTCAAAAAAAAAAAAAAAAAAAAAAAAAGAAAAGAATACTGGGACTATGCTAATGCAGGCATACTTCTTATCTACTGCTATTGCTGCTAATAATAATAGCTAATATTATTTATTCACCCAAGGTCACATCGCTAATGACTAGTAGAGGTTAGAAATCCAGCCTGGGTCAGTCTGGCTCCAGAGATCATACTGTAAACCATTACACCAAACTGTTTCTTTTTATTAGGATAAGTTTTTGTGATTTTTGAATGTAAATTATTTGAAAATTAACAATCTATCTACAGCAGCAGTCCCCAGCCTTTTTGGCACCAGGGACCCATTTCATGGAAGACAATTTTTCCACAGGGGATAGCGGGGTGGGGATGGATGGGGGAATGTTTTGGGATGAAACTTTTCCACCTCAGATCATCAGACATTAATTAGATTCTCATAAGGAGTGCACAAACTAGATCCCTCGCATACACAGTTCACAATAGGGTGTGCATTCCTATGAGAATCTCATGCTGCTGCTGATCTGACAGGAGACAGAGTGCAGGTGGTAATGCTTGCTTGCCCACTCCTCACCTCCCTGCTGTGTGACCGGGTTCCTAACAGGCCCCAGACTGGTACCTGTCTGTGGCCTGGGGTTTGGGGACCCCTGATCTACAGAATTGCATTAGTGATAACTCTCAAAATGTTCATTTCATTGAAATACTACATTCCCTCACCATTTTGAATAAATAGGAATTTATTCGTGCTTATAGATTTATTCAACCTGTAATCAGTAGCTACTGAGTACAGAGTATGGGGCAGAGGAAACAGATTCTGCCTTGAAGGGAGATTTAATGTTTATTTATTCAGCTAATATTTGAGGGTCTGCTATTTGCCAGGCACCATTCTAAGCACTCAGATATGGGAGTATATAGGCAGTTTCTCCCGCTCTGATTGATTTTTTTTTCTTCCCAGACTAAGTCAGTGCTACACTTTGAGGATTTTGAAAGCAGAGGGCCTGGAAAGTTGGCCAATTTTTTTTTAAAGTAAATGAAGGTAAATATATTTAACCATAGATGCCATATCAAAAAAGTACTCATTTGTCTTGCTTTATTATAAAGTCTAAACTAGAACAGTTTATTTTTGAGTTTCAAAAATCATGAGTTGGTTCAAATAATTGTAAACTTACATTTTAATTAATCAGAACTCAAGTAATTAGAATCCTCTATTTAATCCAGAATTATTTAACTTGATTTTAAGGGGATGATGGCTCATTGTGAACTGCAGCAATGCCTACTAGAATTTGTTTTTGTTTTTGTTTTTTGAGAGGGAGTCTCACTGTGTTGCCCAGGCTGGAGTGCAATAGCGTGATCTCGGCTCACTGCAACCTCTGCCTCCCGGATTCAAGCAATTCTCCTGCCTCAGCCTCCCAAGTAGCTGGGATTACAGGCACCTGCCACCGTGCCCAGCTAATTTTTGTATTTTAGTAGAAACGGTTTTTTACCGTGTTGGGCAGGCTGGTCTTGAACTCCTGACCTCAAGTGATCCACCCGCCTCGGCCTCCCAAAGTGCTGGGATTATAGGCATGAGCCACTGTAACCTGCCTTTTTTTTTTTTTTTTTTTTTTTTTTTTTTTTTTTTTTGAGACAGTCTTGCTCTGTCGCCCAGGCTGGAGTGCAGTGGTGTGATACGGCTCACTGCATCCTCCCAGGTTCAAGCGATTCTCCTGCCTCAGCCTCCTGAGTAGCTGGGATTACAGGTGTCCAGTACCACACCTGGCTAATTTTTGTATTTTTTAGTAGAGACAGGGTTTCTCCCTGTTGGCCAGGCTGATCTCCAACCCCTGAGTTCAGGCAATCTGCCCACCTTGGCCTCCCAAAGTGCTGGGATTACAGGCGTGATCCACCACAGTGACCATGGAAAGTCTTTAAAGTCAGTTGGTGAGGAGGATTAGAATATTAATTTGCTTTCACATTACTTACATGGATATTTTTGTAGTGTTAACCAAAGCCTCTATTAAATTCTAGAATAACATCACTTCTTGCTGCCTGCTAATATTATTGAATATTTAGGGCTTTCTTGAGGAAGTCACATTCTTAACAATTACTACTTGAATGATGACTGCTAACTTCTTTTTATCCATATAACAGTATAATAAAAAAGAAATAGAGCCCTATCGCACATCAGACACAAAAATCAATCCTGGACAGATTGAAGAACTAAGTACAAAGAGCAAAACTTTAAAGTTAGAAAAAATACAGGAGAAACCATGCAACCTCAGAGTAGAGAAGGAATTTTTTTCCCCAGTCTTTAAATACTTGACTGTATTCAGGGCATTCTTTTACAAAACTACAGTACAATTATCAGGCTGGGCACAGTGGCTCACACCTGTAATCCCAGCACTTCGGGAGGCCAAGGTGGGCGGATCACGAGGTCAGGAGATCAAGACCATCCTGGCTAACACGGTGAAACCCCGTCTCTACTAAAAATACAAAAAATTAGCCGGGCGTGGTGGTGGGTGCCTGTAGTCCCAGCTACTTGGGAGGCTGAGGCAGGAGAATGGCATGAACCCGGGAGGCAGAGCTTGCAGTGAGCCAAGATCGCACCACTGCACTCCAGCCTGGGCAGCAGAGTGAGACTCTGTCTCAAAAAAAAAAAAAAAAAAAAAAAAATTACATCACTAATGCACCTTCCCCTCCACCCCCGCCCTGGTCCAGGATCTAAACCAGAATCACATTGAATTTTGTTGTAATGTCTCTGGTCTTGCTTAATTTGGAACAGTTTCTCAGCATTGTTTATTTTTCATGACCCTAACTCTTTTGAAGAGTACAGACTGATTATTTTGTAGGCTGTCCCTCAAGTTTAGTTTGTTTCCTGATAATTAGATTCAGCCTATGAATTTTTGGCAGGAGTGTCACAGAAGTGATATGTTCTCAGTATATACTCTCAGGGGGCACTTGATGTCAGTTTTTCAGTTTTTCTTATTACTGTTGATAACTTTGATCATTTATTTGGTAAAGGTGGTGTATGGCGAGTTTCCTCAATGTAAAATTACTATTCTTTAGTAATTAAGTGTCACCTGGGAAGATACTTACAAACAATGTAAATATCCTGTTGTTTTATTATTCTGCCCACCAACTTTAGCCTCCCTTGATGATTTTTTGCTTGCTAGAATTACTGTGGTGGTCACCCAAGGTGGTTTTCTAATTCAGTCCCTCCTTTTACATTTATTAATTGGAATTCTATGATGAAGGGCTTTTCATTTTCCTCCATTTGTTAGTTTATTTCTTTATGCCAGTATGGACTCATAGATTCTTGTTTTATTCTGTGGGTTACCATTCATTACTACCATTATGGAATGGGTTGCTTGAAGAATTATTATTATTATTTTTTTTTACAAAAAAGTAAGCCCATAAGAAAAACAAGATACGAAAAAATATTGTTTGACAGTAATACGTTTGTATTGTCTCAGACAGTTGATGGGCAGAAATTATTTTTTTTCTCAGGGCTCACATGTATTTTGGATATTTTTTGAACACCCCAATTTTATCTTCTGTATAGGTCACTTTATAGTGACTAGTGATGTGTGCTCTTCTACAAGAAGCGCAATAGAATGGAGCATATTTTTTATGTTATATTTGTTACTTATGTGTATATTTCATACCACATAATATTTGGAATCAAGAGAAAAAATGTAATTTCAAGATTTAACTCAGGTTATACTTGAATCTCTATAGGTTAACTTTTCAAAACCACTCTATACTTCTTGATGTGATTGTTGTGAGGTATGCTTGTCAGCTGCCAGGGACTTTATCATGGAGGGATAGAGTTAATCTCCCACCTGTAGCCACTGGTCCCCAACAAAACCATGCCCCGAAAATCCAGAATTAGATTAGAAATAAAATAAAACTAATAACTCTTTCGTGATTTTGACTCCAGTTTGTCCAGAATTGACTTTGAAGAATAACATGTGGAGGAAGATGGTGGATAAGGAAAAAAAACATTTAGCAGTGGGCCTAGAAATGTATCTAATAACTCACTAGATTCTTTTTAAAAAGCTATAATTCCCAACGGTAAATAGAATGTATTCACTTACCCTCCATGTTTGTTAGATAAACTTTAAGGAAATACATTTGTAATTATTTTCAGAAATTCTACTCTTGGGACCTACCTATTGTTAACTGGTATTTTTTTTTTCTTTTTTGCATTTAGAAATGAGCTAGAATAAATAATTTTTAAAATTAAAGTCAGCGAGGAGGAATGTTGAGTCTGTAGCAGTGGATAAAAAATACCTGGATGGTTGAACAATATCTTCTTAGGAAAACAGTCAAAACTTTTACTGTGAGAGACATCCTTTCTTTTGTCTAGGGCCTGAGAAATCCAAAGGTCAGATTCTTACCTTTTGAAAATCAGAAAGAACCAGATTAAAGTATTTCAGGCACGGCTGGTTTAATCCACATTGTGTTTGGGGTTCTCAGCCAGTCTGCTCCCTTGACCTCCCAACCCTTAGTGGTACTTTTGACCCACCATTCACTTTGGATGTTGTGGAAGTCCAGTAATACCTTTTGATTACTGTGTACATTTAGTGCAACAGCAAGGGCAAATAAGTTCATAGGATAAAAATGCAGTACAGATCATTTTTGCTTTCTTGGTGAAAACCCAAAATAGAGCTGACGAAAATTCTAAATGGTATATTGCCTTTTTTGGAAACAACTAAAATTTTTAAAGCTCAACTAGTTAAATGCATTACTAAATATGCTATATGTGTGCTGCTTGCTATCAGGAATTTAATTTAGCCAGTTTTATAGGTAGTGTTTGTATAAGTCATTAGGAGTATTAAAAATAATTACCTCAAAATTCTAAAAGTGTTCTGTTATCACATTTTTAATTTTTGCCTGTGATAGTGATCAAGACTTCAGTATAAATACTTCCTAACAACTCCTTCTCTCAATAGGAAGGGGATGGGGCAGAAAGGGGATAAGGAAATGAAGATACTTACGTAATCATAATAGACTCCAGTGTATGTTTGGCATGCACAATGGCCTATACCCTACTCTCTCCTTGCCTTTTTAAAATTGCTATTTATACTTTACATTTTAATAGTACTCTTAAACGTTTTAGAAGCAATATGTTTTGAAAACACATAAAAAAATTTATTTTTTCAATTAGCATATAGTGAGTACTCTTTTTTGATGACTTTTAGCACATGTATAGATCAATGTAATCACTACCAAAATCTAGATACATACTAGTACAGTTCCATCCACCCCAGAACTCTGTTTCTTTTTCCTCGTCTCATTTCTCTGTTTGTAGTCAAACTCTTCCCCTTCCCCACCCCTCAGCTTCTAGCAACCATTCATCTTTTCGTCATTGCTCTAATATTGTTTATTTGAGAATGTCATATATAGGGAATACTGTAGAGTTACTATGTAACCTTTTGAGATTGACTTATTTCATTCAGCATAATGCTTTTGAGGTTCATTTCAGTTGTCACATATATTAATGGTTTGTTCGTTTTTATTGCTGAGTGATATTTCATTGTGTAGATATACCATGGTTTATTTGTCTGTTCACCCATTTATGGACATTTGGGTGGTAGATTATTTCCAGTTTTGAGCAATTATGTATAAGTTTTTATATGAAAATAAGTTTGCATTTCTGAAGGGTAGATACCTAGGAGTGGGATTGCTGTGTCCTGTGGTGTGTGCTTGCTTAATTTTATAAGAAATGGCCAAACTGTTTTCCATACTGGTTGAATGATTTTGCATTTCCACAGAAATGTATGAGAGTTCCTGTTCTGCATCCTCACCAGCACTGGGTGTTATGTCCTTTTTATTTTAGCCATACTATTAGGTATGTAGTAGTATTTCGTGATTTCAATATTCATTTCTCTACTGACTAATGATATTAAGCATCTTTTTGTGCATTTATCTGTCTTATATATACTCTTTGGCGGCGAAGTGTCTATTCAAGTCCTCTGCTTACTGTTTTCTTACTTTTGGAGTCTTGTGGGTACTTTATATATTCTGAATAAAAATCCTTTGTTGAATATGCCATTTGATAATATTTTCTCCAGTTTGTAAACTTGTCTTTTCATTCTCTTAACAGAAGTCTTCCACAGAGCAGGTTTTACATTTTGAATAAGTCCAGCTCACTAGTTTTTTTTTTGTTGTTGTTGTTGTTTTTAATGGATCATGGTTTTGGTATCATGTCTGTGTGTGGAC
The DNA here is from genome assembly GCF_000001405.40 of Homo sapiens. Taxonomy (NCBI): domain Eukaryota; kingdom Metazoa; phylum Chordata; class Mammalia; order Primates; family Hominidae; genus Homo; species Homo sapiens. The sequence continues at coordinate 116,885,316 of NC_000007.14, forward strand.
AAAACACCTATGTTTTTTTTTTTGTATTCTCCCACTCAGCACAACAATCAACACAGAACACTTCTGTGACCCAGTGTTTGGTGGGGAGAGGTGGGAGTCCCCCACCAAAAATCAAGCAATCAGTTCTACAGCGGACACCAGCTGGGTGTCATGTAATTTAACTCCAATACCATCTACCTGGAGATAGTCACATCCCACAGGTGGAGGGCTGAGTCCCCAAGATTGCTCCTTCCCCCACTTCAGACACCAGTCACAAGTCCGGGCATTAGGAACTTCTGACTGACCAGCTATAGATCCAGATTCTCAGAACCCCCTTTTCAGGTTCAATAATTTGCTAGAGTGGCCCACAGAACTCAGGGAAATGCTTACTTACATTTACCAGTTTATTGTAAAGGATACAGATGAAGAGATGCATAGGGTGAGGTATGGAGGAGGGGATCAGAGCCTCCATGCTCTCCCCAGGCACACTACCCTTCAGGAGCCTCCATGTGTTCAGCTCTTCCGAAGCTCTCCAAACCCTCTTTATGGGTTTTTATGGAGGCATTATTATGTAGGCATGATTGATTAAACCATTGGCGACTGGTAATAAACATAACCTTCAGCCCTTCTCCCCTCCCTGGAGTGGAGGTTAGGAGGTGGGTCAGAAGTCCCAGCCCTCTAATCTTGCCTCCTCTTTCAGTGACCAGCCCCACCCTGAAGCTATCAGTCAACATTAGTTTGGAACACTAAGAAGTTTGAAGCAGAATCTATGATTGATGTCAGATACCAGATAGATAACAAAAAGATGATAAGATGATAACAAAAATGGTATTTAAATTAGTGCTTACCAAGTACTTTAGATCATTTACTCTTCCCAAAAATTCTATGAGCTAGTTACTATTTTATATGCACTTTTTAGGTGAGATAGCTAAAGTAGAGGAGATTAGGTAACTGTCAGTCTGATTCCAGAACCTAAAGTTCTATTAATTACAAAATGCTGCTTCTCAAGTTCAAAACTACAAACATTCCCTTTGTCTTAAATAGATGTTTTCTAACCTTTTGAAGGCCTTGTCATACATGTGACCTCTAACTAGGAACATCTTCATTCTAGCCATCTATACCTTTTTTCCATGTTTCTCTCCTCTGAAAATGGTATCTGTGCTTAGATACATGTACATGCACACATAACACATACACAAACACACACAGCCATTTCCTTTTCTTTCCATTATTTTTAGTTTCTACATCAAAGCAATGATAGTGCTATCAAAGTGGTAGATATAAAAATAAATCAAGGCTTTGTTTTTGCCAAGGATGGTCCCTTCATACAGTGAGTACTTGAATGTGCATAAAAATCACCTGGAGATGTTGTTTAAATGGTGTTTCCCAGGACCTGTCTCCAGAGATTCTGATTCAGTCAGTTGGTCTGGGGCCAATGAATTTGCACTTTTGACAAGGTGCTGCTGAGGCTGCTTGCCTAAGGACTACACTTTCAGGGACACTACCTCAGCTTATTCACAGGTACCATGTAGTGTGATTGGATGGCTCCTATACATAAGGTGCTTTCACTAAACTATTATGTTGGGCACATCATCTACCCTCTCAGATATATTTTCATTAGTGATTAATCTCTTTATCAAAATAGGCTTTATTCTCTTAAAATATGCCTGTTAGCACACCTGTTGATGTTCAATCTCCTACTTGTCTTTGAACTAAGATTTCCTAAGATCTGGTCAGGTCTCCTGTTAAACCTTTTGAACTTAAACTTTTCCTTTCTCCTTTTTTTCTACATGTTTTACTAATTTGTGAGTTTTTAATCAAATATGTATGTCATTGTTCTTCATTTTATTTATGCCTAAATGCGTCTTGTCTTCACACATAGAAAATTTTGTCATTGATTTTTTTTTCACTTTAGTTTAGAAGAAATAAAATTCCTTATAAGAAATTGTTGGCCAGGTGTACTGGCTCACGCCTGTAATCCCAGCACTTTGGGAGGCTGAGATGGGAGGATCCTTTGAACTCAGGAGTTCAAGACCAGCCTGGATAACATAGTGAGATCCCTTCTCTATCAAAAATACAAAAAATTATCCAGGTGTGGTGGCACGTGCCTGTAGTCCCAGCTGCTCAGGAGGCGGAGGTAGGAGGATGGCTTGAGCCCAGGAGGCAGGGGTTGCAGTGAGCCAAGATCACACCACTGCACTCCAGCCTGGTGACAGAGCAAGACCCTGCCTCCAAAAAAAAAATGAAATAAAATAGGCCAGATGTGGTGGCTCACACCTGTAATCCCAGCACTTTGGGAGACTGAGGCAGGCAGATTATTTGAGGTCAGGAGTTGAAGACCAGCTTGGCCAACATAGTGAAACCTCATCTCTACTAAAAATACAAAAAATTAGCTGGGCATGGCGGCACGCGCCTGTAGTCCCAGCTACTTGGGAGGCCAAGGCAGGAGAATCACGTAAACCCAGGTGGCAGAAGTTGCAGTGAGCTGAGATTGTGCCACTGCACTCTAGCCTGCGTAACAGAGTGAGACTCCATCTCAAAAAATAAAAAATTAAAGTTAAATAAAATAAGAAATTGTTTATCTGTAAGCAGCTTTGAATCTTTATTCATTCAGTATTGTATATTTTATCTACATTCAGTCTGTATGTTGTGATTATATTAAATTATTGAAACAGTAGTGATCTTAAGGTGATTGAGTGAAAAAGTATCACTGTATTTAAAATCTTAAGCCATTTTCAGTAGAGCTTTGAAATAATATAATTTTGCATGTTTTGTGCTTATTTTAGCAGAAGCCTGTGATATGGAACATTTATATCTTTCTTTCTGTTTCAGGTGCGTATAGCAGCAAAATTCATCATTCATGCCCCTCCTGGAGAATTTAATGAGGTTTTCAATGGTGAGTGTTTGATTTATAACACTAGGCTTGATATATCAAGCCCTCTTTTTAAAAGAAAACCAAAATAATCAAAATAAGCTAAGGACAGTATGCAGAAAAATCTGTGTTTTCTGAATTACAATGACAATATGTTAGTCTGGATTTTGTAATGGCTAGAATATAATGTATTTATTTATATATGATGATTCTGTTAGCAAATTAACCCTTTTAAAGCCTGAAATAAATTTTATTCATATCACTGACTAGAATATATCCTCATTCTGGGAAAGGAGAGTCTTTTTGGTAAATGGTTTTATTTAAGTAAAACTATAAACGCATATAGTAGATATTTCTTCAATAGAACTCTTAAATAGTTTAAAAAGACAACAGGCCAGGTGCAGTGGCTCACTCCTGTAATACCAGCACTTTGGGAAGATGAGGCAGGCAGGTCACTTGAGACCAGGAGTTCGAGACCAGCCTGGGCAGTATGGTGAAACCTTGTCTCTACCAAAAAAAAAAAAAAAAAAAAAGCCAGGTGTGGTGGCATGCTCCTGTTTTGAGAGGCTGAGGTTGGGGAATCATTTGAGCTCAGGAGGTTGCAGAGAGCCGAGATCACACCCATTGCACTCTAGCCTGGGCAACAGAGTGAGACCCTATCTCAAAAAAACAAAAACAAACAAACAAAAAAAAGTTTCATCATGACCATATATTTTTTGGAATTGTGAAAGGAATTTTTGTATTTCTTTTAAAGAAAATCCTATGAGATCGGTATGAATAGCCAAAAGAAAAAGGGAAAAAACATTTTCATCCTGCATAGAGCATGATAGCACATGTAAAAACAATTTGTTATTTAAATTATGTCTTGTAAATCACTTCACAGTATGCGTTCCTTTAAACTTCACTGGCAGACGTTTTTATAATTATTCACCCATAGATCTGAAATTTAAACTGCTGTAAAGTCTCCTGGTTACTATAGACTGTAGCAATAGCTGCTCCTCAGCAGTAAGAACAACATGCCTGAAAGAAAAATGGCCTGTAGTGATCTCTTTATAAAACTTCTTAAGTAGTTAGAAAAATACATTACTTTCAAGTACTATCTATAAATGTGTTGTTGTTTCTTCTTCATATACATTTGAACTTCACCGTGTCTTAAAAGTGAATTTACACAGAGCTCTTCAGTTTCCGTTTTTTAAACATTCTACTCCATAGTAAACTAGTTAAATGTTTTTTAAGAAGTTTAATCATTTTTTTTTCTTAGTATAAGATATAGGACTGGGCACTGTGGCTCACTCCTGTAATCCCAACACTTTGGGAGGCTGAGGCAGGAGGATTGCTTGAGGCTGGGTGTTTGCGACCAGCCTGGGCAACATAGTGAGGCCCCCCTCCCCATCTCTACCAAAAAAAAAAAAAAAGATATAATGGAATCTCACCTCAGAAAAGATTAGTTTTGAAAGTCAGAAAGTGAGGCAAAAGTTGTATAAAGTTAAAATTACCCTAGAAATCCCTGAGGTCATCCACAAACTACAATAATACATGATTTAGTGCATACAATTACATATGGCAGTTCTTATGCATTTTAAAATTTAACTACTGAGCTGTACTTAGAAGGCAGAATGGAGAATTGGCATTGTAAAAAAATCCAGAAATTAAAATCTGCTGTTTAATATAACTACAAAATCTCATGTAGTGAACTAGGGAGTTGGAGAGAATTCAGAAGTACTTTTACTTCGTGTAAGATTTCACTTCTTTTTTAATATTCAGGTTCTGTAACCTACATATACATTAATACATTTGATGGTTGGGGGATTAAAGAAGATAGTCTCTTCCTCCTTAGGGTCAAAAAGTGGCATGTAACTTAAATTGATAATGGTGAGACTGCACTAAAGTCAGTAGCTTCCCAATTACAATTCACAGAGCCAAGAATAAACAGAATTTTAAGAAAAATTTTCTACATACTTTTCTTACCTTGAGTTAAATGCCCTGCATATTTAATCAGGAAAGTCCTAAAAGAATGTATGCATCCTAGAAATTGCTTTCCTAAGTCTCATTTAAAATTGACATTGAGTTAATATATTCTCTGTTGAGTTGTAGTAAATTTGGGCATTTAGGATGAGCCTATTAAATAGGCCTGGGTAGAGGGTAAGCTATGGAATAGAAGTGGGGATATAGGATTTATCTAATAAATTTTAACTGAAAGAATATTTAAGAGTTAGATAAAAGGGTGGGCATGGTGGCTCATGCCTATAATGCCAGCGCTTTGGGAGGCCAAGCCCGGTGGATCACCTGAGATCAGGAGTTCAAAACCAGCCTGGCCAACATGGTGAAACCCTGTCTCTACTTAAAAAAAAAAAAAAAAATATATATATATATATATATATATATATATATATATATATATACACATATATATATATATATATATATATATACACACACACACACACATATATACAAAAATTAGCAGGGTGTGGGTGGTGCATGCCTGGGAATCCCAGCTACTCAGGAGGCTGAGGCAGGAGAATTGCTCAAACCCAGGAGGCGGAGGTTACATTGAGTCAAGATCGCGCCACTGCACTCCAGCCTGGGTGACAGAGTGAGACTCTGTCTCAAAAAAAAAAAAAAAAAAAAAAGAGTTAGAAAAGAATTAAATATTTGAAGGTAAATATGATATGAATGTGATTATTTTCTATTTTTATTGAAAACCACAGTGTCAGAATGATTCCAAAAAGAGCCACAAAATTTTAGAATTACAAAGTTAATAAAACCTTAACAGTTAGATGGTTCCCAAATGCTGTTTCCTAGGCTGACTGTGTTAGAATCATCGAAACATGGATTTCTGGTCTTCATTCTCAAACATCTCAAACATATAGTCATAGATCTGGACTAGGGCTCTGAAATCTACATTCCTTACATCTCCTGTCCTCCACCCTGTGGTTTATGTGTTGCCTGACTTGGAGCCACAGCCTGATTTCTTCTTTAAGAGAAATATTTTATTCAAATTATCCTCTTTTTATTTCTTCTACTCTTCTTATGATAAAAGCATGGATTTATTATTTTTTTCCAGAGTAGAGCTGACAAATAGATCTTGTTTTTCAATCATTTACCCATTTGGAACTGGAATAGGCATACTGTCCATGCAATATCGCTGTTCATTATGTTTAAACTATTGATGATAAATTTATCAAATAGAACTTCCCACTTTGTGGGATAAAAATAACAGTAATTATAAATTTCTCTATTTTTTAAAATAGTTTTTTAGGCAGAAGCATCCATTGTTTAAAATCAGTTAATTTCAAAATTAAAATAGTATTATTTCAGTGGTTAGCAAAGGATATTGTTTTTTGTTTGTTTGTTTGTTTTGAGATGGAGTCTCGCTCTGTTGCCCAGGATGGAGTGCAGTGGCGTGATCTCGGCTCACTGCAAGCTCCGCCTCCCGGGTTCACGCCATTCTCCTGCCTCAGCCTCCCAAGCAGCTGGGACCCTAGGTGCCCGCCACCACGCCCGGCTAGTTTTTTGTATTTTTAGTAGAGACGGGGTTTCACCGTGTTAGCCAGGATGGTCTTGATCTCCTGACCTCGTGATCCACCCTCTTCGGCCTCCCAAAGTGCTGGGATTACAGGCATGAGCCACCACACCCGGCCAGGATATTGTTTTTTAAATAAGGACCTGTTGCTGAAAAGAGGTGAGGTATGTGAATAGGCAGTGGGTTTTTTCTTTTGAAATGGCTTTATTGTAAAAATGATTCATAGTCATTGTAAACTTTCCAAAGTACAAAAAAGAATCTAAACTTCACAAAAAATTCTACCTTCCAGTTCCCTGTTGTTCAAATGAATTACTTCAAACATCTCTCAACTAACAAGTATATTTAACAATACATAAATATGATAATATACATACTAAATTTTTCTCTTCCTGTTTATTATATTACAAATGTATTTCCATGTTGGTAAATATAAGTGTACATTATTTTTCATGGCTGCCTAGTTTCACACTCTATGTAAGAATTATAGTCTTTTTACATTTAACCAGTTTCTTAATGGAAGATATTTAGGTTGTTTGTGTTATTTTCATCTAATGAAAAATTAGAATACATTGTATTATTTACTTTATAATTGCAACTAAGTAAAATAGCCAGGTGCTTAGGAAAAATAATGAAAGAAAATACAGTAAGACTAGAAAAGAATTTGGTTTTTTGATGAGAGCCGTACGTGACTTTTTTCTTTTATGTTTTACAAAGTGCTTGGATTTTTTTCAATAAAAATGCTATTTTTGAAGTCACCTTCAAAAATAAGAATAATCCTAAATCTTTTCTGCAGACTTTAACATACCATATTTCCAGTGGAGCTCATCTCCCCTTTAGTTCCTTGGAGATACATTACATATAGCAGGGGTGTCCAATCTTTTGGACACATTGGAAGAAGAAGAATTGTCTTGGGCCACACATAAAATACACTAACAATAGCTGATGAGCTTAAAAAAAAAAAACTCACGATGTTTTAGAGTTTACAAATTTGTGTTGGATTGCGTTCAGAGCTATCCTAGGCCATGGGTTGGACAAGCTTGGATTTTAGTCTGCCTGCATTGACTGTTAAGGGTGTAAACAAGTATGTATTTCTATTTCATTCCCCTTCATATTTACTAACCAAAACCTTTTTTTTTTTTTTAATACTATGTTGTGTGTTTGGTTATTTTGGTCATGAGTGATATTTTGATCTTGCTTGTGTTTGGGGTGGGAGGTGTTAATACATCACCAAAACAATCTGCGTTCATTACATTCTTGAAACATATAACAATAATAATGTAGATAACATAATTGTTTTGCAGATGTTCGGTTACTGCTTAATAATGACAATCTTCTCAGGGAAGGAGCAGCCCAGTAAGTATTATTTATCATACTAACCTAACTAAAATGACATGGGAAAACGAGAGATGCTTTAAAAGTGTGTGGGGGTTTTTTGTGGGTTTTTTTGTTTTGTTTTGAGATGGAGTCTCACTCTGTCGTCCAGGCTGGAGTTCAGTGGTGCGATCTCGGCTCACTGCAACCTCTGCCTCCCGGGTACAAGCGATTCTTCTGCCTCAGCCTCCCGAGTAGCTGGGACTACAGGCGCGCACCACCACGCCTGGCTAATTTTTGTATTTTTAGTAGAGATGGGGTTTTACCTTATTGGCCAGGCTGGTCTTGAATTCCTGACCTCGTGATCCACCTGCCTCAGCCTCCCAGAGCTCTGGGATTACAGGCGTGAGCCACCACATCCGGCCTAAAAGTGTTTTTAAAGCACTAATCTCTGACATAGATATTTGCACATCAAGTTCAAATGTGTATGATTTTATATATCCTAGCCAGGGTAGGAGAAAAATATTTTTTATCACAGAAGGACTTAGAGGTACAACTATGACATGAAATTATTCACTGTGTGTCTAGCGGTGCCTTATACATTCAGTTAATACTGTATTTTGGCATTTGCAAAGTTGGAAGAAATTGTGGTTGCTACCATTTTTATGTAGATTTTGCATTTTCTTTTATGTTTGACCCTAATAGCTTTTGAGAGCTTTTAAAGTTGTGAGTTTATTTACTCATAAATGCCTAACGTAGTACCTGACACATACATGTACACTGAATTTTTGAGTGATTTAAAGAAGTAGGCAATTCTAAATCTTAATACATCGTCTTTGCACCAGTGACCCCAGCCATGACTTTTCGCAGCTATCCTGCAATTTCAGAGAAATAATTGATTCTCTCCCTACTTCTCCCAAAATAAGGTCTAGAGACTGTTATTTTAGGCTTACCGATTCTACTACTCATTTGAAAATGATGAAGTAGTGCATTCTTTCTTACAAAGAAAGTTTAGTATCCATCCAGTCAGTTACTTTTCATCCTAGTATAATACCCAATATGTAAAATCCTGACTGATGGCTGGGTGCGGTGGCTCACGCCTGTAATCCCAGCACTTTGGGAGGCCGAGGCAGGCGGATTACGAGGTCAAGAGATTGAGACCATCCTGACCAACATGGTGAAATCCCGTCTCTACTAAAAATAGAAAAATTAGCTGAGCATGGTGGCACATTCCTGTAGTCCCAGCTACTTGGGAGGCTGAGGCAGGAGAATCGCTTGAACCCAGGAGGCAGAGGTTGCAGCAAGCCGAGATGGCGCCACTGCACTCCAGCCTGGTGACAGAGCAAGACTCCGTCTCAAAAAAAAAAAAAAAAAAATCTGACAGGGAAAATTTCTCTGATTTTATTGTTAGAACATTTGAAGCCTTTAAAAAATAAAAAATGGCCTTTATGAAGGTAGAGGTTCAACAGACTTGTGGGCATATCTGCTTTTGCTTGTGATTAAAATTTCTGTTATTTATAGCAGTTTTTTAATTGTGGAAAAATACACATAAAACATACTATTTTACCCATTAAGTGTACAGATCAGTGGCTTTAATACCTTTATATTGTTATGTAATCATAGCCACCATCCATTTTCAGTACTTTTTTCATCTTTTTAAGCTGATACTTGAAAGCCCCAGGCAACCATTATTCAACTACCTATGAATTTGACAACCTAGGTACCTCTTATAAGTAGAATCTTATAGTATTTGCCTTTTGTGACTGGTCTATTTTACTTAGCCTAATATCTTCAAAGTTTATCCATATTGTAGCATGTGTCAGAATTTCCTTCCTTTTTAGGGCTAATAATATTCTGTTGTATCTGTATAGCACATTTTGTTTATCCGTTTATCTTCCAATGGACACTTGAGTTGCTCCCACCCATTAATTATATTAAAGTGCTTCATAGGAATCAGTGTAGTTTATCCTTTTGGTTTTAGTTAACAATTTATGAGTAAATGACCACTTGCTCCTAAATATTTTAAAGCTTATTGAAACTTTTTATATATTAAAGTAAAATTAATTTTCTTTATAATAATATAAAACATGTTGAGAAAAGTCTTATGGATGCAAAGGAAACATACAGCGTTTTTGAACAATACTTTCAAAGTAAGCTTTTCCTTTGTGTTCTCTATGTTAAATAAGTTGTGGGTTTCATGTGGTGCAAAAATGAGTGGATTTTTTTTAAGTCAAGAAATGAGAAACTTGGTAAGTCAGAGTACTATTCATATTTATATAAATAGCATGAAATAGTTATACATTTGACTCAAGATACGTGAAAGTATGGGACTTTTATTTGTCCAAAGAATTATTGATCTGTTAATGATTGTTAGATTTAATTTAAATAAATTATATTTGTTGTAAGAGAAATTTGAAGATGAGCTTCATTTCTCTTTTATTATAAACCAAATTTCTGGAACAGCTGTGATCCACACTTCATGTGCATTGTAACAGGAAATACATGATATTCTGATCTTTTAAGTAAACGAGTATTTGAGGACATCGGTAATTGTGATAAAATATGATGCTTATAGTATGACCCTCAGAAAAAACTCATCAAAACCTTTACTAGAAACTTCAGATTTTCTTTGCATGTAGTTATAATCTCAGTGAATGTTTGCTTACTAGTAAAAAAAAAAAAATAGTTTGATTGACTTCAGTAGTATGCAATTTCTCAAAACTCTCCATTTGAGTTCATGTTGTAGACATCTCTGGGTGTCTGTGAAGTACAGAATATATACTGTAAGTCACTGATTGACTTGACTTTAGAATGCTATTACTCTGGTTCACAGTGTCCTCTCTGTGAAATAATTTCTGAGCAAAAGTAGTGTTACCCTGTTCTTCATCCCACTTAGTTCTGAATTACTTTTGTCCTCAAAAGATAATAATTTGTTACCTATCATTGAGGCCATCCAAAACTACGTAACAAAAGCTTAGAAGGCATTATAAAAACATTTAGAATGTGTTCCAGTGGCAGTTTCACTAGGGTAAGTGTATAGCTATAGACTGTTTCTTTTTCACTTGCACTTTTTGATGTTGAATTTCTTTTATACAAATACATCTTTCCCACATATATGTATGTTTCCTCCTTTCCTCCACCTTTGCCTTGTTGCTTTATCTCCTTTTTTTTTCTTTGCCCTTTACCGTTTTTGTAGTGGGGAAAACATGACAATTATTCTTTAGAGTGGTTGTAATGGGACATCTTTACAAAAAGCTACCAACTCAGTATGTTTCAGAGCAAAATTAGCCATACTGAAGAGTTGGTATTGTCAAGTCAAGAACACTTTGAAACATCCAGAAATAGCTTTTTATTCAACAGACATTGCTAGACTTTGCTGTGATGATGAGATAAATAAGCCTTTTAGGGATTTTCCAGTGGAGAGTCAGACATGTTTAATATTAGACCAAGTGAAACGAAATACAATAGAGGCATGTGAAAGGGCTTTATAACCCAAAGGAAGAAATTTTGAATTTCTATTTAGAGGTGGTTTTTGAGCTGTTTTAAATGAACAGGATTTTAATAGTAAGAAAAATGATGTGGCTAAACTTAGGGAAGAGCATGGAGAAAAGTATAAGATACAACTTGATGGAAAGGGTATAAAAATCTAAATACAGTAACAGGTGACTTAGAAATTGATTGGGCGACAGAATTCTGCAAGAGCAGGGAGAACATTGTTTTTACCGTGTCTAGTAGAATGCTTAGCTTATAGTAATAAGAGCTCAGTAAGTATTTGCATAGATGGAGGGGTGGATGAAGGAATGATGAGTGGGTGCATGAAGTGAGTTTTATGACCTGAAGACACTTGAATTTATCTGGTCCAAACTACTGTTTTTGTATCTATAAAGTAAGTGAGGTGGCCTGTACTGGTTAATGATATGGTTGAAGCAAAATTTGGATATTATCACTCCTAGATGAGTACCTTTTCCACTGTACTGTGTAATTGTCACCATTTAACTTATTTTGAGCCTTTAAGATAAAATTTTAACCTATTTCATATTACTTGTCTCCTTTTCAGATTTCCTATTTTTCCTTTATCCCCTCCTCCCAAGTTAGAGGTGGATGGCGTTTTATATTACGGGCAATAAAAGGCTTTCAGTCCAGCCTGGGCCCAATTTACTGTTTAAACTTATTTAAATATGACCTTACTGGAAAATGAATCCAAAATTCTAATTGACTTGGTTTTAAACATACTTTTGGGATAAATCATTTAAGGATTAATAATGCCCTGGCTGTATTGAGTTTATTCTTAGGAAAATTACAGTTTTCGTGAATTAGGAAAATGAGAAGTGAATAGCTTCTTTTTTCTTTCTCACCCTTGTACACTTCTGTATTCAATGTCATCTTTTTTGAGCATGTAGTATCAAGAATTTGACAGCTAATAATTTAATTCTACTTTGCTATTTTTACATTTACTAGTCTCCTATTAACTCATCAGTAATGCTTTGTTCAACCAGGCTTTCCTTTCTAGAGGAGACTCAGGAGCTAATACCTGAAAATTCAGTGGACGCCTGGCCATCCCGAATAATCTGGAAGTTTCCAAGTAGATTAGAGATGTATTTCTGAGTTTGGAAATTCTCAGTATCCTTTCTGTTAAGTGACAGTGATTTCCCAGATTTTAGATTTAATTTAAAAATACAATTTTTAGATAATATTTTATACTCTTGAGAATTTTTTCTATACATATATATGGTAATGTATTATTCTTTACTCTTATGGAGTAGATAGAGAGTAGCTTTATTCTTGGATCCATCTCGTCACCATTTCCTACCTCACACTCTGCGGTTTTTAACCTTAGCAACTGCCTAACTGCTTTTTCTGGCTCTCGTTGCTCCACTGCCCAATTCATCATCTACACTGCTGCCAAATTAATCTTCTTTAGAAGTACTTCTGTGTTCTCCTTTCTCAAAAAGCTTCTGTAACTCTGCTCTGTCTCCCAAATAATTATTCCATCATTCAGAGCCTTTCAGTTCATTTCAGTAAGTATAACTGAACACCCGCTATGAGCCAGGCATTGAGCTTGGTGCTTTCTGTGATGTTGGACCTAACTTATTTTCTCAGGCATTTTGCTCATACGGTCACTCTGCTCTTTTCTGCCCATCCCTCCAATTTCCATAAACCAGAGCCTATCCAGTTTTTCAAGTCGGTTTTTCAGTATCACAGTTATTAAGAAATTACCCCAATTCTCTTCTCTTCTCACTGTTGCCTCAACAGAATGTAATCTTTTTTTTTTTTTAAGCATTCTTTGCAGTGCTTCATTGGTAATTCTCTTACTATGCTTCATACTTTGTGTTATGGTTATGTTTATCCATTTTCTCTTTTATTCACCTGTAGGCCTTTGATCAGAGAATGTATCTAAGTATTCTTTGCATCTCTTACAGCACCTAGTCTGTTTCCTGGTATACTAAATATATACTTGAACAATTGGATGCATCTCTTATCAGTAACTAACCTTTATTTTCAGGTTCTTGAATGAAAAGGCCAGTTATATTTACTGATTTAATTTTATTTTGCTAAACATTGAAAGCTGGACATCATTGTTCAGTTTTTAAAATAGGCATGTCATTATTTGTAGTTAGTATAAGTTCAGTAATGGAGAATTACAATTTTATTTATTTTGCAGTGTGCAATGTAGGAGGAGACTTTATTGATGGGTGAATTTTTTGACCATTGTTTTTAAAAAACATTAAATATATAATTTTAAGTAATTGCCATTTTCTTTTTTTTAGTGCATTTGCACAGTATAACTTGGACCAGTTTACTCCAGTAAAAATTGAAGGTTATGAAGATCAGGTATGTTTCATATAAACACTATTCTTTGTTTTGTTTATAACCGTTAAGGTATCCTGCAAGAGCTGTGAAGTGGTATGCTGCAAGATAAAAAATTATTCATATTTTAATCATAACCACTTATGGGCAAAGTAATTGAAGTTTTACTTTCTTTTGGTGATACCAGTAATACTATTAGCAGAAAGTCCCTTTTAGAAATACTCAGATGTAGTTCATTTAAGATTTTAGTAAATGATTACTGTAAATCTACTTTCTTATTTTTTTCTGGGAAAAAAATCAATCCCATATTAATCCAAAGTCTAGAATATATGTGTAGTAGATTTATATCATAATTTGGTTGCTCTGGAATTCTGTAGTTCTTCATGTGAGTAATTTAGCATTTAGTGATTATTAAATCTCTTCTTTCCAAACTACAAGTTAGATTTGCTAAGCTAAGAAAAGCCACAAAAGGTCACTAGCATTTTTTTTTTATTTAGAGTTTCTAATAAATAGTGATTATATGAATGCATTTCATGCTTGCATGAAGGACAGCTTATGTAAAACACTATGAAGAAGAACTGGTAGGTAGAACATAAGCGAAAGTGGTTAAGAAAGAACATAAGAGAAAGTTCTTAGTGGCTAATCATGTCAAAGCTTTTATTTGGCATTAGTCGTTACGTAATATGTAGTCATAGTTACGGGGGACAAGCAAAGACTAGGCTAGAAGGTGACTTGTAACTGAAGGGAAATTTTAAGCTTATTTATAGATATGTGTGTGTATATACAAAGCTATGTAGAGTGTCATTGTATTAATCTGCAAAATTTATTTTATCTCTGGGAAGATTTGGGTTTTTTTTTTTTGCTTTTTCTTTACTACTATAAATAATGCCATATTAAACATCTTTGTACCTCTTATATTAACAATTTTTTTGGGATAAATTGCTATAAGAAAATTTGCTGTGTCTTTTAAAAATGTTAGATAGCCTCCAAAGTCACTTTATGAACCTAGTGTAATTTTAATATTAAATATTTAAAACTAAAAAGATAAAACAAAAAAGGTAAACAGTATACTAACTTCACATGGACTATAGATTTTAAAACTTTAAGTAAGATACTAACAAATAGGATTTAGAGATATATCCAAAGAATAATATACCAAAACTAAACAGAATTTTTACAGAAATGCAAAAATGGTTCCATGTAAGACATATTGGTCTTACATATTAATAAAGAGAAAAATCTTATGATGTATCAATAGACAGTAAAAAGAGATTTGAGAAATTCAGTAGCCATTTTCTCATTAAAAATAAAAATTCTAGTAAAATAGAGAATCGAAGAAAACCTCTTAAATATGAAACACTTTAACAAAAATTAATAGTAAATGTCATAAACTAAAACATTAAAATAATTTTAGTTAAAATGTAAAATTAGCTAGGTATGCCTGCTTATCAGCATTATCATTTATCATAAATGGAGATGTAGCAAATAAGACAAAAACATGAGAACTTGTAAAATTTGGAAAAGAAAACTTATTTGTGACATGATTTATATATTTAGGAATACCAAGAGATTCTAATAATATAACTCCCAACCAAAAAAAAAAAAGCTATTAGAATTAATAAAAGAATTTGGGGAGATGTCTGAATTTAAGGTAAGGATACAAAACTCATGAGTTGTCCTTTATTACAGCAAGTAAGGACCTGAAACTAGAAATGGTGGGGGTCAGAGTGGGCCAGGGAATTCAATTTAAAATGATGGTAAAAGTTACAGATTAGGAATAAGCTTCATCAAAAAAAGGCATACGATTATGAAGAAAATAGTGACGGTCTTCTCAAGCAACAAAAGCAAAAACTGACACATGGGATATAATTAAAGAGCTTCTGCACAGCAAAGGATACTATCAACAGAGTAAACAGACAACCTACAGAATGGGAGACAAATTTTGCAAATTATGCCTCTGACAAAGGTTTAAATCCAGCATCTATAAAGAACTTAAATTTAAAAGATAAAAACAAGCGCATTAAAAAGTGGGCAAAGGATATGAACAGACACTTTTCCAAAGCAGACATACTTGAGGCCAAACAAGCATATGAGAAAAAAGATCACCATCACTGATAATTAGAAAAATGCAAATCAGAACCACAATGAGATACCATTTCAAACCAATCAGAATGGCTATTATTAGAAAGTCAAAAAATAACAGATGCTGGTGAGGTTACGGAGCAAAAGGAATGCTTATACACTGTTGGTGGGAGTGTATATTCAACTATTATAGAAGACAGTGTGGCGATTCCTCAGAGATCTAAAAACGGAATTACCATTTGACCCAGCAATCCCATTACTGGTTATATACCCAAAGGAACAGAAATCATTCTATTATAAAGAAACATGCTCACATATGTTCATTACAGCACTATTCACAATAGCAAAGACGTGGAATCAATCTAAATATCAGTGATGATAGACTAGGTGAAGAAAATGTGGCATATATACACCATAGAATACTATGCAGCCGTGAAAAAGAACAAGCTTTATGTCCTTTGCAAGAACATGGATGGAGCTGAAGGCCATTATTCTTAGCAGACTAATAAAATATCTTAGCAGAAAATCAAATATCACATGTTCTCACTTATTAGTGGGAGATAATGATGAGAACACATGACACATAGAGGGGAACAAAACACACTGGGACCTATCAGAGGATGAAGGGTGGGAGGAGGGAGAGGATCAGGAAAAATAACTAATGGGTACTAGGCTTAATACCTGGGTGATGAAATAATCTGTGCAACACCTGCATGACACAAGTTTACCTATATAATAAACCTGCACATGTACCCCTGAACTGTTAAGAAAGAAAATAGTGATACTCTTCTTGAAACACATAAAACAGGATCTGACCAATGGAAAGGTGCTCTACATTCCATTCTTAGATAGAAAATTAAATTATTTTAAAAGTAATGTATGGATTTGATGAAATTTGAATTAGAATCCTGATCAGTTTTTTTTTAATTGGTCAATATTTTCATAAAGTTTATGTGGAAAAAAAAACATGCTTGAAATAACGAAGAAATGTGTGTGTGTGTGTGTGTGTGTGTGTGTGTATGTGTGTATATATATATATGTATATATTTATGAAAAAACCATTAAGCACAATGAGGGAGAATTGCCTTACCAGATAGTACAAGTTGTTTTACAGCCAATGTTAAGTCAATGTGGTGGTGTATGGAGTAGACAAAAAATCATTAGAGCAGCATGGAGAACCAGAATTTAGTCTCAGAATATATGAAAAATTTTATACAGATATTGGCATAACTGGTTTCTATAAGAAGAAAATTAAGTTGGACCTCTGTCACATACAGTATACAGAAATAGATTTCAGGTGGTTTTAAAATGTGAAAAGTGGCTAACATTTTAGAAGAAAATCTGAGTCTACATGTGCAATACAGGGCTAGGGAGACCATCTTAAATAACACTGGATACCCAGGAAGTATAAAAGATGGACATTTTACTATAAATGTTTTTAACTGTAGAATGAAGCCTATCTTAAAGAACTCTTATAAATTGATAAGAAAAAGACACCAGATAAAAATATTTTATTATATTTGCTCACAGAAGAGCAAATGACCCACAAATGTGAAAAGCCATACTTAGTTTTATCAGTAGTCAGTGGAATTAAAATGATATATTTTCTACCATCAGACTAAAAAAAGAGCTATAGTGCCTATCATTGGTGGTAATATGGATGGAAACATACTCTCATATATGTGTAGAAATTTGGATTGTCACAGGAGTATATATTAAAAATTATAATACCTGATGTCCCTACCACCACTGCTTGGGAATTTATTCAATAGAAATAAAAGGATCCAATGGAAATAAAAACATCAGTATGTTAAAATATATGTACAGCAATACTCATTTCACCTTTTTTGTTGTTGTTATTGAGTCAGGGTCCTGCTCTGTCACCCAGGCTGGAGTGCAGTGACACAATCACAGCTCGCTGCAGCCTCAATCTCCTGGGCTGAGTAGCTGGGACTACAGGCACATGCCACCACGACTGACTAATTTTAAAAAATTTTTTTGTAGAGATGAGGTCTTACTATGTTGCCCGGGCTGGTCTCAACCTCCTGAGCTGAAGCTATCCTGCCCCCTTGGCCTCCCAAAGCACTAGGATTACAGGCATGAGCTACCACACCCAGTCTTATTTCACCATTTTTAATGTGTTCCTCCTTTCCCCGAAAAAGGAAACAGCCCAGAAATAAAGAGATGGCACATCAGTAGTGGATTGGCAGACTAAATTATGTTATAATCACGTCATGGGACATTATGCAGCCATTTAAAAGAATGGTGAGAAATATATCACTTGACTTTGAGGGATTTCCATAGGATGTTTATATTGAAAGAAGCCAGATGCAGAGAAGAGTGTGTGTGTGTGTGTGTGTGTGTGTGTGTGTGTGTGTACGTACACACACACATTTTCATTGCATTCTTATAAAATAATGACCAGTCGCTTCTCGGCCTTTTGGCTAAGATCAAGTGTAGTAAAATAATGACCAAAAAATTCTGTGTGTATGCAAGTATAGACATGTGTATATCTTTATCTGTAAGATTTTATGACTATGAAAAAAAATTTAGAAAGGTATATCCTGTGTTGTTAGCATGATATATATCAGAGGGATGGATAAGTCCCGACATAGCTAAGGAGTCAAAGACTGGAAGAATTACAAGAGAAGGAAAAGGGGAAATTTTTTAAATAAAGCACAAAATATCAGATTATACATTATGCATTGTGGATGTATTATTTAAATTTATGGAAATGAAGTATGTTTTTAAATACTTGGAAGTCAATTAAAATCAGTTGTCAATGTAGTTTTTAAGAAGCAAGAAACAGATACGTCAAAGTAGGTAAGACTGTGGGCCCAGAGGCAAGGTGGGGGACACACCAAAGAGGATTTGCACCAGACCAAAGCCATTCAGGTAACCACCCTGATTGGAGGTTCTCACAAGTTCTGTAGTTTTGAGGAACTGGAGTCTGATACCAGACATTGTAAACTGTTAGAGTTCTCAAAGCAGAAAACCCACCAAACCCACTTGAACAGTGTTTTTAGAGGTTGCATTTTTTTTCACCAGTAGCTGGAAGTTATATTGGGAGAAAATCTGATCTGCACTGGATGAGAGTAATGTCATTGTCTGTATAGTCAACTCATTTGAAGTATTAATAGTTGTACCATATGGTTAAAATATATGCTTGGAGTAGGATTGTTTTATAGTTTTAAGGAAGAAGCTTAAATGAGTGTAATTATGATGTATCAATATTGAAATGCTGTTTTTTTATTTTTTTTCTAAATTCATTCCATCATCAAAGGTATTGATAACAGAACATGGCGACTTGGGAAATGGAAAGTTTTTGGATCCAAAGAACAGAATCTGTTTTAAATTTGATCACTTAAGGAAGGAGGCAACTGATCCAAGACCCTGTGAAGTAGAAAATGCAGTTGAATCATGGAGAACTTCAGTAGAAACTGCTCTGAGAGCTTACGTAAAAGAACATTACCCGAATGGAGTCTGCACTGTAAGTCATCAGTAGCAGCTTTGTGTGTGTGTTTTGTGTAAATGTGAGTCTTTAGCGTCTCTTAAAATTTACAGTAACTTACAGAATTGACATTGTATAATTTGTCATTTTTTTCCTTAAATATTTCTAAGAATGTTTACTATTTTTTCAAGAAATTCTGGATAATAAATAGATATACTAGGATGGCTTAAAATAGAGAAATGGTTGTACCTTGATTTAAATCCATGTAGAAATTCTAATACATTGATTAAAGGAGCAGGATATGGTGAGATTCTGTAATCTTATGTTCATGACTCGTCTCAGTTTAGATCAAAGTTATTTTTATTAAGTCACAGAAATCTTAGAACAAATAAAATTACTTGGAAGTAAAATTATGTGTTTCTGTATTTTACAGTTACATTTCTTGTGTTTTTTGTGTGGTTCTTTCGTAGGTTCAACCTATTTTTATATTTTCAAGAAATATATGGCTGGGCACAGTGGCTCACGCCTGTAATCCCAGCACTTTGGGAGGCCGAGGCAGGTGGATCACCTGAGATCAGGAGTTCGAGACCTGCCTGGCCAGCATGGTGAAACCCTGTCTCTACTTAAAAAAAAAAAAAAAAAAAACAATTAGCCGGGCGTGGTAGCACGTGCCTGTAGTCCCAGCTACTCGGGAGGCTGAGGCAGAATTGCTTGAACCCAGGAGGCAGAGGTTGCAGTGAGCCGAGATTGCGCCACTCCACTCCAGCCCAGTCAACAGAGTGAGACTCTGTCTCAAAAAAAAAAAAAAGAAAAGAAAAAAAAGAAATACAAAATATGGTAGTAGGAATACATTTCTTTTTTAAAAATTTCATAATATTATTTGTACCCTGACAGGCTTTTTTAGCACCCCCAGTTTGTGCTTCAGTGGCCTTTTCCATTGCCAGAGTGATCTTTTGAAATGCAAATCAGGTCATTAAAATTCCCTGCTTGAAATCCTTCAGAGATTTCCCGTTGCCTGGACTTAAGAGTCCAGGCTTTTGAAGGTGGCTTAAAGGCCCTGTGACCACGTGGCCTCTGCTTACCCCTCCAACCTAACTCTACCATATATCCTAGTTTATACCTGCTTTCTCAATGTAATTATTAATATCACCAGTAGCGTACCCCATTTCTTTCTTGGAAGTTTCCTGGTTAGGACAAAAATTCATATGGTCTGCTTAAGTATCTAGCTCTCTGATTATTTGAGAAATATTGCAACATAACCTCAAATATCTTATGTATTACTTGAATTATAACTTGTTCATCAGGATTATTTTGGAGGAATAACGAGAGTTAAGGGAGTACTTGTTAGAGAGTCCTCATTTATTCTAGAGGATTGAAAGGCACAAATTAATTATTATTTTTAAAGCAGTAGGCAAGAGGTGAAATAGCATTGTGATACATCACAGGCATTCTCTTAACGACCTTTCTCACTTATAAGTAAGTTAATTTATTCCAGTACTTTTAAGTGACTAAAGAAACAGCAGCCCCTAAGATTGTGAAGTGAACAAAGGTGATAATCACAAGCTAGGTCCAGTTTTCACTTGCATGGAAAAAGCTAGATTAGCATCTGTATGTTTAAAATAAATTATCTACTTATGAAAGTAGATTATCTAGAATGTTCGTGAATATTTCAGAGTACAATTAATTTTAATGAATTGTATTTTATTTAGTGTCCCCTTTTGTGGTCCACTAATAATTTGATTACGCATAAATATTTGAGAACATGTTTTTCTAGCTACTATATTGGAATGATGGCCTACTTTGTATTTTATGTGTTCTTGTCAAAGTACTGTACAATTTGCAGTATTTTATAGATTTTTAAAGTTGGACATTCCATGGCCCTAAATTCATTCTTATGCTTATTTTCTTTGCCAATAAGGTGTATGGCAAAAAAATAGATGGACAGCAAACCATTATTGCATGCATAGAAAGCCATCAGTTCCAAGCAAAAAATTTTTGGTAAGTTAAAATTTTGGATATTGGGGAGTTTTGGCATTGTTTTAAGTCTTTGTAGTTCTTGCTTTAGTGATTTGGGCTACACCTTGTTTGTTTATGATTAAGAACAATTTAGAGATGGTATAAAATTTTAGCCTTTTGATATAAGGAAGGTAAATTTGCTCAACAGCCTAATCACTAAAGGTAGTGGTAAATCTGTTGACATTCAGTGGAAAGAGTATGGGACTAGCAAACAGCATCCTGAGGGAGCATGTGTGCCTGCGAGAACACCAGTTGGCAATCCATATGCTCATTCTGTGAAGGGGCTGTTCCTGAATGAAACTTATGTGCAGGAGAACAAAGATAATTATAGAACAAAAAATGATACTACTTTTGTGAACTTTGTGACTCTGAAGTAGAGGATTGCTTTGTACTTGGTTAGCCAATGTGAGGAAATAATGACATGTTTTATACAATGAGGAAGATTACATTCATGCCTTGTAATTTTGTGTACAAATAATTCCATTATTCCTTATAAACTTCAAGCCCTCAGGAGCACTGATTTACCATACTGGTCTTGGACCTTTGACAAGTTGTTGGTCATTTTTATTCTTAGACAAGACTATTTCTGAGTACCTGTTACAAAATTCTGAGGTTCTTTAAGACTTTACAAGTCCATAATTGAATGAAATCTTTACGTTTATCCCTGTTTTACATGCTGAGGTCACCAGAATAAGTATGGTCATAATATTTACCTTTTAGTATATTAGCCTTTGACTTACTAGCCAAGTTGGTTGGTGGTGCTATTAAGGGTAAAGTAACAGGTAACCCCTGTGGGCCAGTTGGGTTCATGGCCCAAGGTTGCTCCACTGCTTAGCCATCTCAGAAATAAATGCAGGGTTGCAAGGTTAACCAAGAATATTTGGAGGAATGCAGATCCATCATCACTGAAGGAAAATCAATGCCATATGTGAATGTATGCCTTAATGACTAGCCACAGTTCCCTAAAGGTTCTGTCATATAGAGTTACTTTTATGGACTTAATATAAGTGTAGTTTCTCTGTGTTGGGTCTAAAATCTTGTAGCATTAATCTAGAATCCTGAAACAATATTTATAAAATTATTACTAATTTATGTTATTTATGCCAGGAAACACATAATAAAATCAATCTTGTTGAGATGGAGCTACTATTAGAAGAAAATTCTTTTTACTACGTTCTTCTTTATAATACATTGGAGCTGTTACAATAAGCTTACTAATTTGTCTTTTTAAAATCTAATTCCTTTGAGCTT
This sequence comes from Homo sapiens, assembly GCF_000001405.40. Taxonomy (NCBI): domain Eukaryota; kingdom Metazoa; phylum Chordata; class Mammalia; order Primates; family Hominidae; genus Homo; species Homo sapiens. The sequence continues at coordinate 116,907,612 of NC_000007.14, forward strand.
TAACATATATAAAATGAAGAAAATGTCTGTCCTTGAGTTTTATTTTCTGTTTAGAGACAGAGTCTTGCTGTGTTGCCCAGGCCGGTCTCAAATTCCAGGGCTCAAGTGATCCTCCTGCCTCCGGTTCCCAAGTAGCTGGAACTACAGGTTCACATGGTGCCCAACTTGTCATTGAATTTTCTATTCTCACTATTTCACTTTACAAGGGTAATTTTTCCTAAGCCATCACTATGAGCATTGTATCACTTAACTTAATGGCTTTCACTTTCTGGAAAAAAATGTATTTTATATGCTTTGATATGATTTTTCCATAGTGATAATATCATGGCACAATAGTCTCAGTAAAATCTAAGTAGTTAATACAAAGAACTATACTTCAAGCCAGGCATCTGTAATCCCAGCACTTTTGGAGACCAAGGTAGGAGGATGGCCAGAGGCCAGGAGTTCAAGAAACCTGGGCAACATAGTACGACCCCATCTCTAGGAAAAAAAAAAAAAAATTAGCCAGGCATGGTGGTGCGTGCCTATAGTCCTAGCTACTTGGGAGGCTGAGGCAAGAGGATCTCTTGAGCCCAAGAGTTCAAGCCTGCAGTGAGCTATAATCACGCCACTGCACTTCAGTCTGGGTGACAAAGCAAGACCCTATCTCTAGAAGAAAAAAAAAAGAAATATACTTCAGTTCATCTAAAATATAGGTAGAGTAAAAATCAGAAGCAACTAGTCTTAGATGTTTCTTAGATTTCAGTAGAGACCTTCTCTTCTTTGTCTCTACCATTTCTCCAGGATCTAGCAGTATTAGGGGCTTAATATAAATGTTTGTTGAGTGAATACATATTTGTAATTACAGAGTTAATAAACGAGAGGGGCAGAATATAATTAAAGGCTAGGACATATTGGCCATTTACTCTACTAATAAAAGAGTACTATCTACTCAGTGTCATTTACTGTTACTGTAGTAATTAATGCCTTTGGAAGAATCTTTTGAAATAGTTCTCAAATTGGTACCACTACTTGGTTTGGAATTATTTTTTTTTCTTTTCATAATCAATGGTTATATAAATGTATATTGTCCTAGTCAGTATTTTATATATGCTAAGGACTCACTAGCTGGCTTGGCACTAATACCTCAATAAAAGGAATACTTCTTTTGGAATCATGAAACAAAAGTGAATAAACCTCCAAGTTATTTTTCCAACCAACCTTCTTTGAAAAATCTTGGATGAGTCACTCAAATCAAGACATGTTATAAAATTATCTGTTATTTTGTAGAACATATACATTGTTCTAATAATAATTTTCAAATATTCAGTGTAACTGTAAGTATGAGAATACAGGTTGAATATCTCTTATCCAAAATGCTTGGGACCAGAAGTCTTTTGGATTTCAAATTTTTAAATATTTACATCATACTTACCAGTTTAACATCCCTAATTCAAAAATTCAAAATTCAGAATGCTCCAATAATCGTTTCCTTTGAGCATCATGTCAGTGCTCAAAAAGTTGCAGATTTTGAGGTATTTCAGATTTTTGAATTAGGAAGACTCAACTTGTACTATCATTCTATAGACTTTATGATTGGGTAGACTACATGAGTATTGAACCCAGAAATCATTGTCTAGCAAAAGCCAGTATAGTGATTAATTACCCTGTGACTATTATATAATGTTCAAAAAAGCTAACATATTAGAATGTCCTTAGCGTGCAGAGAGCAAACAGAGACAAAAAGAAAAGTTACCCTGAAAAGTTTGTCAGAAAAATAGAATATCAGACGCTAAACTACTCATCCAGAATTTTGTCAAAAAAGAAAAATAAGATAAAATTCACTGGTAGACAAAAAGTAGTAACATACCAGTTTGTAATTTCTCAGTTTCAAACCATGAATATGTATTTGTATACCAAAAATCATTTCAGGAGCAGAGAAGGAGGATATGCCTTTTATGTGGAGACTTTAAACATAAAATTGGAAAACTAAAAAAAAAAAAACTCATGTTAATAAGTATAGTCCTTTATTTCCAGATATCAAAACCTCTTTAAGAGTGTTGTATAACATTTACTAGTCATTCTTTTTAAATTGTATGGTACTTTGTATCATTCAGTAGATGTTAAACTACACTGAGTGTATTCATAAAAGCCCCTGTTAATCTAAACATTTATTCCATTTATTTTGGAAATATAAGTGATTTGATTGAAGAAGTAGCTTAAAATTTATCTCCACAGTAGCTTATGACTTAGTTTTGTATTGGTTTTTGTTTTGTTTTGTTTTTTTTAAGGCTAGTCAAGTGGAGATGGAACAAAGAAACCTGTAACTGATTGTGATCAATTAGTGGCAAACAGCACTGCACACACACCAGCCTGAATTGTATTTTAAGCCTTAGCTTTAGAATTCTGGCATTAAATCCATTATGTAAGTTCTTTCTTATCAGTAGGGTGAAAATTAAATATGTATCATAACTGGACTTAACCTTTTGATTATTTTTGACTATTTCAGTGATTAAAAATTTAATGTCCAGTATTCATCCCCCACACTCTCTCATACTGTAGCATGAAATATAATCTGAAACTTAAAATTGATTCAAATTATTTTCCCTACCTTATTTACAGCTGCTGTTTTTATTTTTAAGGAATGGTCGTTGGAGGTCAGAATGGAAGTTTACAATCACTCCTTCAACCACTCAAGTGGTTGGCATCTTGAAAATTCAGGTATGAAAAATAATTTGTTTACTGATCTTTAGATGATTCTGAACAGAGAAACAACTAATTCCTAAGTTTACATTTTCATAGTATATCATACACATTTCTTTTTCAGGTCTTTGTTTTGGGGTAATGGGAAAAACAATAGTGCTGTTTTAAATCTTTTAAATAACCTGGCAGTTTATTCCCTAGTCATCAAAAATCTGCAAGGATAGCTGACAGATTATAAAACACAGCTAAAATTAGATGCTGCCATTTGGTCTGCTCTTCAGATACAATTTGTTCATGCAGGCGTCTTCTGAGTTTGAGTTGTGTACTTCTCTCCTCTGAATTGGGTGGAGTGGGGTGAAGTATCATATTAATATATGCATGTGTGTAGTTGTATAAATATATTGTATGCATGTATTAACGTGTATGTATTGGCTGGGCGCGGTGGCTCACGCCTGTTATCCCAACACTTTGGGAGGCCGAGGTGGGTGGATCACAAGGTCAGGAGATCAAGACCATCCTGGCTAACACAGTGAAACCCCATCTCTACTAAAAATACAAAAAATTACACGTGCCTGTAGTCCCAGCTACTCAGGAGGCTGAGGCAGGAGAATCGCTTGAACCCGGGAGGCAGAGGTTGCAGTGAGCCGAGATTGCGCCACTGCACTCCAGCCTGGGCGACAGAACAAGACTCCGTCTCAAAAAAAAAAAAAAAAAAAAAAGCATACGTGATTGTTTGAAGATTTAGTTAATATGGCTAAAAGGGTTAGGACAGACAGACACCAAGTACTCGATGAATGGTAGTCATTATTGTCAGCATTATTCTTCCTTCACTTAGGCCTCAGTGGCGCTTACCTGGATAATTACAGCAGTTTTAAAATGGTGCCCCTTGTAGGACCAAAGCTTATTGAGAGCAAGGATTGTCTGATTCACAGTACAGTCTTCAGCATTTAGCATAGTACCATATGATTGTTATTTTGTTGAATTGGTGGACTCTTTGACATTCACACTGCCATCAAAAAGATAGTTTTTTAAATTTAAATGTGGATATGTTACTTGACTATGTAAGACCATTTAGTAGTACACTCTCATCTGCCAGATAGTCCAGACATATTTGCATGACATACAAGGCCCAGAGTTGACTGGTTTGCTACCTGTATATATTTCTACAGCTATTACTCTCCCCAACTTCACATACCTCTAGTCCTCTCTGAAATATACTGAAGCCTTTTTTAACCCTCAGAAAGAATCTAGAGTACTGCTAACATACTTTATACATACCTTTACCATGTTGTGCTGAAATACGAGATCAGGGACTGTGTCTTTTTAAAAGCCATATAACCTCAGTACCTTATGTAGCAGCAGTGTTTACAGCACTCATTCAGTGTTTGTTGAGTAAATTCATGTCTGAGTTTGGGGAATTAAATGGTTGGTGGAAATACACAAAAGAAGAACAGGATTGGGAAGGAATATTGTGAGCTCAGATTTGGACATCTTGGTTTTAGATACCAGTAGAATGAATGACTGTGAGGCAAAAATGTCCAGCAGTCAGGTCAATAGAAGGCTTGCCTGAATAACTACAGGAATATCTCTAACTAGTCTCCTCACTAGGCTGAGGGCAGGAAGAGTCTTGCTGGAGTTCAAAAGTTTTGGGGCTCAGCAGAGAAGTCTAGACTAGAGCTGAAATATGTAGTCAGTCTGCATTGATATGCTTGTTGACGCAATAAGGTTCTTGATGATTCCTGTAATGTGGTTTCTGTAATTTCTTTTTCTAATAGGTTCATTATTATGAAGATGGTAATGTTCAGCTAGTGAGTCATAAAGATATACAAGATTCCCTAACAGTGTCTGTAAGTAATTAATTCCACAATAAAATTTAACCTAATACTTCTGTAAAACCAGAACAGTTTTGGAATGAACATTTTAAGTAATATTTCTGCTTCAGATTACCGTGTTTTCTGATAGATTAAAGATAAGTAATTGCAAACCTGTACCTAACTTTTTTGCAGCTTTGAGATATAATTTGTATACCATTCAGTTCATTCATTTAAAATATAAGCTTCAAATTTTTCTCTTTTTTTTTTGTATATTACTAACAGGGTTGGACAGCAGTCACCACAATCTAATTTTAGAACATTTTCATGCTCCTTAAAAGAAACACTGTACCATTAGCAATCATTCTCCATTCTACCCAGCCCTTCCCCCAGAACCCTCCCAGCCCTAGGCAGTGGCTAATCTACTTTCTGGCTCTGTGGATTTGCTTGTGCTGGACATTTGATATAAATGTAATCATAATATATAGTCTTTTCTGACTGGCTTTTTTCATTTAACATGTTCAACATTCATCCTTTTTGGAGCATGTATTAGTACGTTGTTCCTTTTTATTGCCAAATAATACTCTGTTTTATGGACATACCACATTTTATCCATTCTTCAGTTAATGGACATTTCTGTGTTCTACTTTTTGCTGCTGTGAACATTTGTGTACTATTTTTTGTGTAGCTTTTTAAATTTATTTTTGGTATATACATAGGAGTGGAATTGCTGGGTCATTTGGTAACTATGTTTAACCTTTTGAAGAACTGCCAGACTGTTTTCCATCTTATAGTTTCACCAGCAGTGTATAAGAGTTTCAGTTTTTCTGTATCTTTTTCCAAAATGTGTCCTTTTGATGATAGCCATCCTAGTCAGTATGAAGTAGTGTCTTATTGTGGTTTTTATTTACATTTTCTTGATGCTAATGATTTTGAGCATCTTTTCTTGTGCTTATGATCATTTGTATATCTTTTGGGGGGAAATACCTATTCAGATCCTTTGCTCATTTCCTAATTGATTATTCACATTTGTATTACTGAGTTGTACTTGTTCATATATTCTGGATACAAGTCCAGTGTATCACATACATGATTTCAGATATTTTCATCCTTCTCTGTGTTGTCTTTTCACTTTCTTGATGATATTGTTTGCAAAACAGAAGATTTTGGTTTTGATTTTTTTCTTTTGTCATTTGAGATTTGAAATATTAATAGAAACCATTGTCTACCCAAGGTCGTGGAGATCTACTCCAGTGTTTTCTTCTAAAAGTATTATATAATAGTTTTAGCTCTTACATTTAGGTCTATGATCTTCTACCTAACTTTTAAACTGTATCCTATCTTTTCATTTCAGTAGCTATTTGGATCATGATTTAATGAAGTTTTTTTTTTAAGTTCATCTTTCAAATTTAAGAATTTTTGAACTTGGTTTTATTTCTCCACAGAATTCTTTCACACATTCTTTCCCTTGCATATGCAACTGTTTCCTTGTTGATTTTTGTTGGTTTGGTTGGTTTTGTTTTTTTGAGACAAGACCTGGCTCTGTCACCCAGGCTGGCATGATCTCAGCTCACTGCAACCTCTGCCTCTAGGGCTCTAGCCATTCTCCCAGTTGAGCCTCCTGAGTAGCTGGGACTACAGGCACGTGCCACCACACCCAGCTAATTTTTTTTTTTTTTTTTTTTTTTTTGGTAGAGATGGGGTTTCACCATGTTGCCCAGCTAGTCTTGAACTCCTGGACTCATGCAGTTTACCCACCTTGGCCTCCAAAAGTTTGGCTTTTGGTTTTTTTGCCCCATGGATATTGACAGTATAACATTTAACAGTGACATTTTCTCATTTGTTTGTGTCATATACCTAAAAGTATCTGTGTATTATAAACATCAACTGCTTATATACAATTTACAGATATTAAAGAAAATTTTTTTTTTTTTTTTTTTTGAGACGGAGTCTCGCTCTTTCGCCCAGGCTGGACTGCAGTGGCGCTGTCTTGGCTCACTGCAAGCTCCGCCTCCTGGGTTCACGCCATTCTCCTGCCTCAGCCTCCCGAGTAGCTGGGACTACAGGTGCCCACTACCACACCCGGCTAATTTTTTTTGTATTTTTAGTAGAGACGGGGTTTCACCGTGTTAGCCAGGATGGTCTCGATCTCCTGACCTCGTGATCCACCCACCTCGGCCTCCCAAAGTGCTGGGATTACAGGCGTGAGCCACTGCGCCCGGCCAGAAAAATTTATTTTTAACTCAAGAAAGCATTTAAGAAACATGTATGAATGTGTTAAGACAGATGCTACCTAAGAAGATAAGCTATATTTACATATACATACATACACACACACACACACACACACACACACACACACACACGTATTTTTTTGAGACAGGGTGTCACTCTGTTGCCCAGGTTACAGTGCAGTGTGTGAATACAGCTCACTGCAGCCTCGACATCCTGGGCTCAAGCCATCCTCCTGCCTCAGCCTCTCTAGTAGCTGGGACTATAGGCGTGTGCCACCATGCCCAGCTAATTTATTTTTTGTAGAGATGGGGTCTCACCATATTGTCCAGGCTGGTCTCAAACCCTGGCCACAACCAACCTTTCTGCCTTGGCCTCCCAGAGTGCTGGGATTACAGGCATGGGCCACCACACCCAGCCCCTGAAGCTATCTTTTAAAAAAATTTTTACTAGCACTTAGGTGATTTCTGCTTTGACCTAATTGGTACTCTCCTTGCAAAATTTGCCAGTGAAAAAAACTTACTAATGTCTGATTTTCCATGAGATGTTCTCCATATAGTTACATATCATATGTAATTACTACATTCAATATTATTGACATAACAAGGGTATGGTGCCGTCTTGTTTGGGGAGTTTGACATTGAGCGAAGATGCTTCCTGGATGGGTGCGGTGGCTCACGTCTGTAATCCTATCATTTCGGGAAGCTGAGGTAGGTGGATCACTTGAGGTCAGGAGTGCGAGACCAGCCTGGCCAATATGACGAAACCTCGTCTCTACTAAAAATACAAAACCCCATCTCCACTAAAAATACAAAAATGAGACGGGAATGGTGGCACATTCCTATAGTTCCAGCTATTTGGGTGGCTGAGGCATGAAAATTGCTTGAACCTGGGAGGCGGAGATTACAGTGAGCCAAGATCACACTGCTGCACTCCAGCCTGTGCTACAGGCTGAGACCCTGTCTCAAAAAAAAAAAACAGATGCTTCCTAAGAGAAATTTGTCCACAAGAGTACAGAGGGTACGGTTTTGAGAGATGGTCATAGTAATTAAACTTGACTAATATGCCAGTTTGTGCTCGTTTTTTTAGGAATGACCATTTTTACTCTATCTTAGGAGGTTTTCATTGTTTTATATTTTTACACCATATATATAAAGTATAAGGTGTTAGAGACTTTTACATTAACACTGTTTTATTTTTTAAATCCAGATTCTGTTAACTTTACTGTTAGGAAAAAGCAAACAAACCCATCTATTGGCATGTTAAAAAAAAAATTTCCAGAAAAATACATTCTTCCTGATTAGTGATTTTTTTTTTTTTTTTGGTATCACTGTTCTGTTACGTAATGTTCAGTAAATATTTAACAATATTCAGATAAAGAGTCATCAATTAGAAATCTTTACCAAACTTCTTACCCATAAAGGTTGTCTATTGGAATGCATGTCCAGTGTTTAAAATTGAACTTTTCATCCATGTGTGTATCATTGAGATTTCACTTTCCTTAGCCAGCTGAACATTGAGACCAGCTTATTCTGTAGACTTTTAAAATAATTTTACCTATTTTCCCCTTAGACTTAGAATAATTGATCTTACAATATTTATTCTATGTCATAATTTCCTTCTGTGTTATTTATTATAACATTACATTAACCATACATATATTTTAAAATAATAGTGGTTTAGTTTTAAATTACTATTTTTATTTTGTTTTTTTTTTTTTCAGAATGAAGTGCAAACAGCAAAAGAATTTATAAAGATTGTAGAAGCTGCAGAAAATGAATACCAGGTATGATTTTTTAAATATTATATAAGCTACACTCACATATGAATTAATGTCACTGAAATTTTAATTTCAGCCAAAGGCTGAATTTTTCCATTGCATCAGTTAGAGTCTTTTTGTTGTGTGTCTGCTTTTAACACAAAGGCAGACTTACTAATGTGTAGGCAAAAAGAGTGGCAAGTAAATTGAATTCCATTAATAGTTTGTGTTTTCAAAATACTAAGACTAGGCCGAGCGCGGAGGCTCACGCCTGTAATCCCAACACTGGGAAGCCGAGGCAGGTGGATCACGAGGTCAAGAGATCAAGACCATCCTGGCCAACATGGTGAAACCCTGTCTCTACTAAAAATACAAAAATTAGCTGTGTGTGGTGGCATGTGCCTGTAGTGACGAGTGCTACTCGGGAGGCTGAGGCAGGACAATCGCTTGAACCTGAGAGGCAGAGGTTGCAGTGAGCTGAGATCACGCCACTGCACTCCAGCCTGGTGACAGAGCGAGACTCCGTCTCAAAAAAAAAAAAGACTAGGTTTTGGCCAACATAATTTCTGAGTGCAGATTGAGTATCTCTGATCTGAGTTGCTTGGAACCAGAAGTGTTTTAGATTTCAGATTTTTTTGGATTTTGGAATATTTGCATTATCTATTTACCAGTCAAGCTTCCATAATCTGAAAATTAGAAATCTGCATTAGTGCTTCAGTGAGCATTGCCTTTGAGTGTCATGTTGATGCTCAAAATGTTTCAAGCTTTGGAAACTGGATTTTTCAGTTAGGGATGCTCAACCTGTATCAGTCAAAATATGCCAGACTTTAAGTGGCTATTTTTTTTCTGGTTGGAAATTTTAATTCAGGCTGTGTCTTAGCATTTGGATTATGTGTAATCTGTTTAGATCACATTTCATTTTGTGCTTTACTTTTTATATTATTTATCAGCTTCTAAACTACACTCTTGAATTGAACCATTTAATTTGTGAATTGGACAAGTTTCTACTCCTTAAAAATAATAATCTATAAATTGTTCTGACATACTAAAATAAATTCAAAATGACACACAAATATTAAGTCTAATTTATAGTTTTATTTCATTAAGTTTATTCAAAATTATTATAGGCTTTTTCTTCTAGCTGCTTTTATTTTATTTATTTATTTATTTATTTTTGAAGACAGAGTCTTGCTCTGTGGCCCAGGCTGGAGTGCAGTGGCGCGATCTCGCCTCACTGCAAGCTCCGCCTTCCAGGTTCACGCCATTCTCCCACCTCAGCTTCCCGAGTAGCCGGGACTACAGACGCCCGCCACCATGCCCGACTAATTTTTTTTTGTATTTTTGGTAGAGACAGGGTTTCACTGTGTTAGCCAGGATGGTCTCGATCTCCTGACCTCGTGATCCGCCCACCTCAGCCTCCCAAAGTGCTGGGATTACAGGCGTGAGCCACCGCGCCCGGCTCTTCTAGCTGCTGTTAAACAGCTTTTAAAACAATGTTGGGATTTTATTTGACTGTTTAAAAACAGTGAAACAGGCTGCTTAAATAAAACTTATTCTGAAAACATCTATGTGCTTTATAAATTGTTCTGTTCTTTGCTTTACTTTAAACTTCTAACTATTGTTTTTCATAGACTGCCATCAGTGAGAATTATCAGACAATGTCGGACACTACTTTCAAAGCCTTACGTCGACAGTTGCCAGTTACACGCACTAAGATTGATTGGAACAAGATCCTTAGCTACAAGATTGGCAAAGAGATGCAGAATGCATAAGATGAACATTGCATGACCGGATCATTTTAGTGTCTTTGCGTTAAAAAATCATTGCAAAAGTATTCTGAACTGTCAAGCTGCCCAGTCAGATGGGCTGTTGCCATTTAAAATCACTGTAATTAATTAGTTTGATTAGAGCACAAAGCTTAGCTAATCAACCATTATTTTTCATTTTGTTTGTTCTAAGAGGATTGAAAATCAGTTTAGTTTAAATGTCTTTCTGTTAGGCCTTTCTTTCTTACAATGAAGAGATGATTCTTCTAGTTTATGGTTAAAAGTTTTTGAAGTGTCTCAAAAATATTTTACTAACTGTAACCCTAAAATTGATGTCTTTTGGTTTATGAAATCAGTAATTTTTGATATTTCCCCAGTTCTTTTTAATGGGGTCAATAATGGACATTCTAGTTTAAGGTGGTTGATGGATTTAGCCATATATGCTGCTAAAGAAATTGTCTACCTTTTCTTCCTCACCTGTTCCATTTATGTAAAGTTGAGATTAGAGGGAAAGCATTTTCTATATCAATTGTGTTTAAACCTTTCAAGAAGGTTATTTAGCTAGCTTAGTGTTGAACTAAATTTTTTTTAAACAAGGCAAGGTCTAATGCTGTTTTGAGATTCTGAAATTAATGAAAATACTTATTTCAGAAATGCATTTAATGCTTTTTTTCTTGTGACAGTTACGCAAATCAGCTTGAATTCCATATGTCCCTGAGTTATTTTTATCATAAAGCCACAAATGTATTATAACAAGGCAAATTGTAATATATATAATCCTGAACTCATGACCATGTCTCGGTTTATTTTTTTTTTCTTGGATTGAAAAGTACTGAAATTCAATGTGACATTAAAATGCAAATTTTCCTATTTATTTGAGTAGAAAATCACTTACCAGTGAGCATATATATTTTAAAATACTTTCTTTGGATATTGTAATTCTTAACTGGTTGTAAATTAGAAAAGCTGGGATTACATATGGTGTGCGGTTACAGTCTAAATTTTTTCATCCTCCTATGCATCATAAGCATGTTTGTAATATTTTCAAAAATAGTTCTACTGATGCTACAGGAATTTCAAGCCTGTGGTGAATGTTAGTATTTACCATAGGGAGTGAAGTGGAGTTATGGTTTCATTCAATAGAGTATTGCTGATTATACTTGAGTGGAATCCTTTCCTCACGTACTCCCACAGACGTCTGGGCCTGGAAATTTTTTTTTTATTTTATTTTATTGTTTTTTTTTTTAGAAAAACACCACTTTTATTATGTACAATAAAATATTTCATTAGCTTGAATTGTATAGATTTTTAAAAATTCAATGAAAGCATGTTGTTTAATTTCTTTTTAAAATCACTGTTGGGCTTTGAAAGCATTGAGAATATAATATGAAATTATGACATTTTGTCTAAATCATCTTTTCTTTAGTTTTAAAATACAAGTTTTGGCACATTGGGATTCCTAAAGAAAATGAATTGGTAACATTAATTATCTGTTCCTTTTTAAAATATATATATTTGAAAGTTTGATGATGGTGAACTAAATACTAGATCTAATTGACAAGCTTAGTTGTATCAGTTAGGCCATCATGAGTTTCTATCCCATGAAAGTCATCAATTTCCTATCTCTGTTCTAGTCTGGAATGCATTACTGAAAATGTATGCAACTGTTTTTAAGGTGATTTGCTTGTGAGACGGAAGATTTATCAAAAATAATTTAGAACAGGCTGGGCGCGGTGGCTCACATCTGTAATCCCAGCACTTTGGGAGGCCGAGGCGGGTGGATCACGGGGTCAGGAGATTGAGACCACCCTGACTAACACAGTGAAACCCTGTCTCTACTAAAAATACAAAAAATTAGCCGGGTGTGGTGACAGGCGCTTGTAGTCCCAGCTACTCGGGAGGCTGAGGCAGGAGAATGGCGTGAACCCGGGAGGCGGAGCTCGCAGTGAGCCGAGATCGCGCCACTGCACTCCAGCCTGGGTGACAGAGCAAGACTCTGTCTCAAAAAATAATAATAATAATAATAATAATATAATTTAGAACAGTCTGAAATAATGATGGCACAGAATAGTCTTTTATAGTATAAGAATGGCATTTATTAGGCAGGGCACAGTGGCTCACACCTGTAATCCCAGCACTTTGGGAGGCCGAGGCGGGTGGATCACGAGGTCAGGAGTTCGAGACCAGCCTGACCAACATGCTGAAACCCCGTCTCTACTAAAAACAAAAAAAAATTAGCCGGGGATGGTGATGCGCGCCTGTAATCCCAACTACTCAGGAGGCTGAGACAGGAGAATCATTTGAACCCGGGAGGTGGAGGTTGCAGTGAGCAGAGATCGAGCCACTGTACTCCAGCCTGGGTGACACAGGGAGCCTCTGTCTCAAAATAATAATAATAATAAAAGAATGGCATTTATTAAAGTGAAAGAAGAATGGAAACCCAGAGTATCCTATAGCTCAGGGATGTAATTTTAGTAGGAGACATTATGGCTGCTTTGCTGAGTAGGCTGAAGTGTGGTGGCAAAGGCATAATCAGGGAGAACAGCTAGGAGACTACTGCAGTAATCTAGTTGAGAGAGCATGCTGGCTTGGACTGAGGTGGTTGCTGTAGAGGTGGTATAAAGCAGTGAGGTCTAGGTATATCCTAAAGGTAAAATCAGCAAGACCTGGGGAGAGTTTGGTCATGGAGTGTGAGATAAAGAGAACCATGTCTGGGGCTGGAGAAATTGAGGAAGATTCTTGTAGGAGCAAGTTGGTTTGGAGAAGAAGGCTGGTCAGGAGCTCAGTTTTCTATTCAAAGGAGAAATATCTCATGTAGCAGTTAGATACAGGAGACAGGAACTAGAGGAAAGCTCTGGGCTAGAAGAATGGGAAAGTGCATGAACCTGGAAACAATTTTATAGGCAGACAGGATGAAGGACCTCAAGGTTAGTGATAATGAATTTAAAGTAAATGAGACCAATGATGAGCATGGCTGTATGTTTTTCTTCAACCGTGTAAAGCTGTTTGGGTGCAGGCATAGAGTAGATGAAATAAATTTCACCAGGGCTGTGGTTTTGCCCAGAGTGAATGACCACATGAAGAGGGGCAGGGTATGATGATGGTCTGTGGAATTTCAGCTGGGTAAGCAGGGAAGTGAGGGCTTGAGACGGGGGGAGGGATAGTGAAAATGTACAACCAGTGGATTATAGGTGTGTTAAAGTAGGGGAACTAGAAAGAATGACCTGGAAATGTAAGAAGTGGGCCGGGCGCAGTGGCTCATGCCTGTAATCCCAGCACTTTAGGAGGCTGAGGTGGGTGGATCATGAGGTCCAGAGATCAAGACCATCCTGGCCAATATGGTGCAACCCCATCTCTACTAAAAATACAAAAATTAGCTGGGCGTGGTGGTGTGCCTGTAGTCCCAGCTACTAGGGAGGCTGAGGCAGGAGAATCGCTTGAACCCAGGATGCGAAGGTTGCAGTGAGCCGAGATTGTGCCACTGCACTCCAGGCTGGCGACAGAGCGAGACTCTGTCCCAAAAAAAAAAAAAAGTGGTGGGCTGGCCACGATGGCTCACGCCTATAATCCCAGCACTTTGGGAGGCCACGGCAAGTGGATCATTTAAGGTCAGGAGTTCAAGACCAGTCTGGCTAATATGATGAAACCCCTTCTGTATTAAAAATACAAATATTAGCCGGGCATGGTGGCACATGCCTGTAGTCCCAGCTACTCAGGAGGCTGAGGCAGGAGAATCTTTGAACCCAGGAAGTGACAGTTACAACGAGCGGAGACTGTGCCACTTCACTGCAGCCTGGGTGACAGGGTGAGAGTCTGTCTCAAAAAAAGAAAAAGGAAATGTAAGAAGTGGTGATTGGAGAATGGTGTGCTTAATTAAAATTGAGGTTTTGAGGAGTTACTAGTAATGACAAATATGACCAACGGAGTGACTGGCTGAGGGGAGAGAGGAGAGGACTTAAGCAACTGTGCCACTCAGCATTGGAAAGGTCACCTCTGTGACATTAAAATCAAGAATTCTGATAGAAGTAAGAGTTCTGGCATGAGTGGTGCTTTTCCAGAGTACACTTGGATATATGATTACATTTTAATAAGTTATATAAATATGCAGATATTCATGCGGCTTTTCCTCATTTGGGATTTTGGAAACTAAAATAGTAGTAAGAGCATTAAAAAAAAGATGTCCTGGAAGTTCTCGTTCATTGCAAATGTTCTTGAAATGTGAAATTCTTGGAAAAGTAATCAGGGACAACTATTGACAGTTGTGTGACATTTGGGTAGCCCTTTCTACAGTTAAAGTCATTGTGACTTTTAGTAGCCACACTGAAACCTTTGGAATAATGAAAGACCCTTTCAAAAGATCTTCCATACTGATGATCAGTTTGCGCCTTTGCCATCTATGGGGTATGAAATGTAAAGGCACATTTAGCCAGGAGTTAACACAGGTGTTTTGTAATGCGTGCATGTTATGAAACATCCCAAGAAAGATGTGTATTTCTGTTCACTTCTCTTAAGATGCAGTATTTAAAAGAATCATAGTGTACTTGCTAGTCTTAAATGTAAATTTTGGGCCAGGCACGGTGGCTCATGCCTGTAATCCCAGCACTTTGGGAGGCTGAGGCAGGTGGATCACCTGAGGTCAGGAATTTGAGACCAGCCTGACCAGCGTGGTGAAACCTCATCTCTACTAAAAAAATACAAAATTAGCCAGGCGTGGTGGTGCACACCTGTAATCCCAGCTACTTGGGAGGCTGAAACAATTGCTTGAGCCTGGGAGGCAGAGGTTGCAGTGAGCCAAGATCACGCCATTGCACTCCAAAGAGTGAAACTCCATCTCTGAATGAATGAATGAATGAATGAATGAACGAATGAATGAATGAATAGTATAGATTTGGGGGCTTGAAACTGAGGACTTCTTAAAGGCAGATGCTGTGTAGACATATCCAAATTTGACATTCTGAGTATTATGCAAAAGCTTTATTGTAAGTTTGACCAGTAGTGCTAGCTATTGCAGAATACGCAAAATATTCACAGGTTAAGATTAAAATAGCCGATTAAATTTTTAAGGTCTAGTTAGCATTAGAAATTAATGTCAGGTCATTCACATTTAAGCAGATGTATTGAGAGAGCTGTTCTAGGCGTTGTGGAGTTTGGAAAATAGAAAACCGTTTCTTAAAGCAATCTACAAACTACTCATGGAACAACAGTGTTTTCCTACCCTTGTCACATCACAACATATGTAGAAAATGATATTTGTGGCTGGGCACAGTAGCTCACACTTCTAATCCCAGCACTTCGGGAGGCTGAGGCAGGTGGATCCTTTCAGTCTAGGAGTTCAAGACCAGCCTAGGCAACATGGCAAAACTCTGTCTCTACTAAAAATACAAAAATTAGCCAGGTGTGGCGTACGCCTGTAGTCCCAGCTACTCAGGAGCTGAGCTGGGAGGATCACCTGAGCCTGGACAGGTTGAGGCTGCAGTCAGCTGTGATCGTGCCACTGCACTCTAACCTGGGTGATAGAGTGAGAACCTGTCTGAAAATATACAAATAAATAAGGCACACTGCAGGAAATGGACAAGGCTGCATGCTAATTGTTGTAAGGGTTAAGAAGATCAGTATCTTGGCACACCTTAAACCTGTTTAGGAAGATGTGCCATGGACAACACAGATTGTTTGTAAGATAAACTTCAAGCCTTACCTAAGATAGCTTTTAAAGAGATGTCAAGCCAAGGGAGGTTTTCTGGAAAGGATGAGTTTTAAACTGCTTTGGCAAGTATGCATGCCAGTGGTAGGAAGGAAATCCTCTTGTATCTCAGTGAAGCATTAATATGTAGATAATAGGTTTCTGGTAAAGAAATGTCATGGGTCAGAATGTCATCCAGTTCAAAACTAAATCTGACTTTAAAACAGCACAGTACAAAATGAAATTATAACAGTAACGTTAAGAATCAGTGTTCTTATAAACTATAGTATGGCTAATAAGATATTTTCTCTCTGGTTTTGGTATAATCTAACAAAAGAGTATTAGTTAACGTCAGTTTCCATTTTTGCAGTGTGACTGTATCAGAAAACAGATTTTTTTTCACACAAACTCGCTAGAAAACACATCACGGGTTGGGCGCAGTGGCTCACGCCTGTAATTCCAGCACTTTGGGAGGCTGAGGCAGGTGCATCACAAGGTCAAGAGATCGAGGCCATCCTGGCCAACATGGTGAAACTCCGTCTCTACTAAAAATACAAAAATTAGCTAGGCATGGTGGTGTGCACCTGTAGTCCCAGCTACTCAGGAGGCTGAGGCAAGAGAATTGCTTGAACCCAGGAGGCGGAGGTTGCAGTGAGCCGAGATCTCACCACTGCACTCCAGCCTGGGCGACAGAGCAAGACTCCGTCTCAAAAAAAAAAAAAACATCACGGATACCAAATCAGCCACTGACTCTCATAACATGAGCTGTGTGTGGGACAATCTGCAGTTAAAGCATGCTGATTAGTAGAAGACTGTTAAGGAAGCCCAGTTGGCATATCTTAGAAGATTGATGACTTCTGGGAAAATTTGTAAAATGCCCAGCTCTTTAACCAAATAAATTTTCAAGGAATTATTTTACTGCAAGGATATCCCAAAAAATCTTGCTGACTAAACAGCACAAAGTGTCACCTTCCTTTGGGCTGCTAACTTGCTAGACTCTCAGCGTCTGAATACCTGATCTGGATCTCTTCCATCCCAGACTTTGACCTGAAAATGAAGGCTTGCCTCCTGTTTCCCAAAAGAATACTAAACAGAAATAGCCGGGAGCAATAACTCTCTTAAGTATAAATTAAGGACTTAGGGAAGACTTTAGTTCTTTGAAAAAGGAGAGCAAAATATAGGAGATCAGTGTTCCAGGACACTGAAAGCATCTCCAGTGAGGAAAAGGCAAGGTAAAGAAAAGCCTGCCCACGCACACTCATTTGCCCCTTACTTCGGGGCTTTACAGAGGAGAAAGAGAAATTTTTAAAGGAAATAAATCTCATTCCAGAGACTTGAAAAGGCAAAACCGTAAGTCAACCTAAATATCCAACCACAGCGAATGAGTACAGATACTGTGGTTTGTTAACACTGGGAGAGCATACAGCTTTTAAAAACTTGTGAGTCAGAGGTTATATTAACATACTATGAAAACCCCTGTTGAGAGAACAAAACAAGTTGTATACTAACGTTTAAAAATACATAAAACAATACAAATGTTTTATCATTTTATATATAGTGACTCTATAAACATACAATGGATTAAAACACCAAATCAGGCCAGATGTGTGGCTCACACCTATAATCCAGGCACCTTGGGAGGCCAAGGTGCTAGAATCGCTTGAGCCCAGGTGTTCCAAGATCAGCCTGGGCAATATATCAAGACCCCATTTCTAGAAAAATTTTAAAATTAGCTGGGCACAGTGATGTGTGCCTATGGTCCTAGCTACTCAGGAGGTTGAGGCAAGAGGATCACTTGAGCCCAGGAGTTCAAATTACAGTGAGCTTTGATCATGTCACTGCACTCCAGCCTGGGTGGCCAAGTGAGACCCTATCTCTCAAAAAAAGTAGAATAATATATGTGTGGGGAGGAACATAAGGGAATAGGATTAGGGAACTGTATAAAAGGATTGTAACTTTTTTTAATTGGATAATAGGTATATAGGTGTTCATTACAACAATCTCAAATTTTAAATGTCATTTAAAAAATTATACAACTTATGCTGACATATAACTCTACGTGAAAGGAAATATATACAAAGATTGAGTCGGGCAAAAGTAGAAAAATGACAGGTCATAACCATAGGATGAATAGAATAGAAAGTTTACTAATACCCCTTTAAAAAGTCATTAGACTCATTATTTTACAGAGAATTTTATCCAACTTACCACATACAGATAATTTTCTATGTTACAGAAATTATTTTAGATGGTAGAAAAAGATAGATATCATTTTATGAGACTTATTTATAAGCTTAAATAAGAATAGCACCAAAACCAGAAAACTGATCAAACTTCCCTGTATAGTCAAAAGTAAAATTCCTTAATACATTAATAAAGAATACTACATTATGATCAAGTATGGTTTATCACTGGAAACCAATGATTGTTCCCTGTTAGGAAATCTAGTACAGTAGCCTCCTATATTAGCATATTAAAGAAAAGCACATATAATTCTCTGAGAAAATATCATTAAACCATTTGATAAAGTTTAGTCCCTAATCCTCACTTTAAGGGCAGCATCTCAAATCAATGGGGCAACAGATGAATGATGCTGAGACAACAGGGTAGCCAGCTGTGGGAGAAAAGTTGGATCTATACCTCATACCTTACACCAAGTTAAAATTGCACCAAAGATTTAATGATATAAAATGATATTGGCCACGTGCGGTGGCTCACACCTGTAATCCCAGCACTTTGGGAGGCCGAGGCAGGCGGATCACTTGAGGTCAGGAGTTGGAAACCACCCTGTCCAACATGGTGAAACCCCGTCTCTACTAAAAGTACAAAAATTAGCCGGGTGTGGTGATGGGTTCCTGTAATCCCAGCTACGGAGGTTGCAGTGAGCTGAGATTGCGCCACTGCACTCTAGCCTGGGTGACAGAGCGAGATTCCATCTCAAAAAAAAAAAAAAAAAGATATCATAAATGTTCTTGAAGAAATGGTATTTTTTAAGTAATAGCAATATCAGAATAATTTTAGAAAAAACCCTTAGAATCCATTCAATAAAAATAAAAATGTATTTGGCTGGGTGCAGTGTCTCATGCCTGTAATCCCAGCACTTTGGGAAGCCAAGGTGGGCAGATCACTTGAGTTCAGGAGTCCGAGACCAGCCTGGCCAACATGGTGAAACCCCGTCTCTACTAAAAAATACCAAAATTATCCAGGCATGGTGGTGGGTGCCTGTAATCCGAGCTACTTGGGAGACTGAGGCAGAAGAATCGTGTGAACTCGGGAGGCGGAGGTTGCAGTGAGCCAAGATCGTGCCACTGCATTCCAGCGTGGACAACAGAGTGAGACTCCATCTCAAGAAAAAAAAATATATATATACTTCATAAAAATTAAGATTTTCTACATGGCTTAAAATGCTCTAAACAAAGTCAGAAGACATCATTCACAAGGGAAAACATTTGCAACTTACCTAACAGGTGGTTACTTTTTCAAAAATCTAATGAGTACCTACAGCACAATAACATAAGAGTCCTATAGAAAATTGAAAAGCATGGGCCAGGCGTGGTAGCTTACACCTCTAATCCCAGCACTTTGGGAGACTGAGGTGGGAGGATCACTTGAGCCCAGGAGTTCACAGTCAGCCTGGGCAACACTGTGAAACTCTCTTGTGTCTATAAAAAAAAAAAAAAAAAAAAAAGAAAGAAAGAAAATTGAAAAGCAGTGCCTATGGCACCTGAGCTCCTGACATTATGGAGAGCCTTACCAAACTTGAACTTCCTCACTGGACATTTATTGAGAAATAAACATATTTAAGCCACTGCTCTTTGGAATGTATTTTATTTCTTATCACCCCTGCCACCCCTGCAACCCCTGCCTCTCACCCTATATAGCATTTAGTGCCAGAAATAGGATCCTGCAAGTATCAAAATCTGAAGTGTGGCATTGGTTAAAGGCAATGTAAGTCAACAGGGGTTCTGCTGACATCTGAGTCCACTACAACGTGCAAGACTGTTCTCCTCTATCCCTAGACACTAAATGCTACTGACACCTCCTAATCCTTGTAACAGTCAAAAATAATGCCCTAGAGGAAGGGAATATTACTCCAGTGACTAGGGGGATTTAGTAGGGCCTAGATATTGCAGGCTGGAAAGCTGGTGACCCTTGTTAGGCCATGATAAAACATTGAAATTATTGCCTCAAGTAAGTAGATTGACATGACAATAGGAAAGATGGCAGGGAAGACTCAGAATGGAAGAAAGGAATTAGCAGCCATACTGAACTCCTCCTCTCTTGTCTGGGTTATTTGAGGAGACATTTGAGCCCAGCAGAACTTCTTACAACTTCAAATTTTGCAAGGATTGCCCTGCTGGGTGCAGTGGCTCACACCTGTAATCCCAGCACTTTGGGAGGCCGAGGCAGGCAGATTACTTGAGGTCAGGAGTTTAAGACCAGCCTGACAAACATGGCAAAATTCCATCTCTACTAAAAATACAAAAAAATTAGCCAGGCGTGGTGGCGTGCACCTGTAATCCCATCTACTCAGGAGGCTGAGGCAGGAGAATCACTTGAACTGGGAGGTGGAGATTAAATGAGCAGAGTTAGCTACACTCCAGCCTGGGCAACAGAGCGAGACTCCATCTCAAAAAAATAAAAAAATAAAAATGTTTCCAAGTCCACTGAACTGGACTGTCAAGATCCTTCTTTCTCTCACTTGTAATTTGTGGACTGTAGGTCCAAAGTGATAACATTACCCAGGAGAAGGTTAAAGGTAGAGATGAGAATAAGTGTATTGCCCTTCCCCCAAGCCCACTGTCATAGAAAATATATTCATTTTCTATTGCTGTATAACAAGTGGTCACAAAGTTAGGTCTTAAAATAATGCAACCTTATTATCTCACAGTTCTCATGGGTTCAGGCACATGTCAGCTGTGTCCTCTGTTCATGGTTCCGCGAGGCTGAAATCAAGGTGATGTCTGAGGCTGCAATCTCATCTGAGGCTTGGATTCCTCTTCCAAGCTTATGTGGTTGTTGGCAGTTCCTTGTGAATTGAATTTTGGAATAGAGCAATTATGTAATGTGTTAGCCAAACTGCAATATTTTTGAGAGAATGGAGAGCTCTTAATTATTACATTGAAATAACAGGTGTAAATAGGAACTATTCTGGACAAACTGCTATGTGTGGCCACCCTAATCAACAACAGTGAACTCTGAAAGCTGTGCAGCCCCAGTCATAGCCAGGAAAGATAATGGACAATGAAGAACCTTCCCTGGGAATGACGCACAAGGAGTTTTCCTCAGAGAGCGGAATCAGGGGCTACCTCATGAACTAAGCCATAAAACCACTACCAGAGTAGGGAAACCTTGTTTCATTTCTGAATTGCAATTATTCTGTTCCTACGTTGTATATTAAGAGTGTTAGGGCACTTAACATCTTCTAATTTATAGTTTGCTGGACGATGAGATGCATTTGTTTTTGGTGATGAGAATTGTGTATTCACCCTGCTATCTTGGACTTGGAGCTGACTGTAGTGAGGGATGGGTCCTTGGGGGGGGGGTAAATATACTACTCTGTGTGTAACTAGAAGGATGTGTTCACATAAATCAAAGGCGGTAATCTGTGGTGGAAATTGGTGGTTGCCCCTTCAATATTTATTTTTAGTTATGTGACTAAGTTCTGGCTAATGGGATAAATGAAAGCGTTGTAGGGCAACTCCTGGGATTTGCCCTCAGGGTCAGAACCTGTGTACTCCCCTTTTATTCTCTCTTCCTCCATCCTGCTCTTTGAAACTCTGATGCCACCGTCTTGAGCCATCAGGTCTAGGCACAAATGGAACTGAACACTCTCCCTCACACTTTGAAACACAATACCAGCTCAAATCATGTACCTGGCTTTTTACCTGAGAAACAAACTTCTATCTTGTTTAAGCCTCTGCTATTTTGTTTGTTGTCATCTGCAGCTTAACCTAATCTTAAAACTTAGATCCTCAGCCAGGAGCGGTGGCTCATGCCTGTAATCCCAGTACTTCGGGAGGCTGAGGCGGGCGGATCATGAGGTCAGGAGTTCGAGATCAGCCTGGCCTGGCCAGCATAGTGAAACCACATCTCTACTAAAAATACAAAAAACTTAGCCGGGCGTGGCAGCAGGCACCTGTAATCCCAGCTACTTGGGAGGCTGAGGCAAGGAGAATCGCTTGAACCTGGGAGGTTGCAGTGAGCGGAGATTGCGCCACTGCACTCCAGCCCGGGCAACAGTGCGAGACGCCGTCTCAAAAAAAAAAAAAAAACTTAGGTGCTCACTCTGCACCTCATCCTGTCTGATATTTAAAAAAAAAAAAAAAAATCATATGGGCTTGAAGATCTGGCCAAACCAAATAGTGAACATTTTGGAACTAATAATGAGTTACAGAAAAACCTTCCTGTAAAGTCAACAAAACTCAGAAATCATAAAGGAAAAGACTGACAGATTTTTCCTCCCCACACATTTAATATATTCTGGCCACAGAATATGTTAAATATTCTACAGAAGAATATTCATGGGAGAGCCCCTTAGAAATGGTTGCAAACTTTTTTTCTCTCTCCATCTGCTCGCGCTCTGTCTCTCTCTGGAATCTCGCTTTGTTGCCAGGCTGGAGTGCAGTGGCACGATCATAGCTCACTGCAGCCTCAAATTCCTGGGTTCAAGTGATCGTCCTGCCTCAGCCTCCTGAGTAGCTAGGACTACAGACTCGCGCCACCACACCCGGCTATTTTTATTTTTCACAGAGACAGGGTCTCGCCATGTTGCCCAGGCTGGTCTCAAACCCCTGGGTTCAAGCAATCCTCCCTCCCTGGCCTCCCAAAGTGCTGGGATTGCAGGTGTGAGCCGTCGCACCAGGCCTGCCTTTTATCTTTTAATTTTGTGTTTGGCATCTTTTGTGTTCAGAGATGTTATCATTATGTGTCTCGCTTAGTGTTTAAAAATTCTGCTTAAAAGGGAAAATGGTTTGTGTTTCTGAGCATGTGTTTGAGTGGGATGAGATCCTGTTTCCGAAATTAACGACAGGAATGGACAAGACTGCAGTTTCCAAGAGGCGCCAGCAGGTGGCACTGTTCCCATTTCAAGCTAATCGCAGTATAGGTAGATGCCGCGCGGAGAAACGAGTCCAGGACATCCTGTGTCCCATCCCTTGGAGCATCTCCGCTGCTCAAGGTTCGGCTATTACTCAGCAGAAGGGCACTGCTGGTCTGGAAAAGAAACTTTAGGAAGCGGAAATAGTGATAAGTTAGGGTATTTATTACCGGCTAACACTTGTAGAAAAGTTTGACTATATTCAAGCCAAGAACACAAGGATTCTTGGCTGTCTTTGAAGTTAGGGACTCATCTGCAAATGTGAAGCGAGCTATGATCTCTTTTCTCAGAAAAGTGCATTCGTGTCTGCACATTGCCATTTTTCTCTCTGTCTTCTCTCACAACACGCAGTCTTCATACAATTAGAGTTCATGGCCCCTATAATCCACTATCTCTTGACCTGAATAATGTTCACAGATTTCACACAAAAAAACTGTTTCAGACCTCCACTGTTAAATTATTTTCAGCACAACTCGTCTTTTAACAAACTTTCCTCCAACTCTTCCTGGTTGCAGACACTATTCTAGGTACTTGATAAACACAGCAGTGAATTAGACAGTGAAAAGGGCCTTAGTCACTAGAGAGAGAGAGAGAGGCACTACATAAGTCAACAACAGCAAAAAATGCCAGATAGGGATAAAGGTATAAAGAAAATAGGGTAAAGTCCTCTGTAAAGAGATGGCATGAAAACCAAGATGAGAAGGAAGCAGGAGTCAGAAAACGCGGGGGACAGTATTCCCCACAAGGAACCAGCTTCTGCAAAGGCCGAGGCGGCGGTGGGCTTGGCTGAATCAGCCAGAACTCTTGGCATTTCTCTCAATTCCTTTCTTTCTTTCACTAACCACATTCAATTGACAGCGAGTTCTGTCCATTTTACTTCCAAAATACATCTCAAGTAAGTCCACTTCTCTCTATTCCTAGTGCTATCACCCTAATACAAACTGCCTAGACTGTGGGAATAATCTAACTTTTTTGTTCATTTGTTCGGCATCTACTCTCATTTCCCTCCAATCCATTTCCTATCTAGTTACAGAGGAGTGATTTTGATTTTTATTTAATTATTTTATTTCTTTTTCTTTTCTTTTTTTTTTTTTTTTTTTTTTTTTTTTTGAGGCAGAGTCTCGCTCTGTTGCCCAGGCTGGAGTGCAGTGGTGCAATCTCGGCTCACTGCAACCTCCGCCTCACGGGTTCAAGCGATTCTCCTGCTTCAGCCTCCCGAGTAGCTGGGATTACCTCCATGCACCACCACGCCAGGCTAATTTTTACAAAATAGAGGAGGTTTCGTCACATTGGCCAGGCTGGTCTCAAACTCCTGGCCTGAAGCGATCCACCCACCTTGGCCTCCCAAAGTGCTGGGATTACAGGCCTGAGCCACCGCTCTGGCCTAAGAGTATCTTTTTATAATGCAAGTCTTGTCGTTTTCCTTTCCTGCTTAAAACCCCTCACATCCTTGCTAATGAGGTCTCTAAATGGCCTTCTCAGGGTAAAGGTAGAAAGAATGGCAGATAAAACAAGACAGCTGGCTGATGTGGAGGGTCCTGCCCCTTCCCCCTTACTCTTGTGCACTCAGTTGCACTTTCAGCACCTAACAGTGGCTTAAACTAGGGTCAACAATCTATGTATGGCCCATGGGCCAAATTCGCAAAGATTCTCACCTTGACCGAACTCTCTAGTTAGAATTTTTTGAGCTCTCTTTCTTTTTTCTTTTCTTTCTTTCTTTTTTTTTTTTTTTCTATTTGAGACAGAGTCTTACTCTGTCGCTTAGGCATGAGTGCAGTGGCGCCATCTCGGCTCACTGCAGCCTCCACCTACTGGGTTCAAGCGATTCTCCTGCCTCAGTCTCTCGAGCAGCTGGGATTACAGGCATGTGCCACCACGCCCAGCTTAAGTTTTGTATTTTAGTAGACATGGGGTTTCACCATGTTGGCCGGACTGGTCTCAAACTTGGTGATCCACCTGCATTGGCCCCCCAGAGTGCTGGGATTACAGGCGTGAGCCACTCCGCCCGGCCTGAGCTCTTTTTCAGCTAGGCCTCAACCTTTGGGCTCCCATGTTTATCTCTGTATTGTCCAGTTTTAGCAAGAATCCTGCTAAGTCGGTTTAGCCAGAATCCTTTACCTCTGATGTTGCCTCTTAGTAATTTTTCCATCTGACCCGCATCCTGCTCCTTGGCTAAAAATTTCCACTTGTCTTTGTTGTGTTCAAAGTTGAGCTCAATCTCTCTCCCCCACCGCAAAACCCCATTGCAGTGGCCCCTACAACTGATCCCAATGGTAAGTCTATCTTACCTTCTTTAACAAGTGTCATGAATGACTTTTCTTTTAACAAAATCCAGCCTATTGCCTGTTTTCATACAGCTGGAAAGCTAAGAACGATTTTTACATCACTACATGGTTGAATAAATAACAAGATGAATAACACCTAATAAAGTGCATTAAAGTATGCCATTCACTACTCTAAAGTTTTGCACTTGTTAGCTCATTTTATCATTATAATTCTGTGAAGTAGGTATTATTACTCATTTTATAGATGAACTTTGAAACTGATGCTCCAAAAATTGGCCGGGCGTGGTGGCTCATGCCTGTAATCCTAGCACTTTGGGAGGCCGAGGTGGGTGGATTGCCTGAGCTCAGGAGTTCGAGGCCAGCCTGGCCAACATGGTGAAACCCTGTCTCTACTAAAAATACAAAAAATTAGCTAGGCATGGTGGGGCGTGCCTGTAATCCCAGCTACTCGGGAGGCTGATGCATGAGAATTGCTTGAACCCGGCAGGCAGAGATTGCAGTGAGCTGAGATGGTGCCATTGCACTGCAGCCTGGGTGACAAGCAAGACTTTGTCTCAAAAAAAAAAAAAAGGTGAATTAAGTAGTAGTTCAGCTGGAAAGCTGGGATTCAAACTCAAGGAGCCTTAATTTCGAGCCTATTCTCCCCACATGAAAAGGTATCCAGCACTATGAAGACAGGTATGTGAGTGGCAAAAGAGAGATGTGGGCAACAGATGGTGCTGAGTTCCCAAGAGGGAAGATCACTGTGTCTCAGAGAAGCAAGGGAAAGTTGTGTAGGCAAATGAGGCCATGTTTCCACCATGATGCGAGGCAGCACTAGCCCCAATTAAGTGAGTGTTCTCTATCTCTCCCCACTATCTCAGTAGTGAGCCTGTATTATATTCGATGATTATATTTTGGATTTTTCCAGTAAAAAAAATTGTAGAAATTTGTTTTTTTCTTCACATACAGGTACATACCTAATACCTTCTATTTTGCCTCTTGGTCTGCAAAGCCTAAAACATTTAATATCTGGCCCTTTACAGAAAACATTTGCAGAACCGTGGTTTAAACTAGGGTGTAAACCATAAAGACATTTGTTGTTTATTTAAGAAATCCACACTCCACAAAGCACACATATTTCAAAACATCATGTTGTACATAATAAATATATACAATTTTGTCAATTTAAAAGTTAATTTTAAGAAAAGAAGTTCAGATGTAGGTGATTCCAAGGTTAGTTCAGGAACTCAATAATGGTGCCAAAGACTCAATTTCCTTTTATCTTTCTGCGCTATCATTTGTAGCATTTCTATTTGTTTGTTTGTTTGTTGTCTTCTCATGGTCACAAAATGGCGGTGATAGCTCCAAGCTTTGCAGCTGATAGAAAAAAAGAAGCTTGGACAATGCATGTATAGATCAGAGACCTCTCAGCAAGTGTGGGGTAGAGGCTGACAACAAAAGACCAGGATGAGACAATTACACAATGCTGCCAAGGCCAGCACAGGTCAGAGACAGACTCAGAGATGGATGCTGTCTCTTCATTTAATGGGGAAACAGCAAAGTTTCAGTTTAGAATTAATACCAGTGGAAAAACAAGAGGAAAAATTCTGAATGTGGCTGAGTTAATCTCCATATGAATAGAAATTAATCTGGACATGACAGAAATTAAGTTAACAATAATGAAGTTTGCAGTCTCCTCTAATAGAGTGTCAGCTGCAGGAGGGCAGATATCTTGTCTGCCTTGTTCACTACTGTGGCAGATACTTCATTTTGAGTTGCCTACTCAAAATGCTTTCTTCCTTCCCCCTTCTTCCCTCCTCCGTCCCTCTCTATCCTCCCTTCCTCCTTTCCTTCCTTCCTTCCTTCTTTCCTTCCTTCCTCCTGTCCTCCCTTCCTCCCTCCCCCTTTCTTTTTTTTTTCCTAACACATCTTGAAGTACCTTTGAGATGTCAATATGCCTAGTCAAAGTACACATTTGCCGTTTCCTTTGAAAATATTGGTGGCCAAGTGATGAGCTGTGAGCAGTAGTGGGGTGGGGCTTCAGGAAATGCTCTCTAAAGGAAAGAAGCTCTTCTGACTTGCTCTTCCCTCTGCCCTTCTTCCTCCCTGGAATGTGGACCTGTTTCCTGGAGATGCAACAGCCCTCTTGCAGCCCTGGGAATAAAAACTGAATGCTGTACCAGAGGTAGAGCAGGCCAGTGGAAGGAGCCTGGGTGCTCTCTCTTTCTCTCTCTCTATCTATCTATATATATGTATATTATCTATATATATCTATATATCTATAACATACTATAATATATATTATCTCTATATATCTATATATCTCTATATAATATATAGATATATAATATATATTCTCTCTCTCTCTCTCTCTCTCTCTATATATATATATATATATATATATTTTTTTTTTTTTTTTTTTTTGAGACAGGGACTCATTCTGTCGCCCAGGCTGGAGTGCAGTGACATGATCTTGGCTCACTGCAGCCTTGACCTTCCAGGATCAAATGATCCTCCCATTTCAGCCTCCTGAGTAGCTGGGACTACAGGCATGCACCACCACGCCTGGTTAATTTTTGTATTTTTTTGTAGAGACAGGGTTTCGCCATGTTGCCCAGCCTGGTCTCAAACTCCTATACTCAAGCAATCCACCCACCTCAGCCTCCCAGAGTGTTGGGACTACATGCATGAGCCCCTGTGCCTGGCCAGAGCCTGGGCTTTGAGCAACTGCAGGAGCCCTGGACTCTGAGCTGTTTGTTCTGTGAGGAAAAAGAAACCTGTTTGATTAAACCACTATTATTTAGCTTTTCTGTTACATCAGCTGAACACAATTTTAAGAAATATAAACTTGAATCTCCCGTTCCTAAAATGGTGTCACCATAGAAGGCTCTCAATAGTCATGTGTAGAATGAATGAATGAAATACAAAGGCAGCACTAAAACTTAGTGACAGTAGACAGTTTAAGATGGTAACAAGATGCAGCACCACAGAACTACACGATCCCGGAGAGCCCTCCGTGCTGCAGTCTGCACTCATGGAGCATGAATGAACAGAGTGTGGACACTGCCCCAGGAATTCTGTCATATAGGGCACCCTCTCCACCATCCCAAATGCATATGTGTCAGTTTTTCATGATTATCACATAAATGAAAAAACACAATTGGAAAGTTCTTGGAAAAGCTCTTAGAAAACTCACAGATACCCAAGAATATCCCTCTCTGAGATATAATGTCCAGAAGGGCAATGTTGCCCTGAGATTTTAAACCATGAAGAAGTGCTCACAGAACTCATGGAAGGTGGGTGTTTCCTTTGAACACAGTTTATTGGTAGCCGTGGGTACTATTTGCTACCACCTAGTTGTGTAACTTTAAGAGACAGAAAAATAAAATCCCCTACTCAATGTTCAGCATTCCAAGTTTGAAGTCGGCACAGTTTAGTGTCCAGAGTGGAATTTCATATTCTTCTTTCAACCATAACATACCTACCAATTAGCACAACCTACCGATTTGCTCATAAAGCCCCATTCATCCGCAGCATAACATAAAGCTGCTTTTGATGGGGAAACAGCAACATTTCAGCGTTTAGAATTAATGCCAGTTCTAAACATAGACTTAAGAATGTACATTTTTATTAACTACCCATTAAAAGCAACTCTTTCCATCCCCACATGGCACCACAGAACTACATGATCCCAGAAACTCCTTCACAAGAGGGTCTCCCCTATACAAGAAACAGGTTGGTATACAAGGCAAATTAAACTATTTACCTTATGCACTTAAGATAAAGATATTTTCTCTTAAGGAAGGATTTTCTTTGTAAGTGATGAAGGTGGTTGGGTGCAGTGGCTCATGCCTGCAATCCCAACACTTTGGGAGGCTGAAGTGGGTGGATCACCTGAGGTCAGGAGTTCGAGACCAGCCTGACCAATATGGTGAAACCCCGTCCTACTAAAAATACAAAAATTAGCCAGGTGTGGTGATGGGCATCTGTAGTCCCAGCTACTCGGGAGGCTGAGACAGGAGAATTGCTTGAACCCAGCAGGCAGAGGTTGCAATGAGTCAACATTGTGCCCCTGCACTCCAGCCTGGGTGACAGAGCAAGACTCTGTCTCAAAAAAGGAAAAGAAAATGATGAAGTTGTGTGGGAAGAGCCTGACTATATCGTAATTACTGTTTATTGTCTCCCTTCCCTCCCACTCTCCTGCTGCCAATATGTCCTAAGTTGTTAACTCCACAGCAGCCAGGGGTCTTTGTTTTGTTCACCAAAGTAGCTTCTGCACCTAGAACTTTGACCAGTGCTCGACAAATCCTTCTTGATGAATGAACTGGACCAGAAGGCAGCATAACTGCATAGCGTAGAGCAAATAGCCTATCAAAGATTTTTGTTGGAAATATAAGAATAGATTATTTCACCCACAAAACAAGAATACTTCTTAATATAGGTTATGAAATATATAGAATTATTCCTGGAAACATTTTCACAAAACCATCATCCTGTAGGGCTCACTTTCACCCATGCTTACTCCTCTGCTGGATTACCTTTTACTTTATGCTTCTCTTTCCTCTACCGTATCCATCTTCTCTGTAAGTTCAAATTCCTCCCATACCACGAAGACTGGCCCAAGGGCTATCCTCTCCATATAAGCCTTCTGCACATTAATTTCTCTCTCTTTTTGAATCCTTATGATAATTTATATTTTTCTTAAGACTCATCCCATTATCAATACTGCTATAGTTATTTTGGGGATATCTTAATGGTAAATACCATTGACCCACACATCTCAAACAGCAACAAAATAAACAAAACATATGAAACAAAAATTTTCAAGACACTTGGATATGAGGCAGTGAAGGACAGTGATTCCTGAGGGTTGGGAAACAAATGAGGTGAGCCCTCCTGAGACAGCGTCCAGGTCCCAGTGTGAGAAGGGAAGACTGAGGGATAGCCCAGTAGAAACGCTGAACAGGGGAGACATTGTACGGAGTCTGAGGAGACCAAGACAGAGTTCACAGGAAAGAGTTTGGGATCATTTATTATGGAGGCCTTAGAAAACTAATATGGAGAGGGTGCAGTTTGACCAGTAAAACTTGTTTCTGTGAAGAGTTGCTCCTCAGAGGGAATTTTCTTCAACTCTTTCTTAGCCAATGTAAAAATAAAGACCTTGAAAATAAAATGTAATGTCCACAGAGGACAGTGTGTCATTTTGGTGATGCAGAGTTAAGTGTTCCTGCAGTGTAGAAGGATTTAACTTTGCAAATTTTGGATTTTTTTTTTTAAGACAGGGTCTCCCTTTGTCACTCAGGCTGTAGTTCAGTGGCATGATCATGGCTAACTGTAGCCTCACCTCCTGGGCTCCAAGGATCCTCCCACCTCAGTCTCCCAAGTAGCTGGGATGATAGGAATGTGCCACCACACCTGGCTAATTTTTTTAATTTTTTATTTGTAGAGATAGGGGTCTCATTATGTGCCCCAACTGGTCTTGAACTCCTGAGCTCAAGTGATCCTCCCACCTCAGCTTCTCAAAGTGCTGACACGAGCTACTGTACCCACCCTGGAATTTTTTAAATGAATTGATTGAATATGATGGTTGTTCCCTGAGAATTAAGGTTTTTTGTTGTTGTTGTTTGTTTGTTTGTTTTTTACCTTTTAGAGATGAGGACTTGCTCTGTTGCCCAGGCTGGTCTTGAACTCCTAGCCTAAGGCGATCCTTCTATCTCAGCCTCCCAAACTGTTGGGGTTACAGGCGTGAGCCACTATGCCCAGCCAAGTCTTTTTTCTATTATGATTTATGATGAACACACAATAGAAACTTTTTCCTTTTATCAATTCCACAGTCAGATTTCCCCAGTTGTTTCCAAAATGTCCAATATGTAGCTTTGAATAAATGAATACAAATGTCCTGTAGTGAAACCACGGGACACAACTCATAATGCATGTTGCACAGTCATTTTTCAACTGTGCTGTAATATGAAGTTGTGGTTAAGAATTTATACAATCGGGATGAGTGAACCTTTCTAAGAATTGCTTTTGAAGAGAATCTGGGTAGCATATATCAAGGAACTTCAACATGTTCTTAACCTTGAGTCCACTTCTGCATATCTATCACAATAAAATCACTCTAAATTTAAAAAGAAAAAGTTATAAATGCAACAATGTTCATCATGGAATTGCTGAAAATAGCAAAATATTAGTAATGACAATTATGGAATGGCTTAAAAATACTATGACATAGGCCGGGCGTGGTGGCTTATGCCTGTAATCCCAGCACTTTGGGAGGCCGAGGCGGGCGGATCACAAGGTCAGGAGATCAAGACCATCCTGGCTAACACAGTGAAACCCCGTCTCTACTAAAAATACAAAAACAAAATTAGCCAGGCGTGGTGGCAGGTGCCTGTATTCCCAGCTACTTGGGAGGCTGAGGAGGGAGAATGGCGTGAACCTGGGAGGCGGAGCTTGCAGTGAGCCGAGATTGTGCCACTGCACTCCAGCCTGGGCTACAGAGTGAGATTCTGTCTCAAAAAAAAAATAAAAATATAAAATATAAAATAAAATAAAAAATAGAAATACTATGACATAAGGAATACCATGCAATCATCAAATATGATGTTTAAGAGGACTATATACTACCATGGAAAATAATCTTCTAATGATAATAGGTAAGAGCAGCCTGTGGCTGGGCACAGTGGCTCACACCTATAATCCCAGCACTTTGGGAAACTGAGGTGGGTGGATCACCTGAGGTCTGGAGTTTGAGACCAGCGTGGCCAACATGGTGAAACCCCGTCTCTACTAAAAATATAAATAATTAACCAAGCGTGGTGGTGTGTGCCTGTAGTCCCAGCTACTCGGGAGGCTGAAGCGGGAGAACAGCATGTACCCAGGTGGCAGAGGTTGCAGTGAGCCGAGATCATGCCACTGTACTCCAGTCTGGGCGACACAGCCCGAATCTGTCAAGAAAAAAAAGAAAGAAAGAAAGAAAGAAGGAAAGAAGGAAGGAAGGAAGGAAAGAAAGAAAGGAAAAGAAAGAAAGAAAGAAAGAAAGAAAGAAAGAAAGAAAGAAAGAAAGAAAGAAAGAAAGAGAAAAAGAAAGAGCAGCCTGCAAAATCTAACTTACAGAATGAGTAAAACAATGTTAAAACTATGCTGGAAAAATACTAAAACATTTGCTAACAGTAGATACTTAGGGTCACTGTTCTTCATTATTTTTATATAATTTTTTCTATTTTCCAAATGTTATTGTGATTATTTTGACTCCAGATATGAACAGGCCAAAGCCAATTTATTCACGTGTAATCACCGGCTTTTTAAAATTTTTGATTGGTATCAATAGCTATAAATACAACTTACCCTTGAACACCCCAGGCTTAAACTGTGCAGATCCACTTATACGTGGATTTTCTTCTGCCTCTGCCACCCCTGAGACAGGAAGACCAACCCCTCTTTTCCTCCTCCTCAGCCTGCTCAGTGTGAAGACAAGAGGATGAAGACTTATGATGATCCACTTTCACTTAATGAATGGTAAATATATTTTCTCTTCCTTATTATTTTCTTAATAACATTTTTCTTTTCTCTAACTTATGAGACTATAGTATATAATACATATACAAAATGTATGTTAATCAACTGTGTATGTTATTGGCAAAGCTTTCAGTCAAGAGTAGGCTGTTAGTAGTTATGTTTTTGGGCAGTAGGTACAAAGGTTATACATACCAACCTGTGCAAGATGGTGATATCCTGTCTCTACCAAAAAAAAAAATTTTTTTTTAATTAGCTGGGCATGGTGGTACGTGACGGTGGTCCCAGCTACTCAGGACGCTGAGGTGGGAGGATTGCGTGAGCTCAGAAGTTCAAGGATACAGTGAGCTCGGATCATGCCATTGCACTCCAGCCTGGGTGACAGAGAGATTCTGTGTCTATTAAAAAAAAAAAAAGTCATACATGGATTTTTGACTGTGTGGAGGTTGGCGCTCCTAACCCCGCATTGTTCAAAGGTCAACTACAGTTACGTGGAGCTGAGAGAGCTATAGGCTTTTTCCCCTCTCCTTCCTCTGCAGCTTGAACATCCTTGCTACCAAGTAACATGTTAAAATGAAAGGAAGCCTCAGACCAAATTCTGACATGTGCTCAGGCACTTATTAGAAAGATCCTAAAAGTGTTTATATAACTTGTTCTGCAAGCTGGATGAAGTCCCTACTTTCAGAAATATTAGGTGCTTTGCCACCCTTGCATGAAAGAAGCTGTGTGAATGAATCAGGACTCAGTTATCCATACAGTTGGCAGGAGGAAATTGGAAAACTTCCAATTATCAACTAGTCTCAAGAATGTTTAGGAATCATGCTTTTTGTACTATCATCCTTCCCACCTCCTTTTTTTTCTTTTTGGTACACTGGACAGGGTAACTTTAAAGTATTTTAGCCAATCTCACATCTTGACTTCCACTAATATTATAAATGAAAACTCATTTTTAATACTCTTGTTCTGCCTAGCAGAGGAAAAGGTAAACCCTCTCTGGTAGAAGATATCATCATCTGCACACTCTACCATTTTTTAAATAAACAATGTTCAGCATTCATTCAAAAATTCTTAGAAATATCAGGCTGGGCGCAGTGGCTCACATCTGTAATCCCAGCACTTTGGGAGGCTGAGGCAGGTGGATTACCTGAGGTCAGGAGTTCGAGAGCAGCCTGACCAACATGGCAAAACCCCATCTTTACTAAAAATACAAAAATTAACTGGGCATGGTGGTGGGTGCCTGTAATCCCAGCTACTCAGGAGGCTGAAGCAGAAGAATCTGGGAGGCAGAGTTTGCAGTGAGCCAAGATGGTGCCACTGCACTCCAGCCTGGGTGACAGAGCGAGACTGTCTCAAAAAATAAGTTCTCAGAAATACAAAAAATTTGCTAGGCATTGGTGGCGAATGCCTGTAATCCCAGCTACTCGGGAGGCTGAGGCAGGAGAATGGTTTGAATCTGGGAGGCGGAGGTTGCGGTGAGCCGAGATCATGCCATTGCACTCCAGCCTGGGCAACAAGAGCGAAACTCCATCTCAAAAAAAAAAAAAATCAAAATAAGCCAAGAGAGGGGGAAAAAAACCAAATAAACAATAGCAATAGATCCACAGGTGATCCAGATGTTGAAGTTAACAGACAACGTGGTTTAAAGTAACTATGATTAATACGTTCAAAAATAAATAAACAGGCAAGGTGCGGTGGCTCACGCCTGTAATCCCAGCACTTTGGGAGGCCCACGCAGGTGGATCATGAGGTCAGGGGATTGAGACCATCCTGGCCAACATCGTGAAACCCCATCTCTACTAAAAATACAAAAATTAGCTGGGTGTGGTGGCGCTCGCCTGTAATCTCAGCTACTCCGGACGCTGAGGCAGGAGAATTACTTGAACCTGGGAGGCAGAGATTGCAATAAGCCGAGACTGTGCCACTGCACTCCAGCCTGGCAACAGAGTGAGACTCTGTCTCAAAAAATAAATAAATAAAAATAAATAAATAAAAAGGGATAGCAGATAAAAAGATGGAGAATTTCTTACCCTTTATAGAACTGAAATCTAAAAAAGAATGAAGTTGAAATTCCAAAGCCAAAGTACATTACCATTATAACAGTATTACATTTTTAGAAAGTTCTTGCTGAGTGTGAGCTGAGACAACATATGTGTTCTTTTGTGGAGTCACAATCTTACTACTCCCTAGCTAGGAGCTAAGGAGGCTCCTAAACGCCTACAGCCACTGTGGAAGTTCAGACACTAGCAGTCACATACTGATGAACTGAAGCCATTGCAAGGAAGCTGTGAGGGTTACATGACATCCTCAGAGTGCATAGATGAGCCAGCAAAATGAGGTCTCCTTCCAAACTTGGGATTTAGCTACCATAGGCAGCAATGCTGTTATGTAATTTAAGGGAACTTGGCAATAAATGAAATAACAGTTAATCTATAATTTCTCCAAATCACTGATCCTTAAAGTCGGGTTCAGGCAAACCAGAGTATGTAGACAATCTCCTAGGTTTTAGGGAGGAAATGCTAAAACTTATGTTTACGTTTAACTCATGTTTGAAATGCCTATATATTTATTTTACACCATGTACTTACTATGTTGGTATTGTAGAATATATTAACTTACAAATAAATAGATATGCATCTTTTGGAAGTAAGTTTAAATTTTTTTTAAATTGCTGGCCAAAGTTTGGAGACCATTTTTTTCTAAACCTACATATTTATTTACTAAATTCCATGTTGCATCTACTAAATCATGAATAAAATCTTACCACAGTTGGTTAATATCTGAATTTGGAGTTGCATTTGTTTCCTCAGTTTTCTTCATCTATAAATCCTTGGCACTCAGCTGTTTTGTGAACTAGGCTAAAATGGCGATCTCATTTGCAGAAAATAAAATAGTTTTCTCAAAGTGAAGTTATTTCCCATACATTTTTATTAAACCTTTGCTTATTGTTATTATTTGTTTTCTAGTGTGTTGGTAACAATAAAACAGATGAATAAGTAGAGAATTAGTAATAAAAGAAACATCAAGATATAGTTTTTTTTATAGCTTGCCTGCTTTTTTTTATACAGATACATGCTCTTATTTGTGATTTTTTTATTGCAGATGTATAATATACTCATATATTTATTCTTACCTTTTTTGATGGAATTAAATTTATCAGGTAAAGGTTTGGTAAGGTCGCTCTGACTCCCAAGATATGGTGATGCCTGGAAAAACTTGTGAAGATTATTTTATTTTATGGCTTTGTTATCTGGTATCTGTTAATAGCACTTGGAAGAATAACAAATTATTTATGCACAAACAAACTGATAGTTGTAAAAGCAGATTTTGAGAGTAGATAAGGGAAGGAAGTAAAGGCCTGCGGCAGCTAAAGAAGTGAGAAAGTCCAGTAAAAGGTACAGAAAATAAACTTCCTCCTACCTCCCAGTTTTGCTGGAGGCAGACCCTGCAACTGAGAGTCTTAAGAGTTGGAAGAAAACTCAGAAGTCATCTAGCCCCACTGTGACTGAAGGGATTCTGAAAACATGGGACTTACAGTATTAAAACTGGGAAAGTCCCAGCAAACCAGGATGAGTTGGTCATGCCTCCTACCTTCCGCAAGAATACCTTTTGACATGATCACATATGCTATTATTGTTCCCAATTTACAGATGAGGTTGGGTGGTCAGCCAAACCTCTGTTAGAATATTCTCAGTGATGGGAAACTAGATAGTGGTTCTACTGGATGCTTCTGCCTCAGAATGAACTATTTTCCCCTCTCATTTACGCATTGGTCCTTTTTTTAATGAAAATCACATAGGACTTTTATTTGGTAAGTCTAGAAAATCAACTTGCTGAGAGGTCCAAAAAAAAAAAAAATCAAACAACAACCATACCCCTTCTTCCCTCCAACTCAAGTACATTCATTTCCCATCCAAGTATTAATCAGGCCTGACCCTGTCGAGCTTCCAAGATCAGATAAGGTCGGGTGTGTTCAGGGTGGTATGGCCATAGACTTCATATTCATTTCAGTTTAGCCCAGCACACAGTACCTGTGCTAGGCCCAGGAGGGGATCTGAAAAAGAGCATGGACAAATGAACAAATCTAGAAAGACTATTTGATAAATGTGTCTAAACATGGTAGCCCAAAATAGTGCCTCTTTGGGAATAAAAGTGTAATATGCAATGCATACAAGAAATAGAGGTGTGGATAACTAAATCCAGACTGTAGCAAGCTGTTTGCTATAGTCTAAGTTGCTGTAGTTTGTCCAATCACTCATACTTGACAAGTTAATTCAAATTGGCTTGATTATGTGGACATCTTCAGCTCAAAGAGTAAATGACAAATTTATTCAGAGACAAAATTACTGTAAAAATAGTATTACAAAGATAATTTTGAAGGCCGGACATGGTGGCTTTCACCTGTAATCCCAGCACTTTGGGAGGCTGAGGTGGGTGGATCCCTTGAGCCCAGGAGTTCAAGACAAGCCTGGGCAACATAGCGAAACCCTCTCTCTACTAAAAATACAAAAAATTAGCCAGGCATGATGGCATGTGCCTGTGGTCCCAGCTACATGGGAGGTTGAGGTGAGAGAATCACTGGCACCTGGGAAGTCAAGGCTGCAATGAGCCATGATCGCGGCACTGTACTCCAGCCTCAGCAACAGGAGTGAGATTCTGTCTCAATAAAAAATAAAAAAAATAAAAAAAATAAAAAGATAATATTGAGGGGGAGGAAGGAAAAACTCAAGGAAAGCCACAGTTACCATTACAATTATAATCCATATTCACTAACTATCATTACTAACAAGGATATAAAACCAGTTATGGTTAAATGTACTTAAGGTGTTAATTTAGCAGGTGTGCAATGACATTGCAATGTAGAATAAAACAGAAACCTGGAGTGATTTTTGCAATGCAAAGTAAAGAAGAGAGGCTACAATTAATATTAAAAATACAATTAATTTAGGTTGCTGTGGGCAATCACTTTACTTAATATTAGCCTGAAATGTACTTTAAGATAAAAATAATCTGGCTCTTCTTTCTTTCCTTTTTTTGGATTAGGTTTCCGCAGAGGCCAAATATACCAGATGACTGTGAAATTTTCACTTTAATTTGCATGCGTAAGTATAGTCTTGGATATTAGAAATGAGAAAAAATGAAATGTAACTGATCAAGTGTAAGGGAATACATCCTGATTAAGAGAATAGAATCAATTTTCGGAAATCTAGGAGTAAATGCTCTGTGTCAATAGAAACAAATTTAAGCTTACATCATGGCCAGCAGATTTTAAAAATTTCTACTGATAATTCTATAACATAAGTTTAACCTGCTTTCTGACTTTTTTAATGCAAAAGGTTGTTTAATTGACTTGTCTAAATCTGTCAGGTATTTTGGAGGTTCATATGCATGAACTTGACATTAAAAGCCAAAACCAGACAACAGCATGCTATGCACATGGGAAGTAAATAGATAGCATATGATTTTTGTATTTGGCTTCGAATCATTTAAAGTGATGGTTATCACTAGTGCCAGGTATTTTTGATATCATGTAATTTTTCGAAGTGATATCTAGATGTGGCTCTGGTTCCTGAAATCTTAGCCAGTTATGGACCAAAAAATGCAGTTTTAAAATAAAGTAATAAAATTAGCATAGTTTTTTTTTTTTTTTTGGACAGAGTTTCACTTTGTCCCCCAGGCTGAAGTGAGTGCAGTAGCGCAATCTCGGCTCACTGCAAGCTCTGCCTCCCGGGTTCACGCCATTCTCCTGCCTCAGCCTCCCGAGTAGCTGGGATTACAGGCGTCCACCACCACGCCTGGCTAATTTTTTGTATTTTTAGTAGAGACGGGGTTTCACCATGTTAGCCAGGTTGGTCTCGATCTCCTGACCTCGTGATCCGCCCACCTCGGCCTCTCAAAGTGTTGGGATTACAGGCGTGAGCCACCACGCCCGGCCAATATTTTACATATGCAGAATATTTTAGACAAAGGATTTTTATTTTGATTAAAAGTGCTATACAAATAAAAAATAAAAATAAAACCTCTTGGGTTTGAGTGTCAAGAAATTAAAAAATGTATACCATTACATTTCCACACTATTTAAAGTGCAACTGACAAACTGCCCCATCTTAGAGTATTTTCCCAAGAGTAAAGAGGGTGAGTACCAGAGTAAAGAATAAATAGAGTAATTAAAGAAAGTGGGTAATATTGTTACCTTTCATGATTAGTTAGCCTAAGAAGCAAGAGAGCTGGCCGAACTTTAGAGGGTTCCTTAAAATAAATTTCTGGTCTTTTTGTTGAACACATCTGATCTATCTGTTGTCTCTAAGATTTTTTTTTTAATCTCATCCATCTTCCTCTGGTCTTGTCTCCTGATATTTTAGCAGTGTAAGGGAGAGGCTATGTTCACTTCTCTACTTCTTTCCAAAGAAATTTTCTTTTTTCTTTTTCTTTGAAAATAAGAAAACATCTTTCATTGGCTGGGGCAGGGTTTTAGGGTGGAGAAAGCATTAGGTTGCTTTCAGATTTTTTATACAAGGCTCCGATTGTTTTATTTTTTATATTATTATTATTATTATTATTTTGGAGACAGAGTCTCACTCTGTTGCCCAGGCTGGAGTGCAGTGGCATGATCTTGGCTCACTGCAACCTCCGCCTCCCAGATTCAAGTGATTCTCCTGCCTCAGCCTCCGGAGTTTCTGGGCTTACAGGCATGTGCCATCACGCCTGTCTAATTTTTGTGTTTTTAGTAGAGACAGGGTTTCACCATGTTGGCCAGGCTGGTCTCCTATTCCTGACCTCAGGTGATCCATCCGCCTCAGCCTCCCAAAGTGCTGGGATTACAGGAGTGAGCCACCACGCCCCACCTGATTATTTTATTTTGTATTCTTGCTTTTAGAATTATTCCGTATATCAACACAGCTGGTCTTATTACAATAATTTTGATATTTTAAACAAATCAGTGATGCTAAGGAACGTCACTGAGTGTTGACATGTCTGTGAAAGCCTTTATATGGAAACTAAGATATCTTTGTTAGGAATGGGGAAACAAAGGTA
Organism: Homo sapiens; assembly: GCF_000001405.40. NCBI lineage: Eukaryota > Metazoa > Chordata > Mammalia > Primates > Hominidae > Homo > Homo sapiens. The sequence continues at coordinate 116,947,455 of NC_000007.14, forward strand.
AATGTGATAATAATGTATCATAATGTCTCAACTTAGTCATTGTGAATCTCTCACTGTCAGATTAAGATGTACATGCAGTGTATGTTAATTACGGAAATGCATTCTGCCTTATACATGCAGAATTATATCTTAGAGAACTTCTCCCCAAGCTTTTTGCTAACCAAATCATCTTTTCAACTATATACAGGTCTTTGAAAGTCCATCTCTTCAATATTTTATGACAGAGTGTGTTGACTTGAAGAAGTTAGAAATGGCAAATTCCCTTCCAAACCTGTTTTTCTGCTCTTACTATATCTCTAAACTAAACATGTTGGATTTGCACTTATTCGGGTCTAGGTAAGTCACTAAATAAGGATAATCAGTTATGTAGGATGTTATTCATGAGTATAGAATATTGACCAATTCAAAAACCCAACCAGTGAACATGGATGAGATTTTTTAAATAAAAACCAACAAGTCAGAACAGTTATTTCTTGTGTTTAAATTTCAGATGAACTCTGAAAATTGTTTACAAAAGTAGATTCTTAAATTTATAACAAAGTATAAAACTAAAGACTATGACAGCCAATATAAGCATATATCCCTTCCAAATATCACAAACAAGAAACAAAACAGAAATACTTTTAAAGAACTTTTAAAGTTCTTCGCTGATATACTGGTTTCTTATTCAGCTCAGATATTTTATCAGACTAAGATATATACTTTAACCAAATATATAAACCGATATAAGAGGAATTTAGGAGCATATTGCTTTTGACATAGTTATTATAAGTTAATGGTCATTTCACTACTATTATCCATTCCAAAGGTGCTTACACCTTTAGAAACAAACTTTTTTTTTTTTTTTGAGACACAGTCTTGCTCTGTCACCCAGGCTGGAGTGCAGTGGTGCGATCTCGGCTCGCTGCAACCTCCGCCTCTCAGGTTCAAGCAATTCTCCTGCTTCAGCCTCCTGAGTAGCTGGGACTACAGGCGCGTGCCACCACACCAGGCTAACTTTTTGTATTTCTAGTAGAGATGGGGTTTCACCGTGTTAGCCAGGATAGTCTCAATCTCTTGACTTCATGATCCGCCTGCCCCGGCCTCCCAAAGTGCTGGGATTACAGGTGTGAGCCACCGTGCCCGGCCAGAAACAAACTTTCAAGGAAGCTCACCACGTGCTGGTGGCCAAATCTTAACTTTTGCCCCTGAGTTAAATCTTAGTATTCTTTGTGTCTGTGTTTGTAAAATGTAAGATTTGGAATTTCTTTTCATGTAATTGATTTTTCATTCCTTTATACAACACTCAATATTCATGAACATGTACCATGTGCCAAATGCAGCACAATTTGTACTAGATTAAAATTCAGAGGACTAAAATTAACCACAACAATAACAAATTACTTAACCTTAAAGGCCTCCATTTAATAACAGAGAGGAAAGATATGGACAAGGTGTTCTGCTCAGCATTTTTGGTATGCATATCACTCAATCTTCACAACAACCATATGTAAAAGGCATAAGTGTAACCCATTGTACAGATGAAGTAACTTAATAACTTGCCAAAGAGCACCCAGTTAGGGAAAGGCAGGATCAGAAATACAGCCCAGCACTGTTTACTCTAAACCTGGTTGTTAATGACCTTCCTGGTGCTGCATCTCACAGGGAAGAGACCGTGAGCTCAGGGGGTGGAGGGAGCTGGTGTTACCAAGGAGGTGGTATTTCAAGTGGTTCTCTAAATAACCCGTTATCAGGCAGTTGACGCAGGAAAGAATGTTGGTCAGGGAAGTGGAGCACAGAGAAGTGTATTACAGGCAGGTTGTGTGGAGCAGGTCCAAAAGTGTGAAAGAGAATAGCATGTTTGCCAAAATGCTGGTGCTATTAAGGTAGGCAGAAGTGCCCTTGCAGAAGGCCTGAATACCATCTAGATTCCATCCTTTAGTTAGACACTGGGATAAAAGTAGGAGTGCAGTAGGGGTGGGGCCTTAAATAATTTTATGCAAGGAACGAGTTATCGGATTTGTGCTTTAAAAGGTAACTGGTAGAGAAGTGTGGAAAGTGGATGGAAGGAGGCAGTGGTGGTGCTTGCCGTGGTGCAAATAGAGGCAGGGAGCCCACTGCCTTGTTCTCTATGAATGATGATCAGGCTATCACCAAAGGCTGAGAGAAGTGGCGGCCTGAGTCTTGATGTACAGTGGAATATAGAGAGGAAAGGAGGTACATGATGCTCAGATTTCTGAATTAGGGAACTGGAAGGATGGTGCCCATTCCTTGATGGAACTCTAAAAGGAACAGATGAGGGTGAAGAGGTAATGCATTCCATTCTGCATGTGATGAGCTTGGTGATTGTGTGCCATTCCACTGGGTGATTATCAAGAGGTAGTTAGGCATATCTGGGGTGTCATTATTTCATTAACGGTCCCACTCAAGAGCCCCCCCCTTATCCGTGCTCTGCCTGTTTTTTTTTGTGTGTGTGTGTGAGGCAGAATCTCACTGCTACACCCAGGCTGGAGTGCAATGGTGCAATATCGGCTCACTGCAACCTCCACCTCCTAGGTTCAAGCAGTTCTCCTACCCCAGCCTCCCGAGTAGCTGGGACTACAGGTGCGTGCCACCATGCCCGGCTGATTTTTGTATTTTTAGTAGAGACAGGGTTTCACCATATTGGCCAGGCTGGTCTCAAACTCCTGACCTCAAGTGATCTGCCTGCCTCAGCCTCCCAAGGAGTGCTGGGATTACAGGCGTGAGTCACTGCGCCAGGCCTGCCCTGCCTGTCTTATCAGTCACCAAGGCCTGTCACTTCTGCCTCCCCTCCCTTCCTTCCTCCCTTCCTTCTCTCCTTCCTTCACTCCTTCCTTCCCTTTATTTTTCTCTCTCTGCCTCTTTCTTCCCTTCTTCCCCTTCTCCCCGCCTCCCTCCCTCCTTCCCTTCCCCCTCTCCCTCTTTCTTTCTTTCTTCCTTCCTTTTCTCTTTCTTCTTTCTTTCTCTCCCTTTCTTTCTTTCTTTCCCCTTCCTTTCTCTCCCCTTCCCCTTTTTCTCTTCCTCCTTCTTTCCTTTCTTTTTCTTCTTTCTCTCTCTCCTTCCTTCTTTCTTCTTTCTTCCTTTCTTTTCTTTCTCTATCTTTCCTTTCTCTCGCTCCCCTTCCCTTCCCCTTTTCCTTCCTTCCTTCCTTCCTTCCTTCCTTCCTTCCTTCCTTCCTCCCTCCTCCCTCCTCCCTCCCTCCCTTCCTTCCTCTCTCTTTCTCTCTTTCTTTCGACAAGGTCTCACCCTGGAGTGACTGGCACAATAACAGCTCACTAAAGCCTCAAACTCTCAGGCTCCAGTGATCCTCCAACCTCAGCCTCCTGAGTAGCTGGTAGTACAGGCACACACCACCACACCCAGCTAATTTTTAAAATCTTTTTGTACAGACAAGGTCTCCTTGTGTTGCCTGTGCTGTTCTCAAACTCCTAGACTCAAGTGATTCTCCCACCTCGGCCTCCCAAAGTTTTGGGATTACAGGCGTGAGCCATCTACTTCCTTAATATTTCTTAAATCTCCACTTAAATAAATCTCTGAGTTGGTCATTTGGATTGGTGTGTGCAATGCCCCATAACTATGAACACCTTAGCGTTTCTAGTAGGCCCTTCAAAATGACTCAGGCCTGTATCTTTAGCTTTGTCTGTATCCACACCACTCTGCAGAGGCTGCACTCCAGCTATACTGAAGCAGCCACAGTTTGCAAGAGATTATGCTTACTCACTTCTGTTTTGAAGTGTTTTGAAGCACAAAGGCATGTGTACAGTCCCCACCACATGCCAGGATGCACACCAGGAGAGGCAATGATATAGGGCTGACTTCCCAGGAGCGCCTAGTAGAAAATTAGAAGATTGTGACTTAGCGGAGTCATATTCATGTCCATTCATTGAAGTTCATTGACAGCAAAAAGCCAGGCCTCCGGATGTTCATTTAAATTAAGTAGTCAATATCCTAATTCAGTGACTCGCAGAGAATCTGGTGGGTTATTTAATCATCACATAAAATAGGTGGTTCATGTACTCATGTTGAGGCAGGAGACTAGGTTCTGGAGGCAGGGAAACTAAGGACTTCCTTGAACTACATTGAAAGGAAAACCCTAACTTTCCACGCCTAAGTAACAAAAGGACCAGAGGCTACCTTTGACCTTTTCTGCCTAGTAGATGGGAAATTGGCTGTCTGTAACCAATCAGACTGACTGCGGGTCCAATCTTCATTTGCAACTTTGTAACTTCACTCCAGCCTCTGAATGGTTGTTGTCCACAACTAATCAGACTGTGGGCGAGTCTTCGTTTGCATAGAAGCATAACTTCATTAAGTACATCCCAGCCTCTGATTGGTTGTTTTTTGCAACCAATCAGATGTTTGCACAGGAGTGTTACCTTTGTATCTTCATTTCAGCCTCTGGTTGGCTGCTTTCTGCAACCAGTCAGACTGATTGCGGGCTACCACTTCATTTACGTGAGATGAGCATGAGTTGCCAAAGGGAAACTTCTTGGGGGTATTTGGACCCAAGAAGATTCTGTATTCGGCCTTTGAGCCGCTGCTCCGCCCGCTCCCACAATGTAGAGTGTACTTTCGTTTTCAATAAATCCCTGCTTTCGTTCTTTTGTCGCTTCTCTGGGTGTTTTGTCCAATTCTTTGTTCAAAACGCCAAGAACCTGGACAACCTGCAGTCACGATCCTTTACTGGTGACAATATTGTTTTATTTTACTGAGATTCCATGTATCAGTGTTAGACACAAAAATCATTTGGTCATGTGCTGCCATAAATAACTATAAAGAAAGTCTATGTGTGCCAATTTCACTTATTCTGGCCTGGATCTCACTGTAGTAGATCAAATGTGAGGAAGAAACAGTAGCCGAGAGAGGCTGGAATTAGTAAAAATTTAAGAGTAGTTCCATCCATTATGTATGCCGTAATAGGCCCTATATGTGAAAAGTTAAAGGAGCTTATTTAATTATGAAGGAAACTATTATACAAGTAAGCAAAACAATTTATAATAAAATATTCTTTATGCTCAGAATTTTAAAAATAGATGTAGACTGGAAAACCTGCAATTTCCTCATTACCATCTAATACATAGAAAGTCAAATCACTTACGGACAGAAACAGACTTGAAAATTTCAGCTGAGAAAACATTTTAGAATAAAAGAAACATTTTATTCAGCACAGTCAAAACAAAACAAAAACAACAAAACAATGTTTAAAATGGACTTTCTGTTAGAGGTGGCCGTTTCACAGTCAAAATTATCCCAGAGAATTGTTTATATTAAAAACAGGCTGAGAATAGTTTGACCTCTGATCACCAAAAAACCTGGAGGATAAACATTCATCTGTCAAGATTTCTCTGGAAAATCCCTGCGCTGCTTCAAAGAGACAGAACAAAGGTAAATAGCATCTGCCACCCAAATCTTGCTGAATAGAGTGATTTATCTTCAGGCCTACTAGCCGGCGACAGGAGCGCACCTCCTCCCTTCTCCTAGCTGTCCCGGGTTTATTCATTCCCTGAGCCTGAATCCTGATAAGGGAGCAGAGTAGGGTTTAAGACCTCGGACCCCAGAATACACCACTGCAATTGAATTTTGGTTCCACCTTAAGGTAAACTACGCAGCTGCTGTGAGCCTCAGTTTCCCTACCTATAGAAAGAGGATCGTAGTGGGGAATTGTTGCAGGGGTTAAATGAGATTGTACGGATCGTGGAGCAGCGCCTGGCGTGTGGTAAACGCTCAACTTATGCGGGTTGTAACTGCCTGAGGCGTTTCCTTCGGCGCGCCACTTGGCCTTCTCTTTCTAAATATTAGCATAATAAATATAAATGGACCCAGAACGCGAGGGGGCAGGGGCCACGTGATCGCTCCACGAAAGCCACTTGTAGGGACCTTTAGAGAGTTAGCAATAAGGCTGGAGAAGGAAAAGCCGGCGCGCCCGCGGCCCGCGCGATTTCCCGCCGAGCCCGCGTCCCCGGCGGCGGGCGGGCTCCGGGGGCGCCCGGGCCGCGGCGGCGGCGGCGGCGCGAGCTGCGCCTCCGGGCCGGTGAATCATCCCGGCAGACACCAAGAGCCGCGGCAGCAGAGAGGAGCGCTGAAACATGGCTGAAGCGGCCACGGGCTTTCTGGAGCAGCTCAAGTCCTGCATAGTTTGGTCTTGGACGTATCTGTGGACCGTGTGGTTCTTCATCGTGCTATTCCTGGTCTACATCCTGCGGGTGCCTTTGAAAATCAACGACAACTTGAGCACAGGTAAGGCCTGGGAGCCGGGCCCGCGGCGCCCACCCCTCCCCCGCCCCGGAAAGTTAGTGCAACTCGCGCGGGGCCGCGGCCAGGCGCGCGCTCGGGGACGCGCCGGGGCCCGCGCACCGGAGGCCCGCGGCTACCCGCCAGCAACGCGGCGGCTTAGGCGGCGGGGCCGGGCAGCTGGGCGCGCGGGGGCGGCCGGTGGCCTTCACGGCCCCGCGGAGGAAGAGCTGCGCCGCGCACAGCCCGCAAGGCGGGCCGGGCCGGGCCGGCAGCCGCCCTGCTGCGTCGCTGGTGGTCGGGAGACGGAGAAGAACGGGTGTCGCGGGCGAAGGAGTTCCCAGGACACCCCCTCGGGTGTCTGCGCCGGAACTCCGAGGGTTCCCCGGAGTTAGACCGAGTCCTTCCTCACGCCCTCCCGGCTGTGGGTGCCAAGCGGCCGAAGTGTGGTCGGGGAGGCGCCCTCCCGCCCGGCCGCGGAGGCCCGAGGGCGGCTGCCGGAGGGTGCTCGGCGGCGAAGCCCCCTGACCCGGCCGGGCTGTCCGGGCGGCGCCCTCCGTGGCCCGGAGTTGCGTCTTGCCGGGCGTGGGGCTGTCTCTCTGGTTGGGTAGTGGGGAGAGGGGTTCCCGAAGGCACTCTTGGGAGTGTATGGATGACGTGTCAGGTCACCAAATGGATTGTCGAAGGGACCGGAGGGAAGAGGGGAGAGCTGGAATTTCTGAGGGTTTCGGTTGCAGTTTTCAGTGATCTTTGCTCGTCTCCCTTCCCTGTAAAGCTACATATGCTCAGCAAGTGCCGCGTGCCTCCCATCCTTGGTCGGTGGTAAATGCAGGAGGTAATTAACAGGATCTTCACAAACTTGGAGCCAGCCCACTGAGTCGTTAAAAAAACACCCGCAAAGAAAACACACGAGCCTTAACACTCCAGAGAGTTCCGAAACACAAAGTAAATTTCGAGCTAAGGGTTACAGTCCTTTAAATCTGGAAATTTCAAGGTAGAGTGTTTTTGTTTTTGTTTTAAATTTTAATTTCACAGTACTGGGAAATTCTTACAGTCCTGAAGATATATACATATGTACACATATATATCTTCCCTTGTTAATCTCCATACTCTGGGAGTGCAAGTCTGGAAATGCATTTTCCTCAGGTGTTTAGCTGCATTAAAACGCTTTTTAAAACGCTTGAGATAATGTACTCATTTTGTTAGGAAACTTGTACCTTTCAGATACTAACTTAAGTATTTTGATTACTAACTTGAACTCATGTTCATATTTACATTTGTTTTGTAGTATCCCTCGGGATCGTGTCCCTGGGAGGCGGATAGGATTCAGCACTCTAGAATTGTCTCACCATTTGAATAGGTGCTGCTCAGCCCTTTTGAGTCTGTCATCGGAAAGACCATGGCTTTCTCGCTTTTCATCTTTTTGGATGGCTGCTTGTCGCAATATTGTCTTCTTCGCTTTAGACAAGTATGTCTCCAGGATACCTTCTGGTCTCAAAGTTCTATACCTTTAAGAAGTTGTTTGAATATATGTTTTAATGGAATTACGTATTTGTTGGTAACAGTGTTAGTCTGTTTTGTGCTGCTGTAACAGAATACCACAGATTGGGTAATTTTTAAAGAACACATTTTATTTCTTGTAGTTCAGGAGTCAGGGAAGTCTTGAGATCAAGGGACTGGCATGTGGGGAGGTCCTTCTTGCTGTCATCCCTTGGTGGAAGGTGGAAGGGTAAGAGAACATGAGAAAACAAGAGGGGGCCCACTTTCACTTTTATAACAAACCTACTCCCTCAATAACAAAATTAATTCATTCTTGAAGGCAGAGCCTTCATGACCTAATTACCACTCACAGGTCCCACCTTTCAACACTTTTGCACTTGGGATTTTCAAACACACTAGTTTTTAAAATATTAATGTTTCTCCTTATTACACACTTAAAATTTTATTTCATGATATACATTTGTATATCACATTTTCATCAGGTTAAATAATTACCCATGTATATATGTGTAAGTGTCACATCCAGTGCTCTGTGCAGATCAGGCAAGAAGCAAAATATCTACTGGGAAAATGTGTACTTCTTAAGGAAGGGCATTGTTAGGTCTTCTAGCAATTTAAATCTAGCATTTCTCAGAGATGCCTTTGTTAATTTGTGTAGGGGCAGTTCTAAGAGATAGCGAAAATATGAAGATGAACGTGCCATCCGGGCTGTACCTTGCTAGACACATGATAGAAGACCTGATGATGCTGGACTTTTCAGTTTGGTTTCATGCTCATTTCAGTCATAAAGAAAGATAAAAGGGGAAGCACACAGAGAGCACTCACCTCTCTGCTGTTTTTATGAGAGGGTAGCAGGATCTGGGGTGGGAGGAGGACTTTGGCATTAATTTTGAGACATGAAATTATAGCCACAAACCACCCTAGAACAGTTTAGGTTTTTCAAAAAACAGTTGCAGACATTAGAGGCCTATTTTCTTCCCTTTTAAGTAACAGTGAGAAGTTATAGTAGGAAAACTGCCAAAAGGTTGTTGTCAACTTAATTCCCTCCTTTCCTTGCCAATTCCCCTCCCCTTTGGGAAAAAGTTTCTGTACTGAAGTTATTGGCAAGGAAGGCCCAGGGAGAAAGAAGTCATTAGCCAGCACCCCTGAGAGGGGAGGCAGGAGCTAGCCTGGTCTAACTTGTCCTTGCAGGGAGGTCTAAAAGAGTTCTAACGGGACTAACTTTGCTGTTCTTCAGCCCTGTGGTGCTTACTCTTCCTGTGATGAAGGCAAGTGTGTTCCTGGAGAGGTTACTGAATCTGGAGCTGCTTTTAGGGAGTTGCAGATGGCGCAGGCCTCCCTTCCTCCTCAAGGAAGCCAAAGACACCATCACAATCAGGCAGCCAGGAGCCAGGGCTTCCATAGGCCCAGCTCTGTACCTGTAGGGGGATGGAATCTGCTAAAAGTGTTCTGGAGTCATTCTTGGATATCTGCTTGGTATCTTCTCAATATCTTGACCATCTGTGACAATTTTAATCCTCATTTGATCATATTTTATGGTAAATGAGCTTAACTCGATTTTTTTTTAATTTAGATGCCTCCTAATGTACTATAACAGGTGCTATGATAAGAAAGATGAATGAGTTTGTAAAACCCAGGGTAAATAAGGAGTTTACTACAAGAATACAACTTCCCATATGCAAGATGGGGCTGGGCAAGGCTGTGAGAGCTTCTCTTGAATTGAGCCTAAGAGGATGAGGAGAATTCCATGATTGAGGACTCAGAGGTGGACCTCCCAAACAAAGGGACAAAGTTGTGAAAGTGCAGGTCAGATTCAGAGAAGAGCTAATCGTGGAATTTAATTTAAAATAATAAAAGAAAAGGACTTTGATGAACAACCATACCGTTTTTAGCTCTTACATCGTGTAGTTTTCCAAGTAAAAATGCTTTGAATGCTGTTTTTGAGGTATACTACTTCCCTACTCCCACCAGCTTGGCTCGTGTGACCTTCGTTGCATTGAGCCAGTGCCATTTAGGGTAGGGATATAGTTCAAAGAATTCCACAGTATTCTCTTAGACCATACAGAGAAACCTTAACATTGGCAATCACATCTTGTAATGAAAATGAATTTTAAAAAAGAAAGGGGAGAAAACGAACATAATAGGAATAGTACATAGTGGCTAGCTTTGATAATAGTTTTTTTTTTTGTTTGTTTTTTAAGAGAGTCTTAGTATGTTACCTAGGTTGGGCTTGAACTCCTGGGCTTAAGGGATCCTCCCACCTCAGCCTCCCTAGTAGCGAGTACTACAGGTGTGTGCCACCATGCCCAGCTGCTGGTAACTGATTTTTGAGGCTCTGCTCTTGATTTGGATACAATAGTGTTAAAATAGTTTTATGATTTACTGAAAATAGAATGAAATTTTAACAAGGTTTTTAAAAGACCCCAAATAATATTACTTGTCAGTTTTCAAGTGAATTAATATCATAAAGCAATACTTTTCCAAAGGGCAGAAAATTAATTGTAGATTGGCACAGTCATGCAGGATATTATTAAAATAGGTGAGTCTTAAAAAATAGTACCATAACTTATACAGTGGTGTTGATGGCACTTTCTCATCTACCCTATGTTATAAAGTTTTTTGCTGCTGAATTTAAACACCTTTTCCTAAAACGGGCAACTTTGCTGTTTTTGCAAAAAGCAGCATAAGTGATTTTCCAATTCTTTTTCTATTTGCTGAAAAGCAAGTTTTCAAAGATCTTTGAAATCCGTTTTCATTCCTTTTGGAAAACAAATGTAATAGCCTGATCTAGGCTTAAAGTTATTTATTTACTTATGTTTGAGACAAGGTTTCACTCTGTCACCCAGGCTGGAGTGCAGTGGTGCAGTCACAGCTCACTGCAGCCTCAACCTGCAGGCTCAAGCAATCCTCCTGTCTCAGCCTGCCACCTCAGTCTTAGTAGCTGAGACTACAGGTGCACACCACAGTGCGTGGCTAATTTTTTTTTTTTTTTTTTTTTTTTGTAGAGACAGGGTCCCCTGTGTTCTTGAACTCCTGGGCTCAAGCAGTCCTACTGCCTCCACCTCCCAAAGTGCTGGGATTCCAGGTGTGAGCCACCGTGCCTGGTCAAGTTATTTAGAAGACTTTTTTTTGTGTTAATTAAGCTCATGAATACAGATGTAAAACTCTTATATTGTTGACGTGATATAGAACTTAGGCTGCAGCTCAGTTTTGGCATTTTTTCATGTTGAGAATTTTTGCTCTAAATTTACTTAACATTTAGATTTTAATTTACTTAAAATTTACATAAAATTGGATTTCCCTTCTAGAGGGTCTGGTTGCAGTTTACATAGGTCTTTTGCCCCTGTTGTGCCTGTTGTCTAAAATGTTCTTCCCTATCTGTAAATCCCACCCATCTATCAAGGACCAGCTGGCATGCTGCCTTCTGATCCTTTCAGCTGCAGAAAAGACAGGCTTACCTTGGAGATATTGCAAGTTTGGTTCCCGGCCACTGCAATAAAGTGAGTCCCATGAAATTTTTGGTTTCCCAGTGCATATAAAAGTTATAGTCACACTATATTGTATTATATTAAGAGTGCAGTAGCATTATATCTAAAAGACCAATGTATATACCTTAATTTAAAAATCCTTTATTGCTAAAAAAAAAAATGCTATCTGAGCCTCAGGAAGTCATAATCTTTTTGCTGGTAGAGAGTCTTGCCTTGATGTTTATGGCTGCTGACTGATCAGGGTGCTGGTTGTTAAAGGTTGGGGTAGCTGTGGCAATTTCTTCAAATAAGACAACCGTAAAGTTTGCCACATGGATTGGTTTTCCTTTCCAGAGAAAGATTTCTCTGTATCATGTGATGCTGTCTGATAGCATTTTACCCACAGTAGGACTTTCAGAATTGGAGTCAATTTTATCACCCTGCCACGGCTTTATCAATGAAGTTTATGTAATATTCTAAATCCTTTGTTGTCATTTCAGCAATGTTCACAGCATCTTCACCAGGAGTAGATTCTATCTCAAAACACTTTCTTTGCTCATCAAAAGAAACAGCTCTTTATCCGTTCAAGTTTTACAAGGAATTACAACAATTCAGTCACATCTTAAAGCTTCAGTTCTAATTCTAGTTATTTTGCTGTTTATGGCATGCCTGCAGTTACTTTATCTTATATGAATTATGGTATATGTGTGTGATATATGTGGGTCAGTGTTTGTGTATATATGCATCTTTTTTTGTATATGTATGTTTTATTACTTCTTCTAGATTCTAGTTCTTCATCTTCCAGTGTTAATTCCTTGTACAAAGTAGGTCCTTATCATTCACTGGATGAATGAATATCCAAGTTACGGTGTATTTAGTGAGCTGGGATTGGAACAATACAATTGATCAAATGCATTACTGAGTATGTGCCCCATCTAAGTTTGCAGCTTTAGATTGTGGTCAGAGGCTGTTACAAGATCTTATATATTCTATGATGGGCCATATGCATCTAAAGCATGGTGGTTCAGTTTATGAATATATAAAAGGACAATTTTTTGATTAATGTCAGCTTTGAGTTTAGAATGTATCCCAGACATCTTAGTTGCCCTTAATTATTTTTGGAGATATTTTTCTCAGCCATTAATAAAGCAATCCGAATGATGCATTTTTCTCTGAGCTTGAGTTTTTGTATATGTAAAATAATGGCTTTACATTCATTAAGTTTCCTTCTAGCTCTGGGATTCTGTGTCTTACGATGAATTTCATTGAGTGCAAAGTGTAGCACCAAGATAATACATGGACTTAATGAGTATACATGTTTTTTACAGTTTGGACTCTTAATACTTAGTGAATACAAGTCCAGATTTTGTATGACTTCCTGCAGTGGCTTCCATTGCATTGAAAATACAATCTAAGTGTATTACCTTCATTTACAAAGTTTGATGCTATGGCTCTTTCTTACCCCTCAAATCTGAACTTCCACCTCTCTTTTTCTAGATCACCACCCTCCAAATACGCTGGGATTCTTTTTTTTTTGTTTTGTTTTTTTGTTTTTAAGACAGAGTCTCGCTCTGTTGCCCAGGCTGGAGTGCAGGGACGGGATCTCAGCTGACTGCAACCTCTGCCTCCTGGGTTCAGGTGATTCTCATGCCTCACCCTCCCAAGTAGCTGGGATTACAGGTGCATGCCATCATGTCCGGCTAAGTTTTGTATTTTTAGTAGAGACAGAGTTCGCCATCTTGTCCAGACTGGTCTCAAACTTCAGGCCTCTAGTGATCTGTCCCCCTCGGCCTCCCAGAGTGCTGGAATTCTAGGCGTGAGCCACTGCAGACACATAAAATTGTGCTGAAGTATTTCTAATCACTTCGAGTTACAATTCTGTTAAGTTTCATTTTGCCTGCCAATATTATTCTGAAAAATTTCCCAACCAAATCTTTCTTGTACTACTGTGTCATTGCTCACAGACAATTTTTTTCCACATTGGTAGAACCCTGAACTCCATTCATACAGATAATATGAGGTACTTAACTTGTACATTTGTTTAAGTTCCTTATTGATGCTGGATATTAGATCTTTGTCAGATGCAAAGTTTCCAAAAATTGTCTCCATTCTGTAGGTTTTCTGTTGACTCTGTTGATAGTTTCTGTTGCTGTGCAGAGGCTCTTTAGTTTAGATTTTATTTGTCAATTTTTGCTTTTATTGTAGTTGCTTTTGGTGTCTTCATCATGAAATCTTTGCCCATTCCTGTGTCCTGAATGGTATTATGTAGGTTGTGTTGCAGGGTTTTTATAGTTTTTGGTTTTACATTTAAGTCTCTAATCCATCTTCAGTTGTATATGGTGTAAAGAAGGGGTCCACTTTCAATCTTTTGCATATGGCTAGCCAGATATCCCAGCACCATTTATTGAATAGGCAATCCTTCTCCCATTGCTTGTTTTGTCAGATTTGTCGAAGATCAGATAGTTGTAGGTGTGCAGCATTATTTCTGGGTTCTCTGTTCTGTTCCATTGGTCTATGTGTCTGTTTTTGTACCAGTATCATGCTGTTTTGGTTACTGTAGCCCTGTAGTGTAGTTTGAAGATGAGTAGCGAGTAGCATGATGCCTCCAGCTTTGTTCTTTTGCTTAGGATTGCTTTGGCTATTTGGGCTATTTTTTGGTTCCATATGAATTTTGAAACAGTTTTTTCTAATTCTGTGATGAATGTCAGTGGTAGTTTAATAGGAATATCATTGAAATTGTAAATTGCTTTGGGCAGTATGGGCATTTTAATGATATTGATTCTTCCTATCCGTGAGCATGGGATGTTTTTCCATTTGCTTGTGTCATCTCTGATCTCTTTGAGCAGTGTTTTATAGTTCTTCGTGTAGTGATCCTTCACCTCCATGGTTAGCTGTATTCCTACGTGTGTGTGTGTGTGTGTGTGTGTGTGTGTGTGTGTGTGGTGGGGGGCAATTGTGAATAGGTCTGCATTCCTGGTTTGGCTCTTGGCCTGACTGTTGTTGGTGTATAGGAATGTTAGTGATTTTTGCACATTGATTTTATATCCTGAGACTTTGCTAAAGTTGTTTATTAGCTTAAGGAGCTTTTGGGCTGAGACTATGGGGTTTTCTTTCTTTTTTTTTTTTAATTTTACTTTAAGTTCTGGGATACAAGTGCAGAATGTGTAGGTTTGTTATGTAGGTATACGTGTGCCATGGTGGTTTGCTGCACCTATCAACCCGTCATCTAGGTTTTAACCCCTGCATGCATTAGCTATTTCTTCTAATGTTCTCCCTCCCCTCACCCCCCCACCCCCTGACTGGCCCTGGTGTGTGGTGTTCCTCTCCCTGTGTCCATGTGTTCTCATTGTTCAACTCTGACTTATGAGTGAGAACATGCAGTGTTTGGTTTTCTGTTCCTGTGTTAGTTTGCTGAGGATGGTGGCTTACAGCTTCATCCATGTCCCTGCAAAGGAGATGATCTCATTCCTTTTTTATGACTGTATAGTATTCCATGGTGTACGTGTACCACATTTTCTTTATCCAGTCTATCATTGATGGGCATTTGGGTTGGTTCCATGTCTTTGCTATTGTACATGGTGCTGCAATAAACATATGTGTACATGTGTCTTTATAGTAGGATGACTTATATTCTTTGGGTATATACCTAGTAATGGGATTGCTTGGTTAAATGGTATTATTTCTAGTTCTAGATCCTTGAGGAATCGCCACACTGTCTTCCACAAAGGTTGAACTAATTTACATCCCACCAACAGTGTAAAGGCGTTCCTGTTTCTTCACAGCCTCACCAGCATCTATGGTTTCCTGACGTTTTAATAATCACCATTCTGACTGGTGTGAGATGGTATCTCATTGTGGTTTTGATTTGCATTTCTGTAATGATCAGTGATGGTGAGCTTTTTTCTATGTTTGTTGGCCACATAAATGTCTTCTTTTGAGAAGTGTCTGTTCATATCCTTTGCCTACTTTTTAATGGGGCTGTTTGATTTTTTCTTGTAAATTTGTTTAAGTTCCTTGTAGATTCTGGATATTAGACTTGGGCAGATGGGTAGATTGCAAACATTTTCTCCCATTCTGTAGGTTGCCTGTTCACTCTGATGATAGTTTCTTTTGCTGTGCAGAAGCTCTTTAATTATGTGACTCTGGGGTTTTCTAGATATAGGATCATGTCGTCTGCAAACAGGGGTAGTTGACTTTCTCTCTTCCTATTTGGATGTCTGGGCATTCTATGAATATTTGTGTGGTTGAGATAGTTACTGACTTTGGCCTTACAGCTTGATGATAGACTTGGTCCCTTGACTAGAATGCAATCTTCATATGAGACTGTAAAATGAATAAGTGCTTTGTAGGCTGTAAAATACTATTTAAATCTGAGGCATTATAGTAGGTCTTTTCCTCAGAAGGCTATATTCTATATTCTATAGGCTTGGCTCTCACAGTGAAATGACACATTAAACTATATAATAGAATCTTTTTTATCCTCGATATTCTTTCTAAAACTGCACCAAGCAAGATAATGGGTTATTGGATTGTTTGAAACCACACTACTGTCTGTTTGTTGTAAATGTGGAATAATATCTCTCAACATCATTATTGTATTTGAGATGTTGTTGTAAAGATATCTGTAAAGGGCTTTGGATTTTCCAGAAGAGAGAACTTGTAATGAAACTCATTTTTCTTGTTACAGTGGGGCAAGACAGTTGCTGATGTGTTACCATTACCCATCATTTAAAACTAGCAGGCATTCCTATACTACCTACTGTGCTAAAATAAGGAACTGACAGGCCCAGTTAGTTAGCTGTAGCAGTATTTTATGTTGCTGTGGCTGTGGTATCACTGTTTAATTGCAGTTACCAAATCTCTCAGCAAAGTAAGGCAACATTTATCTGAGAAAGCATTTTTTTCCATTCTGAATTAACTGAAAGTGCACTGGTTACACTTATACTCTGTGGAGAACCCTAACTTTGGTTCTTTTTTTTCTTTTTTTTTTTTTTTTGGAGACGGAGTCTCACTCTGTAGGAGTGCACTGGAGTTCAGTGGTGCCATCTCGGCTCACTGTAAACTCCGCCTCCTGGGTTCAAGCGATTCTTCTGCCTCAGCCTCCTGAGTAGCTGGGACTACAGGTGCATGCCACCATACCTGGCTAATTTTTGTATTTTTAGTAGAGACAGGGTTTCACCATATTGGCCAGGGTGGTCTCAAACTCCTGACTTCGTGATCCGCCCGCCTCGGCCTCCCAAAGTGCTGCGACTTTGGTTCTTAAGTTGACCTCCGCATCTAATAAAAGACTGTGGTTAAGTATCAGTCTTTCAGAAATTTTGAGCAAGGTTGTAGAGCGTTAAAGGACTTTAAAGGCATCTCTTAGGTCAGTGAGGAAGGACTATTTGTTTTATTATTTAAAAAAATTAACATTTAAAAACAGCACAAACAGAAACACTCTGAAGTATAAAATCGTCTTAAATAAGGAAGTAGTTTTTACACATAAGCTGCTCATATCTGGAGTTATTGTGTGACCTAGATTTAGAGTTTTGTCTTGTTTTGGTCAGTTGTTAATACCATTCTAAAGTATTATTTTATTAGTGACAGGTAATAGTAGAATGCTTACAGTTCTCTTTGTTAAGCTTTTCCAGTTTCTGGACTCTGTCTTGGGAATGAGAATGAAATTTACTTCCCTACAAATTGGGTTTTTTCATTTATTTGATAGACCCTGTTTATTGAACGTTCCTAATAGAGCTAATAAAATAATGCTCTTGGGGTGTTTTGCAATTTATTACACCTGCTCCACTCAATTGATTCAGATTTGTATAGTGTTACATAATAAGAACTAGTGGGATCTAGTTTGTACTTTTCCCTGGGGCTTGGGTTGGGGAGCGTGTGTATGTTTGTGCAGAATTTCTATTTTCTATCATTGGTATCTTGTATTTAAAGCAAAATAAAACAAATTATACTTTTTTCAGTTCAGGCTCAGAGTTGGCGTGGTTTAGAGAGGAATTTTTGTCTTAGCTTATTTATGTTGCAGAAATATAATGTTTGGCCATTTTCATAAGGCTTTTTAAGGAAAGTATTTTAAATTGTACCCTTACATTTGAGAGATGAAGCATGAGAAGCTAAATTACAATTTTGAAATATTAGAAATTTGCTGCCCAATCGTTCTTTCCCCAAACTGGAAGTTGTATATGCATTATCATTCAATAAAAATCTGAAATGGAATCTTAAAAATCTTATAGCAAATCTAATCAATTAAAGTTATTATCCTAAGAGAAAACTTTTTCTTTCTCTTACATTATTTGAACAAGCAAATTCTGTTCTTAGAGGGAAAGCACAGAAGTCATGGCAACATAACATCAATTAAGTTAGAGCAAAGATATGCAGACTTAGTTTAGGCTATAGAAATATTCCATGGACGGCCGGGCGCGGTGGCTCACGCCTGTAATCCCAGCACTTTGGGAGGCCGAGGCGGGCAGATCATGAGGTCAGGAGATTGAGACCATCCTGGCTAACACGGTGAAACGCTATCTCTACTAAAAATACAAAAAAATTAGCTGGGTGTAGTGGCGGGCGCCTGTAGTCCCAGCTACTCCAGAGGCTGAGGCCGGAGAATGGCGTGAACCCGGGAGGCGGAGCTTGCAGTGAGCTGAGATTGCACCACTGCACTCCAGCCTGGGCGACTGAGTGAGACTCCGTCTCAAAAAAAAAAAAAAAAAAAAATTCTATGGACACAGGGAGGGGAACATCACACATCGGAGCCTGTGGAAGGGTGGGGGGCAAGGGGAGGGAGAGCATTAGGACAAATACCTAATGCATGCGAGGCTTAAAACCTAGATAACACGTTGATGGGTGCAGCAAACCACCACGATGCATATAGGTATACCTATGTAACAAACCTGCACGTTCTGCACATGTATCCCAGAACTTAAAGTATAATAAAAATTTTTTTAAAAAGTATTCCTATAAATGTTTTGTACACTGTTTTTTAATTGCTTATCTATAGAAAATAATGTAACAATTTCTGGTAGCTTTTAAAGGAGAGTTGAAGGAACTGTGATTCTTGAATGAATGTTTTCAGTTTTAACCAAGAGAATAAATGTGATGAAAAATAATAAGATATTTGAAAAAGATAAGACAAACAACACGTTACTGTTGGGGCTAAAGAGAACCTAAATTCAAAGTTTGCATGAAATATGGTCAGCTGCTAAGATGAAACAAAGATTTATTATTGCTCAGTCCAAAGAGAAAACTGAAATGATATTTATAAGTGTAGTGATGAGCAGGTTGGATCTAGCAGGGGAAATGTAGTTGTATAGTAGTGGTCACAGGCAAGAGATTTTCCCCTATCATGTCTTGAACGTGGTTCATTGGTTCATGCCCACCTGGCCATTGGTTCATACCCAACTAACTTTCTAGAAATAAACATGACCTAGAAATAAAATATAAGGTCCATTTTAACATGTTTTCTTCTGTCTGTAACACCTGCAAAAACAAAAGATATAAAAATATGTAGACATTAAGACAGTATCTTTTTTAGTGGATTACACTTATTTGTTGCAGTTATTAATTATTTCCGTAATATATGTTGCTTTTTTCTTTTTTCTTTCTTTTTTTTTTTTTTTTTTTTAAGATAGGAGTCTTCCTCTGTCACCAGGGCTGGAGTGCAGTGGCATGATCTTGGCTCACTGCAACCTCCACCTTCCAGGTTGAAGTGATTCTCGGGCTTCAGCCTCCTGAGTAGTTGGGATTACAGGCACCTGCCACCACACCTGGCTAATTTTTTTATTTTTAGTAGAGACGATGTTGCACTATGTTGGCCAGGCTGGTCTTGAACTCCTGACCTCAGGTGATCTGCCTGCCTTGGCCTCCCAAAGTGCTGGGATTACAGGCATGAGCTACTGCGCCCAGCCGATAATATATGTTGCATTTCATTAAAAACTTGGTGTTCATAAGTGAATGCTACTGATACTTGGCTTTATGGAAATCTCTTTTTAGTATTGACTAGTCACCCAGAAGATTAAAACATGGCAGCTAGACAGGCAATGTCAATCCTTTCAAATCAATTTACTTACTGGAGATTTTAAGTAATTTAAGCAAAGCATCCCCTCTAGGCAGGAAGCCCAGCTGTGATTGTGAAATGACATTATTTTCACCTTGCATTTAATTGAAAGCAGCTCCCTTCTAGTCCTGGCACATTGCTTTCACCCTTTTCTTAGAGGCACTGGAGAACAAGTAACTATTGCTTCTTGCAGCACAATGTTGTATGCCTGTGATTCTCTGTCCTAGTTTACTTACCACAGGATGTAACAAATTATCCAAAATAGGATGTAAAATTTTCAAATCAATAAAAAATTAATGTATCACTTGTTACTTTCAGAAATAAAATGGAGGTTAGGAAATCAAACCCCTTGATGTATGTGATAAAGTGTTACAAAATATCAAATGATTCACTTTGCTATTTGTGAGTTTCTATCACTCTTTTTTTTTTTTTTTGCCACTAATTGCAAAATAACTCATATAAACCTGGGTTTCTCAAGCAATGTTCTCCTAGATGTGTAGGACGAAGGCTATATTGGTATGAATAGGTAGTAATTCTGAGCCTGTTCTGGAAGACCCCATTCCCCTGCAGAGTTTGGTAGGGCTCACATACCCGCAGTGGTGGTGGCCATTAATGACCAATTCTGCCTTTGAGTGCTCCACTTGCGCTACTCTCACTTCTGGCTCCTGGTGCTTAGGACTGCTGTCCCCTCTCCCTGCCTTACCAGTTCCTATTGTGGACATTAAGGAGTGAATTTGGTCAGGCAGCTTGTGCAGGTCAGTGTCCCAGAGGCAGGTCTACAGCTCTAGCGGGTCCAGTCCCAGTGGACCTTTCTGCTAATTGTGTCCAGCCTTTCCATTCTTGAATTACTGACCTGCGATAAAAAATGATGGCGCCCTTACCACATTCTAGCAAAAAGGTCAACAGTCATTTACCAGTTCTGTGATCTTAACACTAGTTACCTTGTTTATAACTGAGCATGATAATGATGAGTACCTCATAGGACTGTTAGGAGGATTAAATGAGATACTATGAAAAAAGCCTTAACCAGTGCCAGCACTTGCTAGTGCTCAATACATTTTAGATATTTACTTGTAGTTACTGTTGTGGCTCCTACTATAATATTGACTTTGTTTTGTACTTCTTGGTGTCTAACTCAATCAGCTTTTTCTCTTAAGTCAGTTTCTAGACTGATAGTTCTTTTTAAATGCATCTGTTCTTCATTTTCATAGTTACATGTATGTCCTCTGTAGGTTTTCTGTTTCCATTCAGTTTTGGGGTGAAATATGATAGCAGCATGAGGAGCTCCACTCCTGGTCTAAATGAATAAGCTTATATTATCTCTTTCTTAACTTTGCTCCTTAACTCTTTGTATTCTGTTACCTGCTTTCATAATTTTCCTGGAACTTCTTAAACCTCATTGGTAATTTCAAAGCTAAATTTCATTAATCATTTCTCAGATTTTGTTCATACTGATTCGTTGCACTATAAAAAAGGATTTAAATTTTTTTTCTAATATTCACTTTTTTTGTTTTGTTTTACAAATTCTCCTCCCTATCCCCTCCCCTACTTCCCTCTCTCCCTCCCTCCCTCCCTCCCTCCCTCCCTCCCTCCCTCCTTCCTTCCTTCCTTCCTTCCTTCCTTCCTTCCTTTCCTCCCTCCCTCCCTCCCTCCCTCCTTCTTCCTTCTTCTTCCTTCTTTTTGCTTCTTCTTGAGACAGTGTCTTACTATGTTGACCGTGCTGGACTCGAATTCCTGGGCTCAAGCAATCCTTCTGCCTCAACCTTCTGATTATTTCGACTACGGGTGTGCGCCACCATGCCTGGCTTAGAAAAGGACTTTATGTTGAACCTCTTTTCTCTTACAATCAAATAATAAATTCATTGAGTCATACTATTAGCGAGTCGCAGTGCTTGGTGCGGGTGTAGAGGAATGGAATGATGACCAAGACATGGTCCCTGTCTTCAGTATCTTGAGATATTGAGCACTCAGGGAAAGAAAAATGGGCACAAAACTATAATGCAAAGTAAAATGTGTAGAGCACAAAGGAGAAATAAATACCAAAACAAGGGGATGAGAGAAAGCTTTCAAATCATAGTGGTAGTTACTGGAATAACTTTAGGAATTCCCAGGCTGCTTGGAGAATATGAGAATGTGCATCTGCTTGGTCCCTTCAGAAAACTGTCAGTGTGACAGATGGGAGGGTGAAAAAGAGGGAAAAGCTAGAATCTGTTGGGGTTAAATTGGAGTTCATTTTGAAGCATTAAAAATAATTGAAATTCTGATATATTTTACCTGTATAGAAAGGGACAGGAAATAATATGAGAAATAATAATAGTGGGGTGACCCATCATCCATATTTAACGTTTGTTAACATTTCGCCACAAGTGTTCATATTGCTTTCTCTCTCTTTTTCAAAAAAACTATTTTTTAGAACCCTTTTAGATGTGGCAGTTTTTCAGACTTTCCTTGTTTTTGATAACTTTACAATTTTGAGGAGTATCATATCTCCCTACAATCCTCTTGCATGTGGCAGTTTTTCAGACTTTCCTTGTTTTTGATAACTTTACAATTTTGAGGAGTATCATATCTCCCTAGAATCCTCTTGGATGTGGCAGTTTTTCAGACTTTCCTTGTTTTTGATAACCTTAACAATTTTGAGGAGTACCAGTCAAGAATTTTTTAGACTATCGCTTAATTGAGATTTGTTTGATATTCTTCTTATGATTTTCTGGGATTTTGAGTTTTTGGGAGGAAGACCACAGAGGTCAAGTGCCATTTTTGTCATGACATAATACCAACTTATCACTGTTGATATTGACCTTGATCCCCTGGCAGAGAGAGTGTTGATCAGGTTTCTTCACTGTAAAGTTACCCTTTACTTCCTCATACTGTGCTCTTGGGAAGGAGTTCGCTTTGCACAGGCTGCACTTAAGGAATGAAGCTTTGTTTCCTCTTGTGGAAATAAATGAGGACCATCTAAATGAGAACAAGTAAAGGCTATTTATTCAAAGCCTCCCATAACAAAGGAGTCAGCCATCATCACTTGTGTTTGGCAGAGACTTGGAGGCAGTCAGAGGAGTAGGAACGCTTTATTGTAGAAAAAAGGGAAAGCAGCTGGGCATGGTGGTTCATGCCTATAATCCTAGCACTTTGGGAGGCCAAGGTGGGCGGATCACCTGAAGTTAGGAGTTTGAGACTAGCCTGACCAACATGGAGAAACCCTGTGTCTAGTAAAAATACAAAATTAGCTGGGCGTGGTGGTGCATGCCTGTAATCTCAGCTACTCGGGAGACTGAGGCAGGAGAATCGTTTGAACCCAGGAGGCAGAGGTTGCAGTGAGCCGAGATCGCGCCATTGCACTCCAGCCTGGGCAACAAGAGTGAAACTTTGTCTCAAAAAACAAAATAAAACAAAACAAAACAAAACAAAAACAACAAAAAAAGGAAAGCTATGTTATAGAGAAAGGGAAAGCTCCAGGTAGGCCCTGTTTGGAGGCTGCTGACGTGGAGAGGGTGGAACATCCTGTGTTATTGATTAGTGGTACATATTTTGCTTTCTCCAGCAAGTCTTAATTTAAAAGTGGGTACAGAAATTAGGGAAGCTGTTAGTTACTGGTCAAGTCCTGACTGTTGGGCTAATTGTTACATAAGTTTTGTGCTTAGTCAGTTTAGGCTACTCTAACAAATATACCATAGGGCTCAGTGGCTTCAACAACAAACATTTATTACGTACAGTTCTGGAGGCTGGGAAGTGCAAGATTAAGGGGCTGGAAGATCCTGTGTCTGGAGGGCTTGCTTCCTGGTTTGCAGATGGCCTTCTCCTTGTGTCCTCACATGGAAGAGAGCAGAGAGAGGAAGCAAGCTTTCTCGTGTCTCTTCTTATAAGGGAACTAATCTCATTTACAGAGCACTCCATCGTCATGACCTAATTACCTCCCAAAAGCCCCAGCTCCAGGTACCATCACAGTGGGGATTAGGCTTCAATGTATGAATTTTGGAGTGACACAAATATTCAGTCCATAGCATTGTGGTTTGGCTTTCTGGACTGATTGTTGTAGGTTGTGAGTCAGAGTTCTATTTTTATATATGGTCTGGTCATTACCTGTTTGTATATTCACTCTTTCACCCACCTCAAAGGTAGTGTTCTATATCAATTATTTTGAATTCTTCTGCATGGGAGATTTGTCTCTTCTCTCCCACTATTTTTTTTTATTTTTTGGAGGGACTGGTTCTTTATTTCAAAAAGACATTTGTCAATATTCAGTATCAAAACAGTTGCACTATTGATTTCTCTTTCTCCCAATTGGACCCAAAGAGACCACATCAAAGGAGAGTACATTTTAAGCCAGTAAGCTGCAGGATGTACACCTAACAGACCTCCTAGAAACCTTACCAGAAAATGGGGACTCGGTAGGGAAAGAAACTTTAAAAAATCAGTAAACTGCCAGCCCACAGAGTGCAGAGGCTGTCACAGCCAGGTGGGATGGCCAGGGTGTCACAAACCCAAAGAAGCAAAGTTTAAAAATAATATAAAATTTAAAAAGTTTTGTACATAAGCTATTCAAGATTTCTGCAGCACTGACTGATACAAAGCACAATGAGATGGCACTTTTAGAGACAGCAGCTTCAAACCCAGAAAAGGGTAATGAGTTTCACATGGCTGAATCAGTGGCAAAAACATAATCATCTTTCTTTCAAGGAGGCAGGAAAGCAATTAAGTGGTCACCTCAACATAAGGGTCACATGATCCATTCTGTAAGCAGTTGGGAGGGGGTAGAGATGGGACAAAAATTTGGTCTCAGAGTTCTTACATCCTGATTTGGTCAATTCTAATGAAAAAAAAAATAAGAAAAAAGAAATAATGTTGTCCAAAGGTATATTAAAGCTGAAAACTTGAACAGCACATTTTTGTTTGTTTTTGTTGTTATTTGGCTAACTCCTCCTGGAATCACCTTTCTGGTTTAGCTGGTACTTTGTACAGAGCAATGAGGTTTCCAATAGTGGAGTCTTTCCCTGGGCTCTGTTTGGCTCTCAGTAAGGCAGGCCTATACCTTTTCTTCTCTATGGAGCGGGCAATATGCATTAAGCTGAAAAGTCACCTTCCAAAAGTGAGAAAAGGATTAGATTGCTGCTTCAGGGCTGTGGAATTACTTGGAATGTTTTACAAATGGTTGCTACAAAGCAACAAAAAAGGTAATCACAAATGTGTACATCACAATATGCCTTTTAAAGACATTATGCATTGTGCTCACATTCCCTTAAATGTTGTTTCCAAAGGTGCTCAGCCTCTAGCCCAGCTGGAATCTCCGGGAAGAGGCAGAGACAGTTTGGGGAAAAAGACACAGGGGAGGAGCGGGAGGCAAAAGCGGAAAGCAGCCTTCCAGTTAAAGATCAGTCCTCAGTTAAAGGTCAGCTTCAGGCAGGCTGGCCTCAGGCAGAGTCAGGGTCAGAGGGAGGAGCAGCAGCAGGGTGGGACTGGGCTTTCTACATCTCATTCAGGTCAAGCAGAGTCTGGACCAGCATCTTTTGTGTACAGAGGCGCTGTCCTTTGGTGCATTTGAGTTTATCTTCCAGGTCTTCAATTGTATTTTCCAGCTTGGCTACCGATCTCTCAGCAAACCCATCACGGGCCTCTCCCTCCTTGAATTTATCAGTAAGAATCTTGATCTCTTTCTCATATTTGTCTTCTTTTTGAGAGTACTTTTCTTCAGCAGGACTCAGACACTTCAGATTCTGGTCCATCAGTCTGATCTGCTCATCCATCTCTCGGCAACGGTACTCTGCCAGCTCAGTTTGTTCCTCTGTGCGTTCCAAGTCTCTTTCAATGATCACCAACTTATGAGCTACCTCTTCATATTTCCTATTTGCCTCTTCTGCAATGTGCTTAGCTTCTTTGAGTTGAATTTCCTGGAGTTCCATCTTTTCTTCATCTTTTAAGGGCTGGTTTTCAATAAACTTCATACCTCTCTCACTCTCATCAGCAGTTTTTTCCGCTTCTTCCAGCTTTTGCAGGGCAGTGGCTGGGCGCTCCTGAGCACAGTCCAGCTTCTCATGAACCAGCTGGATCCTACGGTTCAAGGAGGCCACCTCAGCCTCAGCCTGTTCCTGGGAACACCTTTCTCCCTCAACTTCTCACTGGAGACGATCAGCTCGCTCCTCTGCATCATCTGCCTGCTGCTGCAGAACCTGGATATTGCCCTTAACCGCCTCGATGGTGGTGATCCCAGCCATGGTGCCCACTCAGCTACTGCTCGCACTCCGATTCCTGCCTCCTCTGCTTGGTGTTGCAGCCTCCTCTCCCTCACCCATTTGTTTATTCACTTATCCATTCATTTGTTTATAGCAGTATGGATTCATGGATATTTATTTTATACAGGTTATAATCCAATACTACTTTATTTCATTGTTCACATTTTTCCAGTTTTGGTCCATCGAGAGCTCTGCTGCTTGGCTTCTGTGTTCCTTTGACATACTCCCATGATAGTGGGTTTTTCTTTTGAGAATTTCCTTACTTTTTAGCACTACAAGATGTTCTAGGCTCATCTTGTGTATTTCTTGTCCTCTGTCTCTCTCTCTCTTTATTGATTGGTTAATTGAGACAAGCTCTTGTGCTATCACCCAGGCTGGAGTGCAGTGGCACAATCATGGCTTTTTGCAGCCTTGACCTCCCAGGCTCAAGCAATCCTTCCATCTCAGCCTCCCGAGTAGCTGGGACTACACATGTGTGCCACCACGTCAGACTACTTTTTAACTTTTTGTAAAGATGGGGTCTCCCCATGTTGCCCAGACTGACCTCAAACTCCTGGGCTCAAGCGATGCTACTGCCTTGGCCTCCCAAGGTGTTGGGATTACAGGTGTGAGCACTGCTCCTGGCCTCTCTGTTTTTAAAAATAAACTGTTACCTAGACAGGTAAAGGTACTCCTACATCCCTTTCCCCACATGTTTTCTTTATTGGTAACCATTGTCCTGAAGTTGGTATTGTTCCCATGTATTTAATGTATTCATCAATAATGTATAGTTATTTTGTGAGTTTTAAAAATGTACATGATAGACTACTGCCCATACCCTTCTGCAACTTGTTTCTATTATCAAACATTATGTTTATGAGATCTTCCCATGTTGTAGATATACTTAATTTAATTGTTATATAGTATTTCATTGCATGAGTATACCATGGCATATCCATTTTACCATAAATAGGTAAATTAATGCTGCATGGACCTCTTTACACATGTATTTGATTTATCAAGGGAAAGTGTTATCAATAGTAATGGGATCAACTAGGGAAAGTTTGGAAATTTGTGGGGGACATTTTATTTTTTAAATTTTTACATATTTCTTTTTTCTTCAGGAAATGCCAGCAGGAGGAATATTTTCAATTATTGATTGGGAGAGCCTTATTGACATTGGGAGAGGGTGAGGACAAAGGATGTATGATGACCTGTGACGTGTGTGTCTGCCTTTCTCCCATATAATTTTTAAATATCCCCCTCAGGTATTCTTGTACTTAAAAATTCTTTGTATGATGATCTGACTCTAGAACCTCCATTTTGTCTATAAAACCAAAGTATTTTTGGCATGGTTTTAGTATATGCTTTTTCTTTTCTTTTCTTTTTTTTTTTTTGAGACAGAGCCTCACTGTGTCGCCCAGGCTGGAGTGCAGTGGCGTGATCTCGGCTCACTGCAAGCTCCGCCTCCTGGGTTCACGACATTCTCCTTCCTGCCTCAGCCTCCCAAGTAGCTGGGACTACAGGCATCTGCCACCACGCCCAGCTAATTTTTTGTATTTTTAGTAGAGACGGGGTTTCACCGTGTTAGCCAGGATGGTCTCGATCTCCTGACCTCGTGATCCACCTGCCTCGGTCTCCCAAAGTGCTGGGATTACAGGCGTGAGCCACTGCGCCGGGCCTTTTCTTTTTGAATTTAAACTATCATGCACATTGAGGGAAGAGTTTACTTTGTTCGGAAATTTTACCAAGTTCCGAACAAAGTAACACACTTGTATCATCCTGCATTTGTAGGTTTTGCATTCATGATGACAGTATATAGGAGTGCAAATGTCTGTTTACTTCATTAAATCCTCTACCAAAGTCATGAAAAAATTTGCATTTTTAATATAATTATATTTTCTAAATAGGGCCAGGACTAAGGTGAGGCAAGTGAGGTTGCTTAGGTGCAAAATTTGAGGAGATACAAATGCAAGTGTCCTGCAAGTGCAGGTTCAGTACTTTCACTACTTTGCCTGCTTAAATTTTGCACCCTAAGCACCTTGCTTGCCTCATCTCAATTCTGCCCTGATTATAAGTAATATTTTATGTATTTTTTTCATATTTTAGTTAGGCTATTGCATTAGTCCATTTTCATACTGCTGTGAAGAAATACCCGAGACTGGGTAATTTATAAAGAAAAAGAGGTTTAATGGACTCACAGTTCCACATGGCTGAGGAGGCTTCATAGTCATGGCAGAAGGCGAAGGAGGAGCAAAGGCATGTCTTACATGGTAGCAGGCAAGAGAGCGTGTGCAGGGGAACTGCCCTTTATAAAACCATCAGATCTCATGAAACTTATTCACTATCACAACAGCATGGGAAAAACCCACCCCCATGATTCAATTACCTCCCACTAAGTCCCTCCCATGACACATGAGGATTATGGGAGCTACAATTAAAGATGAGATTTGGATGGGGACACAGCCAAACCATATCAGATATTATGGGGGTTTTTTGAAAACAATTTTTTTTTTTGAGATGGAATCTCGCTTTGTCTCCCAGGCTAGAGTGCAGTGGCATGATCTTGGCTCACTGCAGCCTCCACCTCCCGGGTTCAAGCGGTTCTCCTTCCTTAGTCTCCCGAGTAGCTGGGATTACAGGTGCCTGGCTCCACACCTGGCTCATTTTTGTATTTTTACTAGAGACAGAGTTTCATCATGTTGGCCAGGCTGGTCTTGAACTCCTGACCTCAAGTGATCTGCCTGCCTTGGCCTCCTAAAGTGCTGGAATTACAGGCATGAACCACCATGCCCAGCCTTTTTTTTTTTTCTTTGAAATTTATATGGATTAGGTAGATTATCTATTATGTTTGTTATAGAATAGAAAAAGGGTGTTTCAGATAATTTCCTTTAAAAGGAAATATTAGATCTGATTGGTCTGAGAACCACTGCTTTAGGACACATACTTGGAAGTGCCGTTTGCTGGGCCATATGAGCATCTTCAACTTTACTGGGTATTGCCAGATTCCTTTACAGAATGGTTGTCTCAGTCAGAGATTGCTGTAGTGATGCTACATTAAAAGAAACAAGGCTGGGCATGGTGGCTCACACCTGTAATCCCAGCACTTTGGGAGGCCGAGGCAGGCAGATCACCTGAGGTCAGGAGTTCGAGACCAGCCTGGCCAACATGGTGAAACCCCTTCTCTACTAAAACATACAAAAAAAATTAGCTGGGCGTGGTGGCAGGAGCCTGCAATCTCAGCTACTTGGGAGGCTGAGGGAGAGAATTGCCTGAACCCAGGAGACGGAGTTTGCAGTGAGCCGAGATCAGGCCACTACACTCCAGCCTGGGTGACAGAGCAAGACTCTCTCAAACAACAACAATAACAACAACAACAACAAACCCCAAAAGACCCCAAGTTCAAAACTCAGTGGCTTCATATAGTAAGTATTTATTTTTCCCTGTCAACCTGTGGGTAGATTGCAACAAAAATTAGCTGGGCAGGATTCTGGACTTCAGGCACTGAGCTCCAGTCTGCAGGTTGGATTGAGGTTGGGTTCAGGTCTGCTCCATGTCTCTCATTCTCTTGGACTAACAGTTACCTAGGACATGTTTTCCTCATGGAAAGTGGCAGAAGCAAAAGAAGCCAAGTGGAAATATGTAAAACCTCATGTGGGCCATACATAGAACTGACTTGCTGTCATTTTTGCTCACATTTCATGGACCCCAGCTTGTCACAAGGCCAAGCCCAACATCCGTGAGGTAGGGCTATATATTCTGTATATTCTAGTGAATGGTACTGCAAAGTTATCTGGCAATGATGTGGATTAGAATTCTAGTACAGGGAGGGTGTGAAGAATTATGAATAATGATTCAGTTTACCACATGGTTGTACCATTATATACCTCACCAGTAATAGATGCAAACTCCTGTTTCTCAACATCTTCACTAGTCTTGATGTTACCCAACTTCAACATTCTTGCTAGTTTGATGAGTGTTAAATGACATTGTTATTTTAATTTTCATTTCCAATTATATAGGTCTTTCAAAATACTATCTATTCATTTTAAAAGATTAGTTTTAGCCTCCACTCTAAAGTCAGTTAGAATAAGGAGGCTTTTTGTGATGAAAATAAAAATTTGGAATCTGAGATTATGATAGTTATAATCAGTTGCTCACTTTGGCTACCAATTAATTAATTTGTTTTTCTTTTGCTTAAGTAATGTCAGATATTCTGAGGACCATTAAAATGTCTAGACTCTGTTCTCCAAGGGCCCTGTTCTAACATTCTGATTCTGTGTATATGATGCATTCGTAATTTTCTTTCCATGTAATAATCTAATTTTATTGACCCCACTAAGTAAGTAAGGTGTAGGCATTATATTCCAAACTACTCTTTCAAAAGTGTGACTGTACTGCAAAAAATGCAGATGTTGTGGGTTTCAATAAATGGATTTCTGGTATGTTTCTCTGGGAAGAATGCTTCCTGTTTATTGGCACTCCTCTAATGTGGAGGCAGGTCTTGCTGGAGAGCTGCATTCAAGTGAGGGAGGGGTGGGAAGGAAGAAAGGCACCCACAGAGCTTCTGCCTTGTAAATATAATCTAATTTGTGCTGGGATCAGACAGATCAGTCCAAGAGTGGTAGTATTTTTTTATGTTTTTATATATTTTTTTATTTTGAGACAAGGTTTCACTGTTTTGCCAGGCTGGAGTGCAGTGGCACGATCTTGGCTCATTGCACCCTCTGCCTCCCAGGTTCAAGCAATTCTCCTGCCTCAGCCTCCCAAGTAGGTGGGACTACAGGCATGTGCCACCACGCCCAGCTAATTTTTTTGTATCTTTAGTAGAGACAGAGTTTCACCATGTTGGTCAGGATGGTCTCGATCTCTTGACCTCATGATTCGTCCGGCCTTGGCCTCCCAAAGTTCTGGGATTACAGGCGTGAGCCACCGCGCCCGGCCGAGTGGTGGTATTTTTAAAGAAGCACAGGCCATACCTGAAAAAACAATAAAAATTGAAAAGGAATTTCTTTCTATACTGTTATTTCTTAAAGGAGATACAATTCATAACCCCAGTAACATTTCCAGAGCCCTCCTCTGGCTTCTACTTCTCATTTCTCACTTCTCTCCTCAGTTCTCTCTCCTGTGCCTGGTCAGTGGAGCTTTTACCATTCTCATTCTCATCTGCTCAGCTGAGCTTGGCTGAATCATTCCATGGGCCAGCCTCATATCCTTCTGGCCAGCCTCATATCTTTTGGTAAAACATGGAGACTTACATGACATTTTCAGAGAAGAACCATAGTTGAGGAAGGCCAGGCCAGTGTCTGTGGAACAATGTCTCTCTTACCAGATAAGAAAGAAGTTGCTTCCTGACTTGCAGGTGTGAAGTTTTCTGATATCCCCCGATTTCCTTTTCCCAGGAGGCACCAGCTTCCACAGGATTTGGAGAGGATGTATTCTACTTCTGGTATCTTAGAATCCAGAATCTTGAAAGACAACAGAGGAGATCAAAGATAGAATGGACCAATTACATTCTAGAAAAGGCTGTTGACTAGAACTTTGTTTAGGGATAGTGGGATAAATTAAATGCTTCAATATACATTATGGAGATTATTATGACTGACAAAGATAGGGCACTATATTCAAATGAAGGTCGTAGCAGGAAACATATCATACATTCTATCTATCTATCTATCTATCTAATCTATCTATCTAGAGACAGTCTTTCTCTGTTGCCCAGACTGGAGTGCAGTGGCATAATCTTGGCTCACTGCAAACCTACAGCTCCCAGGTTCAAGCGATTCTCGTGCCTCAGCCTCCGAGTAGCTGGGACTACAGGCATGCACCACCAGGTCCAGCTAATTTTTTGTATTTTTAGTAGAGACAGAGTTTTGCTATGTTGCCCAGGCTAGTCTCAAACTCCTGAGCTCAGGTGATCTGCCTGCCTTGGCCTCCCAAAGTGCTAAGATTACAGGTGTGAGCCACTGCGCCTGGCCCAAATCATGCATTCAAATTGGCAACTGAAGAAAATTTAATAAAAGGCTATTTACAGAGGTATTGGCAGGATAATAATAAAGAATGTTTTATTGGTAACAAAGGATAGCACAGTACCCTGGAGTAAGCAGCAGAAGGGAGCCATGACCATCCTTGGGCACAGCTCTAAAACCTGGGGAGGCAGCCATGTGGAAAGGCTGTGGCCTTCAGTGGAGAGACATAGCCAATCTGTGCATTGGGAGCCTGGAGAAAACGCTCTGTGCCTATTTTTCTCCCACCCTATTAATCCCCTGTTGGGGTCTTTCATTGGCTGAACCCAACCAGAAGCCTAGGGCAAGCAGCAGGGAAAGTGGAAGGGGAGGGACAAATGGAAAAATAACTAGCAGAAGACATTTTCTCTGACTCATTGAAATATTTTTTTGTTTCACTGTCTCTTTTCCTAACAAGAGGCATTTCTCAAGATTCCATTTACAGCAGTCTTCTTGTCTTATGCTGTATCTTTCAATAAGCTTGTGTAAATGAAAGTGAGATCTTTCTCCTTTCTGTCCTCTCCCAACTTCCAGGTTTGCATTTTCAATTGCCTGTTGTATATTTTCACTAAGGCATAGGTTACTAGCTCTATCTCTTCCTTTTAACAGAGTGCAATTTCTCTTCAAGGCTCTTAATAGTCTTCATCTTTTCTTTCCTTTATATACGTTAAGTTACTAAATCCCATTAACTTTGTATTGCCTTAATCTCTCTTTGCTTCCTACTTCTGCCTTTATTTCAACACTTATAATCTTATTACAGTAATCTCCCAACTGGTCTTCCTGCCTCTAATCTCTCCTAATCTATCCTATATGCTGGGATATTGCTTGCAAATTCTTTAATGTCTTTCTATTGCCTAGCAAATGAAATAGAGACACCTAAACCTAATATCCTAGGCCTTCTACCGTGAGCGCCACTGCATGTTTCTGGCTTGATACTCACTGCTTTTCTTCATACACCATGCTCCATTCAAAGTATGCTTTACTAAATGTAACTTTATTATATTTATCATGCTCATATTCCTTTTTTCTTTTTCTTTTGTTTCTCTTTTTTTTTTTTTTTTTGGAGACAGAGTCTCACTCTGTCGCATGGGCTGGAGTGCAGTGCTGCGATCTCGGCTCACTGCAACCTCCGGCTCCTGGATTCAAGCAATTCCCCTGCCTCAGCCTCCCGAGTAACTGGGATTACAGGTACCCATCACAACTCCCGGCGAATTTTTGCATTTTTAGTAGAGACGGAGTTTCGCCATGTTGGCCAGGCTCGTCTCCAATTCCTGGCCTCAAATGATATGCCCGCCTCGCCTCCCAAAGTGCTGGGATTATAGCCATGAGCCACCACGCCCAGCATTCATATTCCTGATCACCTTAAAAATTCTTCACTTTTGTTGTCATGGAGGCCAGATGAGTCATCTGCAAGTTAGACACCTGTAGTTTATCTGAGTCCGAACACTTCCTAATATCCCACATTCGAAGTGTCCCACATAATCAATATACCCTATTGGCTCCTTAGTCTCCTTGTCCTGTGGCTCCTTCACAGGAGCTTCACTTTTCCCTCGAGAGTTTTACTCGATGCTTGATGGTGCATCCTGGCTTGGAAGCCCCTGGACTTTGACATGCTCTGGGTCTTTTCCCCTCAGTGCATGTTTGTCTACAAGCTGAGCTCTTCCAGCTGCTGTTGTCACAAGAAACAGCTGGCAGTCTATATGGAGGCCTCTGTAGCATTCCTCACTCACCTTTAAGTTAAAATTGTTATTTTAAAATAATTTCAAATTTGTAGAAAAGTTGAAAGTACAGTACAGTTTTTTCTTCCAGAACCATTAGATGCTGATGTGGTACTTTATCACTTTGAAATACTTTAGTGTATATTTCATACAAACAAAGATGTTCTTCAAAATAACCACAGTATACTCATCAAAATAAGAAATTAATTAGATTTGTTAATCAGAAATTGGTACAGTGACACCATCTAATTCTGTCGATTCTATGCAAGTTTTGCCAATGGTTACAATATGCTTTACAGCAAAATAATTCAGTTCACAATCATGCCTTCCATTTAGTAGCCGTGTCTCTCCAGACTCCTTTTTTTCTGCAAAAGTTCCTCAATTTTTCCTTAACTTTAGTGACCTTGACCTTGATAGTTTTGATGAATACATGCCAGTTATTTTGTAGAATACCATTCAATTTGAATTTGTTCAGTAGTTTTGTTTTTTTTTTTAAATAGACAATCTTGCTCTGTCACCCAGGCTGGAGTGCAGTGGTGTGATCATGGCTCACTGCAGCCTCGACCTCCCAGGCTCAAGTGATCCTCCCCCTCAGCTTCCCAAGTAGCTGGGTCCACAGGCACATGCCACCACACCCAGCTAATTTTTTTGTAATTTTTGTAGAGCTGGGTTCTCACTATTTTGCCCAGGCTGGTCTCAAACTCCTGGGCTTTAGTGATGCTCCCACCTCGGCCTCCCAAAATGCCAGGATTATAGGTATGAACCACTGCACCTGGCCTCAATGGTTCCTCATGATTGAATTCAGGTTATGTAGGTACCCTTGGCTGTGATGATGCTATGTTTTTCTCATAGAATCCTATCAGGTAGCAAATGATTTTTCTTGGTCCCATTATTGATTATTCTCATTGTGATTACTTGACTAAGATGGTGTCTGTGAGGATTCTCTATTATATTCTATTCTCTTTTGTAGATAACAAGCATTTTTGTGGAAACACTTTGAAACTGTAAATTCTTTATCAGACGCTTAATGTACAGTCATGTGTTGCTTAATGACAATCCCTCCTTTCTGGAATACCTCCTGAAGGACCTGCTTGAAGCTGTTTTACAGTGAGCTAAGTAGGAGTACACTCTAAAATAATGATAAAAGTGTAGTAAATACATAAACCAGGAATATAGTCATTTATTATCCTTTTCAAGTGTACTGTACTGTACATAATTATATGTGCTATACTTTATTTAATTGGAAGCTGCAGTAGGTTACAAAAGTGAGTAATTATTTGTGCTACAGTGTTATAATGGCTGCAAAATCATTAGGTGATAGGAATCTTTCAGTTCCATTTTAATCTTTTGGTATATAATCTTGGCAGTAGGTTACAAAGTGAGTAATTAGTTGTGCTACAGTGTTACAATGGCTGCAACATCATTAGGTGATAGGAACCTTTCAGTTCCACTTTAATCTTTTGGTATATAATCTTGCACTGTTTAACGTGGTCTGTCATTGACAGATATGTTGTTATGTGGTGCATGACTGTATTCATTTACTTCTGCTGCTGCTGCTGCTGCTGCTTCTTCTTTTTACTTCTTTTTTGTTTTGTTTTGTTTTGTTTTTTGAGATAGACTTTTGCTCTTGTTGCCTAGGCTGGAGTTCTATGGTGCAATCTTGGCTCACTGCACCCTCCGCCTCCCAGGTTCAAGTGATTCTCCTGCCTCAGCTTCCTGAGTAGCTAGGATTACGGGCATGCACCATCACGCCCGGCTAATTTTGTATTTTTAGTGGAGATGGGGTTTCTCCATGTCGGTCAGGCTGGTCTCGAACTCCCAACTTCAGGTGATCCGCCTGCCTCGGCCTCCCCATTTACTTCTTTAAACCAGTGTAGACTCCTGCTTTTCTGTTGTATTCAGTGGGATATAGCCTATTTTTACTAACATTATTTTAATACTCAAATTGTCCTAGATTTGGCCCATGGGAGCCCCTTCAAGCTAACTTCTCTATCCTTTTGACATGTCCCTATTATTCTTGGAGGACTTGATTACTTTCTAAGATGTCCCAGTCTCATCTTGCACTTTTCCTGTTCCATTCTTGGAATCAGCAGTTTCTCTGAGGATCCCTTTTTCATTTTAGTGGAGAAAAATATTTAGAAGCCAAGATCTGGGCACAAGGTATACTTGTTGCCATTGAGGAGTTGCTGTTCCCAGTCCTCTCAGGGGAGAGTAAGGGAATATATGTATATATTCATATATAGATCTATGCACTTTTACATGTATATATATATTTTTTGTTTTTGAGATGGAGTTTCACTCTTGTTGCCCAGGCTGGAGTGCAATGGTGCAGTCTCAGCTCACTGCAACCTCCGCCTCCCAGGTTCAAGCGATTCTCCTGCCTGAGCCTCCCAAGTAGCTGGGATTACAGGCATATGCCACCACGCCTGGCTAATTTTGTATTTTGAGTAGAGATGTGGTTTCATCATATTGGCCAAGCTGGTCTTGAACTCTTGACCTCAGGTGATCTGCCCACCTTGGCCTCCCAAAGTGCTGGGATTACAGGTGTGAGCCACCACGCCCAGCCACGTATATTGTTTTTATATCTAGTTCTTATCTATCTCTCTTGAAATTATAAGTTCATATTGATATCGCAGATCCTCATCTAATCTCTCTGTTTCCTTCTTTTCATATTTGTTCATTTCCTGAAAATCAGAAATGTGGGTCCCATTATCCTTAATATATTTACTTATTTGCTTAACCCATCTGTATGTAACCAGTATCTCTTAATATCCCCCCTCACCTCACTCTGGCTCTGATATCACATGCTTGGGTTTTGAAACCACATGCTGAGCATCCTCCTCAGAGGCCTTGCTCAGTTGTCTGGGCTCCAGCACCCAATATCCTCTACATCCATCCCCCTTCCCCTAGGGGATGCCTCCTTATACACACTGGGCTCTGACACCACATGCAGCCTGCCCCCTGTTCTTATACCCTCCTTTCTCTGCTTGGGCCATGACACCCTAAGCAGGGCTGCCGCATGCATCGATGCTGTCCTCACCTTGCTGAGTCTCAGTGCCGCTACCAACCCCCACTGTCTGTCTTCACCCAAGCATAGATACCTACCTCGCTTGGCCCCACCTATGACTTTAGAACTATGTAGGAAGGGGAAGACAAAGAGGAGGTGGGCCCACCTTTATGATTGATTCTCCTCTCACCCCTTTCTCTTTCTTGCTACCTTTAAGAAAATCCAAATAATATATTAATCAGTTACTACATACTTAAAGTTTTTGGTCTCATTCTTGGTTCCAAAGTCATGTCCTCTTTCATTAAGCTAAGCTCTCATCTATTTGTCACATCCTTTGGTTCTTAAGGTGATATCGATCAAATTATGTGAAGATGTAAGGCCTTGAAGAAACCTTGCAAACCTTGCCACAAAGAGCATGTCTATTGGAAAGCAGCAGTTTGAATGCTAGCTCCAGTTTGCACGTATTTATGTCAGCTGTGTGTGTGTGTGTGTGTGTGTGTGTGTGTCTATCTGTCTGAGAAAGAAGAGAAACTTTTGAAATTGGGCTGAATAATTTATAAAGGACTCCCTTGTTGTGATAGTCTTTAAACATCCCCAGATCTGGCCTGTCAATCTGAGACTTCTCAGCCTCCATAACTGCAAGAAATAAATTCCTTTTCTTTATAAATTACCTAGTTTCAGGTATTCTATTATGAGCAACAGAAAATAGACTAATACAGGCTCTGTTTTCTTTTAAGATGGCAGCAGTCTGGTTAATCCTAAAGTCTGTGGGATTATCTGTTATACAATAGCGCATCTCTCTTTTCCATGTTGGGGTCGGTTACGTGTGCCCTAAACTAAGTGCTCAGTGAGTTTCTGTGCACTTCTTCTATTGTATTACTTAATTTTTTCCCAAGGACCCAGTAATAGATGGCAGGGGGTGGGGTAGATGAGGAGATGACTCTATCACTTAATGTCTGTATGACTTAGGATACATTATTTAATACGTGAGGGTCAGTTTTCTCATTTGTACAGTGGGGATTTTAATAACTTTCTTACCCTGTTCCTGTGAGGGTTAAATGAGATACAACATATGTAAATATGCCCAACACATGTGCAGAGTCAGTGCTCAATATAGGCATTTGCTTTCCTCTACTATGGGTTTAAGATTCATGCAAGGATGTTAAAACAGCTCAATCTGGACTGTTCTCATGACCATTCAGACTTAATATTTACCCTAAAACTGGCATTACCCTTGATTTAGTCATGACGTGATTATTAAATTTGTTAAAAAAATTGGGTCCTGTATAAGAACTGCCCATGATTTGGATTTTGGCAGGTAATTTAGCTGTACCATCAATGGTAACTGTTTATCCAGAGTAATTCTTTCTACCACTAGATGGTGCTTGTCCATATATTTGTGAGGCTCTCCTATATAAAGTTACATAATTTGGGGTAAAACACATCTTGTTGACCTTTGAGAATTGTATAGTGGTATTGATACTCATGTTCACCTTGTTGATGAGATGTTTTTAAGGGTAAAATTTAGGGTAGGATTTGATGAAAATTTAAAAGTTTGGATCACTTTGTTTACCCATAGCATTCCCAAGTCCTAAGTATAAGATATTTACTAAAAAAATGATGAGATGGGAAGAATTAATGTGGGTAATATGGTATTCGTATTTTTGAAATGTGTGCGAAATTGGACCTAGGCTAGTTCATGAATTTGTTAGAAGTATCAAGATAATTAAGCAACCTGTAGGCCCACATAATTTCCTCTTGATTTTTCAATATGAACAGAAAAGCTTAGCAGACATTTCACACTCAAATGTACTAGTAGTGGATAGTCAACATCACATACAACTCAGAGTATGCATCATTTGAAGTATGGTGACATCAAAAAATATAAAGCAATTTTTGTTTTACTTTCTGAACAAATTCAACAAGCAAATTCAACGTGCCTCACATGGGGCTACAGAGATGAGACATAGTCCCTTCTTTCATGAAGTTAGGAATAATTAATTGTGTTTGACTGAGGTTAGCTGGTATAATAGAGATTGTGTGGGATCAGAGGAAAAGGTGATCAGAATTTGTGTTATGCAACTATTTTAGATGAGCTGTGAGGAAATCCCTGCTAGAGATTTGCTACTCTGTGCTTTCCACAAATAGCTGACATAGCCAGTTTGGAAATAAATACTTTGGTGATTTATTTTATTTTACTTTATTTCATTTTGAGACAGAGTCTCGCTCTGTTGCTGAGGCTGGAGTGTAGTAGCATGATCTTGGCTCATTGCAACCTCCGCCTCCCAGGTTCAAGCGACTCTTATGTCGCAGCCTCGCAAGTAGCTGGGATTACAGGCATGCACCACCATGCCTGGCTAATATTTGTATTTTTAGTACAGATGAGGTTTTGCCATGTTGGCCAGGCTGGTCTCAAACTCCTGACCT
Organism: Homo sapiens; assembly: GCF_000001405.40. Classification (NCBI taxonomy): domain Eukaryota; kingdom Metazoa; phylum Chordata; class Mammalia; order Primates; family Hominidae; genus Homo; species Homo sapiens. The sequence goes on from NC_000007.14 coordinate 116,986,066, forward strand.
CCAGTGATCTACCCACCTTGGCCTCCCAAAGTGCTGGGACTACAGATGTGAGCCACCACGCCCAGCGTGATAATTTTAATTTTCAGAATTTCTCAACACTAAGAGCATTCTGGGTTGTGTGAGTAGAGTCTATTTTAGTTGAAAGTGGGATGATTCTGCTGTTTCATTCTAACTGTAAGTGGAAAGGAGGGGAGGAGATGGGACTGGTGGTGAATTGAGAGTTGAGGGGTACTGAAGCAGAGTCAATGAGTTGAGAGGTGGTGGTCATGTAGGATAAGGGGTTTTATTTGTAAGCAACAGAAACTGACTCTATTTTAAGGAAAAGTGAAAAATTTTCAGAATCTAATAAAAAGCTGAAAAATTCAGTTTCAGAAAGGACAAAATCAAGAGCATTTTCAGGGATTTAGGTAGTAGGAAATAATAAATCATTTTCTGAGAATGCCACTGTAAGAATAAATGGATTCCAGCTGCTTCAGTTTTTTTCTTTTATTATTTAAAAAAATCACTGATAAATACCATATTCTTTGCAGACAGCATAAGTACCAATCCCAGTTGACATCAGATGAAATGGGGAAGGCTAGTGTGAGGGAAAAGAGGAGCAGGTTTTGGCGGAAAGACTAGTTTTGGATGTCAGTGGAAGAGATTCAAATATTCAAATTGAGATATTGGGTAGGTAGTTGGATATGTGAGTCTGGAGGTAGAGAGAGAGAGATTTCAGATAGGTGGTATTTAAAGTCATGGGATTAGATATGGTTACTAAAGAAGTGAGTATACATGAGAGTCCTTAAATTGCATGGTGGGGCTTTCCAACCCAAAGAGGATGGGAGGAAGAAGAACCGGCAAAGGAGACTGAGAAGGATGATTAAGAACTTCTGCTGCTGGGCCTTTAAGTGAGAATTCATGTGTGTGTTCAAATTCTCTGAGCCCTTTCACATAGTCTGCCTATCCACATTCTTAATCTCCAACCTTTGTGCTACCAATCCTTCAGTCCAGCTTTTTCAGCAGGACATTAGACATTGCTCAGGAATTTATATAGATTCTGATCCTATGGCTTTTCTTCTGGCAGACAAAGTAAGAAGATGTATTATTTGAAGACTCTCTCTTCTTCATTATTCTCAGTCACCCCAAAGAAGAGCTATAAGCAGTAAATGAGTACTGGCATGTCACATAGAGCCATCAAAATGGGCTGGGTATTTTTCATCTTTAAGTATCTAACTGGGTTCTGGGTGAGTCCCCATGAACTGGTATATGTTTGAGGCACAGGAGTAGACTTACTGGGTGTGCACATCCTATTATGCAACGTCCTGGGCCTTTGGGCCTGCTGTGGCATCACTGGCTTGGCTGTTCAAGGCTGCAGCAAGAAAACTGCTCCTCTTTTGACGTTCTTTGCCTAGTCCCAGATTCTTGTCACTAAAAATTGGCCTCTGATTTGGTTCCTGACTCTGCATCACACCCTGAACTTCAGACATACTGATTTTCCATGAGATTGCTCTTGGCACCAGTCCCTTCACTTATATTGGCCACATTTCTTCAGAGTAATTTCTGACCTTTTTATTGGCTTAGATACCTCAAAGGAAAGAAACCTATTATCAGGGGCTTCTCTTGTTCACGTCTGGCATCAGTCTCTCTTTGGTACCAGAAATCACCCACTGTGAATAAACCTTTTTTCTTCTTTTGACACGGAGTCTCACTCTGTTCCCCAGGCTGGAGTGCAATGGGGCAATCTCGGCTCACTGCAACCTTGGCCTTCCAGGTTCAAGCAATTCTCCTGCCTCAGCCTCCCGAGTAGCTGGGATTACAGACGCCTACCACCATGCCCGACTACTAATTTTTGTGTTTTTGGTAGAGACAGGGTTTTGCCATGTTGGCCAGGCTGATCTCGAACTCCTGACCTCAAGTAGTCCACCTGCATTGGCCTTCCAAAGTGCTGGGATTACAGGCGTGAGCCACTGCACCCAGCCCACCTTTTCTTATTTTCCAAAAATTTTCTAGCCAGTCCTAATATAATGAATCATTTTTCTCCTTTGCTAGTTCAGGAGTACTGGCTGAACTAGTTAAATTAACCCCTATTATGACTTGTAAAAATCCAAACTGCTTGAAACATTTATATAATTCTATAGGAGGCCTCCTATTTTCCTGAATCAGCCCATATCTCAGCTACATTAGTTGCTTTGATGAACTTGGAGGTCAGAGTGTTTACGTGGATCTCTTTGGAGTAATGTTGGTAGAAAATTAGGTTTTGAGTTTACCCACTTTTATAAAATGGAATGTTTATTGATATTTTTAAAATGACACTGAGGGATATTTTCTCTTCTGCTTTCTTTCATTAAACTGGTTCGCTTGAAGCCAATATTTTAGCAGTCTGCTGCATTTAGTTTTTACTGTATTTTTCAGAGAGTCCTTTAACATTGTTATATACAGATTTCATAGTCATTTATTTTTAAATTTTATTATAAAGCTAATTCATCTTTGCAGACCAGTGTATTTTAATAATATTATGATCACTAGAGGGCACTCTTTAAAAGATAAAGCAGATTTTTTTCATTTCTCGATTTTTGAAATCTATGTGATCATAGCTATTGAAATAATTGAAGGTAGTGATTAAAATGATTGTTGTGTTCTGATTAAATATGGAAGCATAAATCATAATCTATAAAGGATACCGAAAATACTTTAAATAATCAACCAAATACAGGAATGGAGATGTTGTTACTTGAATTGACTATCCAACTTGCCTCAGACTGAACTTCCAAAATGCACACTTTTAACATGACAGACTTGGACACTAATGCTGTGAAACATATATATATTTTTAAAATTCAGCAAATAGCAAATACCTACTGAGGGTTTATGATGCTCTAGGCTCCCTAGAGGACACAAAAATGATTTAGATACAACCCTTGTCCACAGCGAATGTATGATCTAGCATAGAGGTATCCAACAGAAATATGATATACAAGCCACACATGAGCCACATATGAAATTCTAGAAGACACATTAACAAAGAGAAACAGATAAAATCAATTTTTGTACTGCCTTTTATATAACCCCATATATTCAAGATATTATCATTTCAAAATGTATTGAATATAAAAATTATTAATGAGATATTTACAGGTTGTTTTTGGTATTGAGTCTGAAATGCAGTGTGTACTTTACATTTCTAGCACATCTTCCCTTGCATTGGCCACATTTCAAGTGCTCAGTAGCCATATGTAGCTCGTGCTACCCTTTTGGACAGTGCAGCTCTGGGTCCCTTCACAGCTGTGGAGCTCACCTTTTTCACTAGGCTGCATCCTGGAGATTTAGGTAATAGCCTGTCAATCTTCATTGAGGTATCATTTATATATGAAGAAATTCACCCATTGTAGTGTGCAATTCTGTTACCCCCTCTCTTTTAAACAGCATCTGTTCTTATTCCAAGGATATAACATCTTATCTCTCTGAGTTTTTTTTTTTTGTTTTGTTGGTTGTTTTTGTCAGTATTTTGTTAGAAATTTTCCTCAAATGAGGCTGTAATCCCAGCACTTTGGGAGGCTGAGGTGGGAGGATTGCTTGAGTCCGGGAGTTTGAGACCAGCATGGGCAACATAGTGAGACCCCCATCTCTAAAAAAATTTTTTAATTAGCTGGGCATGGTGACATGTACCTGTAGTCCTAGCTGCTCAGGAGGCTGAGGTGGGAGGATCATTTGAGCCCAGGAGTTCAAGGTTACAGTGAAGTTTGATTGTGCCAGTGCACTCTAGCCTAGGTGACAGAGTGATACCCTCTCTCCAAAAAAAAATTTTTTTTTCCTTGTGTCTGGTGATCCTTGATTGATAGAAAACCATATGTATGTGTGTGTGTTATGTGGCATAGATTGGTGATTAACCATGTTTTTGTTTGTTTGTTTTTGAGACAGAGTCTCGCTCTGTTGCCCAGGCTGGAGTGCAGTGGCACGATCTCGGCTCACTGCATCCTCTGCCTCCCGGGTTCAAGTGATTCTCCTGCCTCAGCCTCCTGAGTAGCTGGGACTACACATGCCACCACACCCGGCTAATTTTTTGTATTTTTAGTAGAGATGGGGTTTCACCATGTTAGCCAGGATTATCTCAATCTCTGGACCTTGTGATCCACCTGCCTTGGCCTCCCAAAGTGCTGAGATTACAGGTGTGAGCCACCACGCCCGGCCGGTGATTAACCTTTGATTTCTCTGTAGAGTGAGTGAGTAAGTGAATGAGTAAAAATGAGTAATTTCTCCTTCAGCTTTCCTCTTTATCCTGCTTGGACCGTTTTCTTTCTATTCTGGGTAAACTCATTCCTTTTACTTTTGACTAGCTCTGCTTGTGCCTAGGAATCAATCCCCTTCCTCTAAGGGGTTAGTGTTGTTTTGTTTTGTTCTGTTGTATGCACACAGGGGAAACAACATTTTAAAAAATGTTATAATGGTCCAGGTTGTTATAATTCCACTGAAAAAAATAAAAGATGGTAGAAGTTAGGTGGATTACTTTCTCTTTGTGATATAATTTGCAGTATACAAGCATAGGTTGAACTATCTATTCTGTGTACTTTCCTTTAGAAAGCTGCATACCCATACTCTTTTCAGGTTTCTAATTAAATGTCACCTTCTAAGTTCAGCTTTCCATGACCCTTTAAAATTGTAAATCCCCTTCCATACCCATCTATATACCTGGCACTGACTGTTCCTTTTTCTTGCTTTGTTACTATTTTTTAGTTGCACTTACCATTATCTGACACACCATATACTTTACTAATGTCTTTCCCTCCCCAAAATGAGAATGGAAAATTTAAAAAGTAGACTTTAAAATTAATGTAACATTCATACAGAAAAGAGCAGATATTCTAAGTTTAAAGCTTGGTGAATTTTCATTAAGTGACACATAGATTTGATTACCGTGTCCCAGATCAAGAAACAGAACATTACCAGTACTGAGAGGCCTTCCATATGCCCCTTCCTATCACTAACCCTGACCCAAATCCCTCCTCAAAGGTTTGTTCGTTCTCGTTGCATTGGTTTGCATAGTACTCCATTGTATGATCACATTTTATTTATCTATTATACTTTTGATGTATATTTGGGTGGTTTCCAGTTGGACCTATTATGAATAGTTAGTATTTTGTTTTGAAAAAGCCTGAAAGGTTCCTAGGCTACTACTTTTTCCACCCTGACACATGCCTCCTTTGAGGCATTAAGCAGGGCTCTCTGCTTGAATGTGGGGAGGCAGAAATGTTATTCAGCCATGTATTAGTCTGTTTTCATGCTACTGATAAAGATATGCCCAAGACTTGGAAGAAAAAGAGGTTTAATTGGACTTACAGTTCCTCATGGCAGGGGAGGCTTCAGAATCATGGGGGGAGGCAAAAGGCACTTCTTACATGGTGGCGGCAAGAGAAAATGAGGAAGATGCAAAAGCAGAAACCCCTCATAAAACCATCAGATCTTGTGAGACTTGTTCACTACCAAGAGAACAATATGGGTGAAACCGCCCCCATGATTCAAATTATCTCCTACTGACACCCTCCCACAACACGTGGGAATTAGAAGAGTACAATTCAAGATGAGATTTGGGTGGGGACACAGAGCCAAACCATATCATTTCACCTCTGGCCTCTCCAAATTTCATGTCCTCACATTTCAAAACCAATCATGCCTTCCCAACAGTCCCCCAAAGTCTTAACTCATTTCAGCATTAACCCAAAAGTCCACAGTCCAAAGTTACATCTGAGACAAGGCAAATCCCTTCTGCCTATGAGCCTGTAAAGTCAAAAGCAAGCTAATTACGTCCTAGTACAGATGTTGGGTAAATACAGCCATTCCAATGGGAGAAATTGGCCAAAACAAAGGGGTTACAGGGCCCAACCAAGTCTAAAATCTAGTGGGGCAGTCAAATTTTAAAGCTCCAAAATGATCTCCTTTGACTCCAGGTCTCACATCCCGGTCACACTGATGCAAGAGGTGGGTTCCCATGGCCTTGGGCAGCTCTGCCCCCATGGCTTTGCAAGGTACTGCCTCTCTCCCACTGCTTTCATGGGCTGGTGTTGAGTGTCTGTGGCTGTTCCAGGTTCATGATGCAAACTGTAGGTGGAGCTACTATTCTGGGGTCTGGAGAACAGTGGCCCTCTTTTCACAGCTCCACTAGGCAGAGCACCAGTAGGGACTCTATGTGAGGGCTCTGACCCTTCATTTCCCTTCTGCACTGCCCTAGCAGAGGTTCTCCATGAGAGCCCTATACCTGCAGTGAACTTCTGCCTGGGCATCCAGGCATCTCCATACGTCTTCTGAAATCTACGTGGTTTCCCAAACCCCAATTCTTGACTTCTGTGCATCTGCAGGTTCAACACCATGTGGAAGCTTCCAAGGCTTGGGCTTGCATCCTCTGAAGCCATGGCCTGAGCTTTATACTGGCCCCTTTCAGTCACGGCTGGAGCAGCTGGGATGCAGGGCACAAAGTCCCTAGACTGCACACAGCACGGGACCCTGGCCCCTGCCCATGAAACCATTTCTTCCTCCTAGACCTCCAGGTCTGTGATGAGAGAGGCTGCCGCAAAGGTCTCTGACATACCCTGGAGACATTTTCCCCATTGTCTTGGAGATGAACATTCGGCTCCTCATTACTTATGCAAATATCTGCAGTTGGCTTGAATTTCTCCTCAGAAAATGGGATTTTCTATTGGCATTGTCAGGTTGCAAATTTTCTGAAGTTTTATGCTCTGCTTCCCTTTTAAAATGGAATGCTTTTAACAGCACCCAAGTCACCCTTGAATGCTTTGCTGCTTAGAAGTTTCTTCTGCTGGATACCCTAAATTATCTCCCTTAAGTTCAAAGTTCCACAAATCTCTTAGGCAGGGGCAAAGTGCCGCCAGTCTCTTTGGTAAAACATAATAAGAGTCGCCTTTGCTCCAGTTCCCAAATTCCTCATTTCCATCTGAGATGACCTCAGTCTGGACTTTATTGTCCATATCGCTATCAGCATTTTGGGCAAAGCCACTCAACAAGTCTCTGGGAAGTTCCAGTCTTTCCCACATTTTCCTGTCTTCTTCTGAGCCTTCCAAACTGTTTCAGCCTCTGCCTGTTACCCAGTTCCGAAGTCACTTCCACATTTTCAGGTATCTTTTTAGCAACGCCCCACTCTACTGGCAACAATGTACTGTATTAGTTTGTTTTCACACTGCTGATAAAGACATACCTGAGGCTGGGAAGAAAAAGAAGTTTAATTGGACTTACAATTCCACATGGCTGGGGAGGCCTCAGAATCATGGCAGGAGGCAAAAGGCACTTCTTACATGGCAGCAGAAAGAGAAAATGAGGAAGATGCAAAAACGGAAACCCCTGATAGAACCATCGTATCTCGTAAGACTTGTTCACTACCATGGGAACAGTATGGGGAAAACGGCCCCCATGATTCAAATTACCTCCCACCGGCTCCCTCCCACAACACGTGGGGATTATGGGAGTACAATTCAAGATGAGATTTGGGTGGGGACACAGAGCCAAACCATATCAAACCATATTTGCATTCTCCACTAATAGAGCTCCTTGAGAACAGAAATCTTGACTTAATCATCTTGGAAACTTCAGTGTTTGGCATGGGCCAGGAGCATAATAATCTAAAGACTATTTCTGAGGGATCACATCAGCTTTTATTCTCAGAATAGATACCAGAGCTAGGGGAAATAGAGTTTATTTAGAAGGATCAGGGATGAAATTGAGACTCACCATGTAGAAACTTCACAACTAGCAATAAGAGAGGTTCTAAATACATTGAAGGCAGAAATGTGGCTAAGGAATCAGTAGTGTACTTTGATTGTATTGTATAAGGTATTTTCAAATAGAAAAGCAGGTAGCAGAAATACTAAAAGAATTTTTTGCTTTAGTGTAAAGTAGATAATGAGAGGTAGATGCCTAATTTCTTAGTTTTCTTTTTAAAATTATGCTAAAATATATCATATCATTTACCATTTTGACTATTTTAAAAGTATACAGTTCCGTGGCATTAAGTACATTCACATTGTTATGCAGTCGTCACCACTGTTTATCTCTAGAACTTTTTCATTTTCACCAACTGAAACGTTGTACCCATTCCACCAACTCCTCCTTCCACCTTCCTGCTAACCCTTGGCAATCACCGTTCTACTTTCTCTCTCTATGAATTTGACTACACTAGGAGCCTAATTTAAGAGGAATCATGTAATATTTATCCTTTTATGACTAACTTATTTCACTTAATATAATGTCTTCAAGATTCTAAAATTTTCTGTTGAAGCAAATAGACTGGAGGATGGTTTGAGGTTGATTAATAAATAAAAAATACTTCACTCTCTGAGATTCAAAGACATCTTTCCAAAAGCATCAAGGAAACTTAAAGGCATAATTAATTATTTGCCAAAATATATAATGTTTAACTGACCGGTGATTTTTATGCACAATAAATAATAGAATCATTGACTAAGGAAACAACTATAAATCTTTGGGGAAAGAAAGCCTGATTTTTATGGTAGAATCTACTAGATATGTCTGGGAGGGTATAATTACCTCCAAACAAGGATAAACCAATGGACGCAATGTTTTTAGATTAAAAGAAAATCTTTAGTGATATTTTTCTACTCAAGACTATTAAAAATGAATTCATTAACCATTCGAGGGAATACTTCGACATTGGAGGAGTTCTCTCTTAGAGACCATAATAAAAAAGAGAAGTATTTAGCTGTGGAACATGAAGTGCTAACAGTGGTTTTTCTGTTGGGAAATTGATGCTGGGAATATGTGTAATGTAAAATGAATGACTAGAGATTGCATGATGTACCAGTCCTTTTCTGTTCGCTCTTTCATACTTACTTTTCACTCTTTTTTTTACCGTTTCCTTCTTTCCTGGGAGGTAATCAGGATCGACTTTTTCAGTCAAATGTCTTGCATGCCTCTGTATTCTGGTTGGGTTTAGCCCATGGGAGGAAGCCTGGTAGGAGATTGGGGGACTTAAGGAGAGTGACTTATCTGGCTGTGCTCCTTCACCAAAGCCTGTGCCCTTTCTACACCTTTATTAAATTCTCCTCAAAATCTTCTGAGTGCAGTATCTGCTTTCTGATATGACCTAAGTAATACACATAACAAAATCTAGTACATAGATGGAAGACAGAAAAGAATCACCAACCCAAGAGATATTAGTCTTGTCTTTGCTCTTACTCATAAGAGACAAAATAATCTCTATGCCTTTGCCCTTTGACAAATGAGGAATAGTAACCATCCCCGTCCTAGGGTTGTTTTATGGTAATGTACATATATACATATCTAAGTTTACCTGAAAGCTTTCTAAAACAGACTACCACCAATGAAAGGCATTATTATTAACACTCATCACCAGTGTGAAATACCAAGTGAGGAGAATAAACTCTTCATGGTGAGGTGATATGATGGGCTAGAGGTGACATACAAGCTATAAATGGCCAGGGCTGGCACTTATTGGGAGCCCATGGGAAGCAATCCTGAGTGAGAAGGAAGCTGTTTTACAGAATGTCTTGGATGATGCTGCAGACTGTAATGTCTAGTGTTTTTCTTAGTTTGACTGTGCTTGCCCCTTCCTCATTCCTGCTATTCAGCTCCTGATATGGATCATAACTTTGAGTATGTCCAGGAATTGCAAACTCAGATGCCTACCTACAGTAGGTGTGAGCTATTTGTTCCAGTCAGTTGTTGCTGTGAGGGAATGTGGGTTATCTGTGCACCATATCTTCTAACTTTTCAAGGAAAGTTGAAAACGTCAATTTTTATATGAAGTTTCCCAATTTACAAATGTTAGCAACTAATTAAAATTTTAAAAATTGTGTTTGGGCTGAAAAGACACATGTTTGAGCTAGATATGACCTGTGGGCTGCCAGCTTTTAATCTCTGCTACATGGCCATCTTGGATTTCCTAGTGACTTTATAGGATTAGACTAGAGTTCCTACCCCTTCTTACCTCCATAACAAACTGATGTGTCTTCCACTTTTTGGTTTCTGGTGTTAACTCTTGCAGATTCCCCGTTTTTTTTTTTTTTTTTGAGACGGAGTCTTGCTCTGTCGTCCAGGTTGGAGTGCAGTGGCACAGTCTCAGCTCACTGCAACCTCCACCTCCTGGGTTCAAGTGATTCTCCTTCCTCAGCCTCCCGAGTAGCTGGGACTACAGGCATGTGCCACCACACCCGGCTAATTTTTTGTATTTTTAGTAGAGATGGGGTTTCACTGTGTTAGGATGGTTTCAATCTCCTGACCTCATGATCCACCCACCTCGGCCTCCCAAAGTGCTGGGATTACAGGCGTGAGCCACTATGCCCGGCCAATTCCCAGTTCTTTATGTTCAATACTTGTCACATCCAAATGTGTGGGAATGCACTCTGGGAAACACTGTCTAGGAAATTGAGCTAATACCTCTGCCAATTCTTATAGATGCTGATCTGCTGATAGATAATATAAACTTGTTAGTGCTGCTTCATCTTATCAGGCTTGCTTAGGTGGCTACAGTCTCTTCGTAACCAGGCAGTTTAGGAATCTGTTATGTTCCCTACTCCAGTCCATTAGTTGTCATTTTCTGAATAGGTGCATTCTTCTTTATTAATATGCAGAGACCAGAAAGTTACCTAGTCTGATTTAAATATTTTAGTGTTTCCTCATGGTGCAAATGAATAACTCCCTTTTGCCAAAGTAGGTGATAAAATTGCCTAGATGACATTTAGATACTATTTACACTTTCTAGTATACAACTGAATGGACATATATAGCTGATGTTTTTCAAATTTGTGTCCATAAAACATTAGTTCTGGAGACATGAATGTCTTCTATAAGAAAAGGATTCGATAGCCAGTAGGAGAAATATCCCATACCCTATGACCTTCTAGAAGAGTCACAAGGCAGATTTGCTTGGAAAAGAATTGTGTCCGGAATTCGTGGGTTCTTGGTCTCGCTGACTTCAAGAATGAAGCCACGGACCCTCATGGTGAGCGTTACAGTTCACAAAGGTGGCGTGTCCAGAGTTTGTTCCTTCTGATGTTCGGATGTGTTCTGAGTTTCTTCCTTCTGGTGGGTTCATGGTCTCGCTGGCTCAGGAGTGAAACTGCAGACCTTCGCAGTGAGTGTTACAGCTCATAAAGGTAGTGCCGACCCAAAGAGTGAGCAGCAGCAAGATTTATTGCAAAGAGCAAAAGAACAAAGCTTCCACAGTGTGGAAGGGGACCCGAGTGGGTTGCCACTGCTGGCTCGGGCAGCCTACTTTTATTCCCTTATCTGACCCCACCCACATCCTGCTGATTGGCCCATTTTACAGAGAGCTGATTGGTCTGTTTTACAGGGAGCTGATTGGTCTGTTTTGACAGGTTGCTGATTGGTGCGTTTACAATCCCTGAGCTAGACACAAAAGTTCTCCAAGTCCCCACTAGATTAGCTAGACACAGAGCACTGATTGGTGCATTTACAAACCTTGAGCTAGACACAGGGTGCTGATTGGTGTGTTTACAAACCTTGAGCTAGACACAGAGTGCTGATTGGTGTATTTACAATCCTTTAGCTAGACATAAAGATTCTCCAAGTCTCCACTAGATTAGCTAGACACAGAGCACTGATTGGTGCATTTACAAACCTTGAGCTAGACACAGGGTGCTGATTGGTGTGTTTACAAACCTTGAGCTAGACACAGAGTGCTGATTGGTGTATTTACAGGCCCTTAGCTAGACATAAAGGTGCTCCAAGTCCCCACCAGATTAGCTAGATACAGAGTGCTGACTGTTACATTTACAAACCTTGAGCTAGATACAGAGTGCTGATTGGTGTATCTACAATCCCTTAGCTAGACATAAAGGTTCTTCAAGTCCCCACCAGACTCAGGAGCCCAGCTGGCTTCACCTAGTGGATCCCGCACTGGGGCTGCAGGTGGAGCTGCCTGCTAGTCCCATGCCGTGTGCCCTCGCTCCTCAGCACTTGGACGGTCGATGGGACCAGGTGCCGTGGAGCGGGGCGCGGTGCTTGTCGGGGATGCTCGGGCTGCACAGGAGCCCATGGAGGCAGGGGGGAGGCTCGGGCATGGCAGGCTGCAGGTCCTGAGCCCTGCCCACTGGGGAGTCAGCTGAGGCCCAGCGAGAATTCGAGCGTAGCGCTGGCGGGCCGGCACTGCTGGGGGACCCGGCGCACCCTCTGCAGCTGCTGGCCTGGGTGCTAAGCCCCTCACTGCCCTGGGCCGGCAGCGCCGGCTGGCCACTCTGAGTGTGGGGCCCGCCGAGCCCACACCCACCCGGAACTCACACTGGCCCGCAAGTGCCGTGTGCAGCCCTGGTTCCTGCCTGCACCTCTCCCTCCACACCTCCCCGCAAGCCGAGGGAGCTGGCTCCGGCCTCGGCCAGCCCTGAGAGGGGCTCCCACGGTGCAGCGGCGGGCTGAAGGGCCCCTCAAGCGCGGCCAGAGTGGGCACCAAGGCCGAGGAGGTGCCGAGAGTGAGCAAGGGCTGCGAGGGCTGCCAGCACACTGTCACCTCTCAGAATGAGGAGTTCTGTTGTAAGGAAACAGTTAACTTTGTTTAATCCAGAAACTGAGTCATTCATTTATATGCCAACTATTTATTGAGCATTTACTATGTGCCAGACACTTTGCTTTTCTTCCAGGACATACTGTCCTCATGGAACTTATGTTCTGGTGAGAAAAACTGATAATGGAGAACTAAGCGAATATGTAAATTCCTTATACATCATGAGTAAATAGTGGGAAGAAACTAAACAGGGAGCTGTGATAGAGAATAATGGGCATATATTGAACTTAAGTGGTCAGGAAAGGCCTCTGTAAGGGAGGTGACTGAGACCTAAAGAATGAGAACAAGCTATCTCTCTGCACTATCAGGGGAAGAATGTTTCAGGCAGAAGGAACAGTAAGGGCAAAAGTAACCTTAGCAAAATACTTTGTGTCCCTACTATGTGCTAGGCATTTTGCATGATAATCTTTTATCAATTAATTTTTCAGTTGAGAACCTTGGCTTACCATGCAACCAGCCTAAGGTCCTAGAGCATGTCAACTTGTGGTGGAACGTGGTTGGAACTCAGACATGCTTGTGCTATATACTGCCTTCCAAATTGCTTGAGATTGAAATATCTTTCCTTCTTTCTTTTTTTCAATAGTAGGCCTCCTAATAAGCTTAGGTACACGAAATTGGAGAACTCTGGTATACAAGGAATTATAACAGAATTAGAATTACTGCTGTCATCTTAGAGTTTCAAATAGTAGAGAGGTAGAAAAATATTTTTACAGCTTTATTAAATACTTTTTCAGGAACTTATATACTAAGCATCTTAGATACTTGGAGTTCAGCCTTCAGGGCCCCTTCTTGGGCACAATTCCAAGGTTTAGTAAGTGCACAAACAACAAACCCTATGAGGAAAAGTATCCAGTAACAGAAAAGAAAATGGAACAGCTCTGAATTTGGGAGGAGCAAATAGACATCATACCTCTGTGGCCCTCAAAGGCCACGCAGAGCATTGTGAGTGATGGCATACCAGCCACTGGACATTCTTCTTTTGTTAATAAAACAAGGTTTTGCCCTTAGAAGATGATATCTAGAAGGGAAAGAAAGGTTAGTCATGTTCCTAGTATCATTTCACTTATCAACATTATCTTTTAGGACACTTTGTTTAGAAGATACTGTAAGAGAACTGATCCATTCTGTAGATACTAAATAACTTGGTCTACTGTTGACATTTCTGTTTTTAATTTTGCTTGTGCCTAGAATTTTCTTTCTTTTTTTTTTTTTTTTTTTTGAGACAGAGTCTCGCTGTGTCACCCAGACTGGAGTGCAGTGGCGCAATCTCAGCTCACTGCAAGCTTCATCTCCTGGGTTCACGCCATTCTCCTGCCTCAGCCTCCCAAGTAGCTGGGACTACAGGTGCCTGCCACCACGCCCAGCTAATTTTTTGTATTTTTTAGTAGAGATGGGGTTTCACCGTGTTAGCCAGGATGGTCTCGATCTCCTGACCTCGTGATCCACCCACCTCAGCCTCCCAAAGTGCTGGGATTACAGGCGTGAGCCACTGCGCCCAGCCTAGAATTTTCTTTTAAAGCCAAATATCAAAAAGTGTTTGGAGATGAACCGTGGACTGTGTAAGTACTTTCTGTTACTGACACTGAAGAATTCTGTCTTTGCTGCAAACTACCCTCAAAATGGCAATGAGTTGGTGGCAGGTCATATGCTTAGGAAGTTTTTAGAGCAGCGTTGTCCAATAGAACTTTCTGCAATAATGGAAATGTCCTGTAATACAGTGTCTGTTGAGCTCATGTGGCTAGTGTGACTGAGGAAGTGAATATTTAATTTTAATTAATTTAAATTTAGCCATTTATAGCTAGTGGCTACCATATTGAATAGCACAGGCTTTGAGATAACTTTAATACCTTTATGAGGTATTTAATACCTTTATGAGGGGAGAAACAAGTGACCAAAAAGCAAAGTGATCTTTGAGACTTTGAAGCAGCTTGTTCGAGAGCCTGTTTAGAGGTTAGGCCTATATCCCACATCATCTTTATTTGCATCTCCAGTTACTTCTGTAGTCTATCAAAGTAATTGCATTATTAGGAGAAGCTTTTTCAGAGCTTTGTGTGACTTAAGATCGCAGGGAAATACATATGAAGGTTGCGTGGCAGTACTGCCATGTGGAAATGTGGGTGTGGGCTTTGCCTTGTTGCAATGACTTGTTAGTGCTACTGGCCATAATACCTGGGAGGCCAGGGATATTGACTGTAATATTATCCTGCCTAAAATACCAATAACACCCTCATTGAGAAGTATTGCTGGATCTTTTTGATGGTAAGAGTTATTAAAATTTAGAAATTCCAGAACTCAAAGAATTATTTCTTCTCTGAAAAACCCAGACATCTGGTAGACATTCTCTGAAGCTTCTGGATGTTTTTCTGTATTGTAGCCTATGGCATTGTGAATCTAAGATGCTTTTTGAGCACCAGACAATTAGTAGAACATTTTAATGTTGTGGTTGGATAACACTGAAAAAGCCATTGACATTTGTTTTGAGCAGCAGCAGTGAAACCGGCACCTTATCTCATGTGCACAAAAATCCATGTAGATGATTTAAAAACTGCTGTGCTGCCGATGAAGGGAAGAAAGCAGGAGGTCTAATCATCGTCAACTGAAACCTCACCTAAGTAGTATTCGCCTGCCTCCACTTTAAAAGACAAATTAAACTACTTGTAGTATTATGTAGAAGAATGTATGTATTTGTATATTTCCAAATTTAAAGTCTACCTTTTGCCTGAAAAAAACATAGAAAAGAAAACTACCAATACTAAGTATAGTTGAGTGGTTTTCCTGCTGTTTTCTATTATGGTCCCTGGAGCTCAGGTGTCCATTTTCATGGGAAGGAACCTTTCACTTGATAAATGAGCTGGAAAAAGGGGGTTTATGTCTGTGTGAGCTGCAGAAAGGACTAGTAGTTAGTAAGGTGATAAAATTGCAGGATCAGGCAATGATACTTTCAGAAGCAATCACTGCAGGCTGTCAACAGAGCTTACAAACCTTTGAGGTTGTTCCTGGGCCAACCTTGGAAGAAGGTATATCTTATGTAATTGTCATTGTAACCAGAGAACATTTTTGATACAGTTTAGTGTTATTATCTTTTTTTGTAATTATGGGTGATAGATTGATAATTGCATTAATATCATTACAGGGGGTATATTTAAAAAAAAGTGGCTGATTTTTCTTATTCTTCCCTCCAATACCATAGTAATGGCAGGATCCTTTTGTTGTTCCACAAAGATAATCTGATGTCTATTTTGTCTACAGACAAAATATAATAAAAGTACATGGGAAAGTACATGGACAAGACATTATGTGTTATGAACATACTTTCTTTTTAAAATGTTTTATTGGCCAGGCGTGGTGGCTCACGCCTGTAATCCCAACACTTTGGGAGGCTGAGGCGGACGGATCACGAGGTCAAGAGATCAAGACCATCCTGGCCAACAATGGTGAAACCCCATCTCTACTAAAAATACAAAAAAATGTAGCTGGGCATGGTGGTGCATGCCTATAGTCCCAGCTACTCGGGAGGCTGAGGCAGGAGAATTGCTTGAACCTGGGATGTGGAGGTTGCAGTGAGCCGAGGTCGCGCCACTGTACTCCAGCCTGGGCGACAGAGCAAGACTCTGTCTCAAATAAAGTAAAATAAAATAAAATACTTTATTTATTTTATATATTTTTTAGAGACAGGTCTCTCTGTGCTGTCCAGGTTGGTCTTGATCTCCTAGGCTTAAATGATCCTCCTACCTCAGCCTCTCGAGTAGCTGAGACTGTGAGAATGCAACACCATGCCCAGCCTTATGAATATACACTCTTAAACACTAACGTTTGTCTAAGTAATTTTAACTGGAGATGAACTAAGACCCATTATTTTAGGATTTCAAGGTTCTAATACAATATTATTATTTTTACACAGCATTTGTTGTGTTTAAAAGTTTCATTAATTACCTCCAGTTAATAGCATGATATATTTTCAATGCAATCTGTTTCAAATTGATCAGATATATAGAATCTCTGGTAACCTCCTAAGGATTGTAGTTGAGGCTGTGTGTGTGTGTGTGTGTGTGTGTGTTTGTATGTATGTGTGTTAAAGGCAGAATCTCTTCACTATGAACCACTGAATGAAGAAATTATGCAAATTAATAATAACAAAATCTGTTTATGATTTTATATGATTAAGACAACATGAAATTAGATGCATCTACTGAATTTTTTTTCCTTTTTTTTTTTTTTTTTTTTTTTTTTGAGATGGAGTTTTTGCTCTAGTTGCCCAGGCTGGAGTGCAAGGGCCAATCTCGGCTCACTGCTAACTCTGCCTCCCAGGTTCAAGCAATTCTTCTGCTTCAGCCTCCTGAGTAGCTGGGATTACAGGCACCCACAACCGTGCCCAGCTAATTTTTTGTATTTTTAGTAGAGACAGGTTTTCACCATGTTGGCCAGGCTGGTCTCGAACTCCTGCCCTCAGGTGATCCACCTGCCTCAGCCTCCCAAAGTGCTGGGATTACAGGCGTGAGCCACCACGCCAAGCCTGAATTAGTTTTTTAGAATGTGTGTATTATTATTATTTTTTTTTTGAGACAAGGTCTTACTCTGTCGCCCAGGCTAGAGTGCAGTGTCATGAGCCCCACCTGGGCCCAAGTGATCTTTCCATCTCAGCCTCCCAAGTAGCTAAGACTATAGGTGTGCACCACCATACCTGGCTAATTTTTCTTTATTTTTCTGAGACACAGTCTCACTCTGTCGCCCAGGCTAGAGTGCAGTGGCCCAATCTTGGCACATTGCAACCTCTGACTCCTGGGTTCAAGCAATTCTCCTGCCTCAGCCTCCTGAGTAGCTGGGACTACAGGCGCACACCACCACACCTGGCTAATTTTTGTATTTTTAGTAAAGATGGGGTTTCACCATGTTGAACAGGCTGGTCTTGAACTCCTGACCTCAGGTGATCCACCCAAAGGGCTGGGATTACAAGCGTGAGCCACTGCGCCTGGCCATGCCTGGCTAATTTTTGTATAACTTTGGGAGAGATGGGGGTTTCGCCATGTTGCCCAGGCTAGTCTTGACCTCCTGGGCTCAAGTGATCCTCCTGCCTCAGCCTCCCAAAGTGCTAGCATTAGAGCGTGAGCCACCATACCTGACGAATGTGTATATCTTTTCCTTGTGGTGTACTGAAGGACTTTTTTAAGAAAATGTTTCATAGGAAGGGGTTTTGAGTTGTTCAAAGGACAACTTTTGAATGAGTTGTCTGTAGGCTGCAATTATTGCTAATTTGATTCATGTGACATGGAGGGTGTCTTTGCAGGGTGACTACAATCTGTTCAGAGTTCTCTCCTTCATTTTTCATTGTCTCTACAACTCAGAGATCAGAATTTCTCAAAATGAGAATGAGACTGCCATTGTCTGTTGTCTACCTTTTAAATTGAAAAGACTAAATTTTATGGTATCCCATTAAAAATCCTATTTAGGTTTTTTCTTTTTTGAAAAGTTTTTTTTACATTGATATGGATGAATGCCAATTAGTATGGATCACACATTTTTGACAGAAAAATATGTTGACTTGATCCAGATGGAAAATGATTATCTTTTGGATATGTAACAGTAAAATTGTTAAATTAGGGAGAAGAAACCCCATTTTCTGAAAATGATTTCTTGGACATTGATAATCAGAGATGTAAGTTGATAGCTACAGAGTTCTTTGACCTTGCCTTCGTGTTATCCACTTGGCTCTGAATTGTACCATTTCATCATGGGTAAGTCTCTGGAGAGAAAGCATGAAATGTTCAACTTGTTTAATCTCAACAATTCGGAAATATGCTGTATATGTTGAAAATAAATGAGGTAGGCGGATCATATGAGGTCAGGAGTTCGAGACCAGCCTGGCTAACATGGCGAAACCCCATCTCTACTAAAAATACTAAAATTAGTCGGGTGTGGTGGCA
Organism: Homo sapiens; assembly: GCF_000001405.40. Lineage (NCBI taxonomy): Eukaryota > Metazoa > Chordata > Mammalia > Primates > Hominidae > Homo > Homo sapiens. Next base: position 117,004,531 of record NC_000007.14, read on the forward strand.
GATGCCTGTAGTCCCAGCTACTTGGGAGGCTGAGACCAGAGAATTGCTTGATCCCGGGAGGCGGAGGTTGCAGTGAGCCTAGATCACACCACTGCACTCCAGCCTGGACGACAGAGCAACACCCTGTCTCAAAATAAATAAATAAATACATACATACATAAAATAAAAATAAAAATAAAATGACTACGAACTCTCATTTTTCTCCTGTAATACTTTAGAGGTAAATGCTTTAGAATAATTTTAAAATAATACCTCATTTCTAAAAATATAGGTTATAGCAATGATGACAAAGATAACTTATCTTCCATGGAATATTTTGGATAGAACAAAACATTTATGATGCTTTAATCTGTATTTGTATGAATAAAATTTGATTCAAGTGGAATTAGGAGTAATGGGAACTTAGCATGTTTTATGTGGAAACTTAGCATGTTTTATGTTTTCGTTTTGTTAGCTATTTTTAAAATATGGCTGTGTTTAAATATATTGCTACTGCATAATGCCTAGAAGTCCACAGGCCTCTGTATTTTGTTCCTTATGATATCATCTGTTCTCAATGCACTACTTTTTTTTAAAGAAAGATATACACATTCCTAGAATCTTTTACATTCCCAGTGAAATGCCAAGACAGGTCTGTCAAATCTAATTTTACAGAAGTGGAATGTATTTGTCAATATTTTATAATATTGACAAAAATAACTTAATTTTTTTTTCTTCATTTTATGTATCACTTCTTGTGACTTGTGAGAACAAATTTTTGATGTTAACAAGTCACATGTAAGTTTAAAATCTAATATTATTTTAACATTGTACAGAACAGGAATATCTAAAGGCTGTTGTTCCTAAGGCTAGCCCAGTTTCAGTCCACTTCACTTACAGCCATCTCCTGTGATGGTAAGCCACAAATGTCCCCTGTTTTCCTCTCTGCCTTCATATTGATTATTACTAATGTAAAAATATTTCCAATTTTTACAAATAGTTATGTGTGTCAGGTTTTAATGAAATGCTAAAGGACATTACTAATAGACCCCAAGAGATTCCGTTTCTTCTTCGCCTGTCACACTTCCTGCCCAAGTGCTGATGGACTGTGGAAACAATGACTACCATGGACCACTGTTTGAAGATGTAGTATGCTGAATTCCCAGACATCAACTTAAAAATAAATTCTGCTCATGAAAAGTATGCAGGGCATGTTTCTGCTTAAAAAAATGTCCTGGGAAAAAATCTAAATTGAATTCAGAAGATAGAGTACCATGTAAAAGAGTGGCCAAGTTATAGGAAGTATTTATTTTTTATCTTTAATTAGGTATTTTAACATTCAAAAAGCTAATGCATTTTGTTTCTTAGACATAAATAAATACGTAGATCATAAATAGAAATGTTTCAGAGATGTTTTATTTAAGAGAGTCAACAATAGTAATTAAATTAATACTAATAAATAATGCTAGCTCCTGACACTTTACCATTGACACTTTCACCAGTATCTTACATGAACCTCATAGCAACTCATAGCTCATGTCTGTGAAAACTGAGGCACAGAGTTGCCTAAAGAAGGCTCCAAAGTGGATTTTGCTTTAATTCCAGTACTTTTTCCACCTGATACCTTTTTCATGGTTGATTTATAGTAGAGTCAATGTGTCTTTTGAAAGAACAGTGTCCATATCTTATTGGAAATAGTAAAGCTTTCAAAAGAGAGCAGTTGTTATGAATCTGTCATCCTCTTACTTCCATCTTTAAAGTTTCAACAGTTCACTCTTTCCTTCTTACCATCCTTGTGTTTTCAGAATGCTATCACCAGTCAGTAGCAGTGTAGCATGACTACCTATTCTGAATGGTTTGTACCCTTTCTTAGACTTCAGGAGTTGCTTTCTACTCAAGCTAGTTCAATTGTTGACTCAACAAGCATTGCTAGGCATTAGATGTAACAGCACAATGTTTATTCCTTCTTTATATTTTTATGTCTTTTTATTCACAATTAAAATTTGTATAAGCTTTGCATAATTGCCATTTAAAGTTAATATTTTTCAACAAATGTAAGAACAGAAATATACCTAATTCCTACCAAACTTTTATAATTAGTTTAGCCAGTTATTCTGACCCTAACCATATAGAGGCACACCTTGTTTTGATGCACTTTGCTTTATTCTGCCTTGCAGATACTGCACTTCTTATAAATTGAAGGTTTGTGGCAACCCTGCATTGAGCATCTGTCGTGCCATTTTTCCAATGGCACATGCTCACTTCATGTCTCTGACTCACATTTTGGTAATTCTTACAATATTTCAAACCTTTTCATTATTATATCTGTTATGGTGAGCTGTGATCAGTGATCTTTGATGTTAGTATTGTAGTTGTTTTGGGGTGCCGCAAACCACATCCATATAAGACAGAGAGCTTAATTGATAAGTGTGTGTGTTCTGGCTGCTCCATTGACCTACCCTTCTCTAGTTTCTCTCCCTCTCTTTCGACCTTCCTAATCCCTGAGACACAATATTGAAATTAGGCCAATTAATAACCCTACAGTGACTTATAAGTGTTCAAGTGAAAGGAAGAGTCATATGCCTCTCACTTTAAATCAAAAGCTAGAAATGATTAAGCTTAATGACGAAGGCATGTCAAAAGCTGACATAGGCCAGAAGCTAGGCCTCTTGTGCCAGTTAGCCAAGATATGGATGCGAGGGAAAAATTCTTGAAGGAAATGTAAAGTGCTACTCCAATGAACACACAAATGTAACAGAATGAAACAGCTTTATTGCTTATATGGAGAAAGTTAGAGTGGTCTGATAGAAAATCAAACCAGCCATAACATTCCCTTAAGCCGAAGTCTAATTTAGAGCAAGGAACTCTCTTTAATTTCTTCAGGGGTTCTATGAAGGCTGAGAGAGGTGAGGAAGCTGCAGAGGAACGCTTTGAAGCTAGCAGAGGTTGGTTTATTTGGTTTAGTGAAAGAAGCCATCTGCATAACATAAAAGTGCAAGGTAAAGTACAAGTGTTAATGTAGAAGCTGCAGCAAATTATCAAGAAGGTCTAGCTGAGATACCTGATGAAGGTGGCTACACTCAACAACAGATTTTCAGTGTAGGTGAAAACAGTGTTATATTGGAGGAAGATGCCATCTAGGCCTTTCATAGCTGGAGAGAAGTCAATGCCTGGCTTCAAAGCTTCACAGGACAGGCTGACTGTCTTCTTAGGAGCTCATGCTCACATTGCCATGCAACCAGTCTTCAGAATTCTTTTCATTTTACGAAACTGAAGTTCTGTACCCATTAAACAACTCCCCATTTTCTTCTTCCTCCTGCCTCTGGCAATCACCATTCTACTTTCTGTCTCTATGAATTTGAAGTCTATAGTTGCACAGGCACAAATGTCTGTCTCTAGAAACATTTTCCAAGTAATACACTTCACTACATTTTCTCTTAGAATCACCTATATCTGTGTTAAAACTGTAAGAATCTGTGTTAAAATTTTAAGAATGTAGCAGTTGTCTTGATTAGAAATATATTTTCAATAGCCTTTCAAAAAACCAGAGACAAAAAAGCAGAGAGGAAATTATCTGCTTCTTATCTGAAGGCTAATGACAAAAAAAGTCATCCATGTGAACTTTAATAGAAATCTGCCGAAACCCTTAATGAGGTAGGTATCATGATCAGCGTAACTCATTACAGAATTGTTGTATTTTAGAGCTAGAAAAAAACCTCAGAAATAATTTTAAGTTCTTCATTTCATAAATGAAGTGATACTGTTGTGAAATGTCTAACCAAATTAATTAACTGTGCAGTTAGGATTGTAGTCTGTTTCTTGTTTCTCAAGAATTCCCTTTCAGCAATTGTTGGTGAACAGGGTCAGATTTTCTCAGACAAACTAGCTATTACTTGTGTTCTACACTATGAGTATGTTTTATAGAAAGTTTTCCTGGCTTATAATATAATTGAAGAGACTTGGAAATCTTAGCCCATGATTTCCATTTTTATATAATCTTCAAGGGCTAGAGATGTATGTGGATTGGAGGTATGTGGTTTTCCTTATCTGGGAAAGTAGTTGACAATTTCTCAGAAATTGAGCATTTATCACCAGTTCTAATGTGATAGGGAATGAGGTATTGTTCATAGTATCATCAGAAATGAAGGGAATTGGGATGAAACTTTTCTTGAATTTCTGACCCTGATGCAATCAGGCAGTTGTTGATGGATTCCATTATCTTCGTGAGTCTTGTCAATGGCAGAGACCTAATTGAAGATTAGAGCTCTTGCAGAGAAAGGTCAAATCAACCACAGTAAATATTGTTGAACAGGGTTTGGCAAACTGTAGCCCATGGGCTGCCTGTTTCTGTGAGATTTATAAGCTAACTTTTTTTTTAACATTTTTAAATCGCTGAAAAATTTTCAAAAGAATACGTCATGATATGTGAACATTACAAGAAATTTAATTTCAAAGTTTATAAATAAAGTTTTATTGGAACATGGCTACATTAATTTATGTATTGTTTATGACTATTTTTGCACTGAAACAATAGAGTAGTTGTGACAGAGAACAGATGGTCCCACAAAATCTAAACTGTTTACTATTTGGCCCTTTATAAAAAGGATTTGCCAGCTCCTGCTAGAAAACATTGAGAATGATTTGTTTTGTAGTACCATGGAAATTTGTGATCTTCTTTGCTTACCTAGAACTGCAGCTGTATGCTACAGCTAAGAAATTCCTTAAAGAACTTCTCCACTTTTTTTTTGTTTTTTTTTTTTTGTTTTTGGCCTCTGGGACAACCCACACTAGTCCATTCATGACTATTTTTTATGACTTTCTTTGCTTATTTTCCAGTGGTTCCTTTTGCCAATCATGTGAACAGACCAAAACCACACAGGAAGGTCTGTGGTTTGCCTAAAGAAGCTTTTCTACAGAGGGATATGTCTGGCTTGGGTACCTCCCTGTTTGTTGTACAAACCTATAGTTTGATTCTGATCATTACACTAGAGCTTTGATTCAAATGTATATAAAATGACCATCACTGTCAGGATGTAAAATGAATAAGCATATTTATTGTTGGATTCATATTTGTAGGACGAAAATCTTAATCTTTCTTATTTTTATCAGGCATTTTAGTAACTTTAGTAATGTTTCTCATGACTGCTAATTATACATCAAGATTAATTGCTATATTTTTTTTTAATTGGCTAACCTTAAACACATAAACCCAATGTCCTTTTTTATAGTCATCTTCTGATAGAGTTAAAACATCAGTGATAGGGAGACCACACAGCACCTCTTATAAAAGTTATTTACCTCCTTTTTCCAGCTGTGGTTACTTGATTTTAGTTCTCTTGAGGCCACTGTAAGAAGGGAGTGGCCCTACAACCATGTAAGAGATCTGTGCTTTGCAGCCACTGAGAACCGGGGATCCTGCCACTATTGCCACCATCCTTTTAAAGCATAACAACAAACAGGTGTTGTGTATCCAGAAAGAGCCCTTATCTGAAGGTTTGGAGTTTGGTTAAGCAGATCTTTTATTATGTTTTACTCATGCGTTTGGTCATAATTATGCTTTTGTGCTCAATAAGGATGATTGTTATCTGTGAAAGTAACTGACAATTTCTCAGAACCATTGCCTTGGTTCTAGGTTCTAGGTAGCTAGTAACTAGTCTGGTTAGTGCCATGGAGAATGTGGAGCACTGGTCTGGGTCATGATATTGAGTTGAGTAGCTGAATTCTCTCCTCACTTCATAGGGTAGTTCTTTTATCTGGTTAGTGCTAGATGCTCATCTGTCTTAGCTTACTTAAATTTTGAGGTCTTGGGAGTAGAGCCCAGTAATGGGAGGAGCTGGGCATACGCTCTAGGAATCTTCTGCATCCAGATAATCCTTTTTTTAGTGGAGTCTTCTCACATTTTGGGATAGGCCATGAGGTAGACTTGGGGCTCAGTAAGCAAAGCCAATGAGGATGACAAAACATGAAAAGGAAATGCTGATGCAGATGCAGGCTGGAGTGGGTGGTAAGAGGCCTGGGAGAGCAGCAAGATGAGATATCTTAGATAATGTTTGTTCTGACTTAGTAATAAGGTGAAATTGGGATGTGACATAACCTTAAGGCATTTTGACTTAGCTCTCACATGTTGGTGAGAATTGAGACTAGAGGGAAAACCCCCTATTTTCATTTCTGAAATGCAGAAAAATAGAGTGAACATTTATAATCCAACCCTGGTATTTTAAAACATGTGTAATAACAAAGTCGGTTATTGTATAATTTGGAAATGCGATGTAAGATATTATGATAAAGCTGTGATTTTCTGATTTAAGAGGGAAGAGTGAAGTGGAAGCCATGCTCGTTCTCCTCTGAGGAGGGTAGAGGACCGTGGACTCGCGTGGCAGGCACTAGTCCAGGGAGGGAAGCCATGAAAGAGAAAGAGAGGAGAGCTATGTCTCAGCCCCTGAGCTGTCCTCTATGAAAAGCTTCACACTCTGTGTCCAGCTGTCTCAATCAAGTCCTGGAAGAATGGTCTCCTTCAGAAGCTTTATTGCTGGCACCCAGGCCACATTGTCCTAAGAGGTGTGACCCACCAGGTCATGAGCCATGAACCCTCTAGTAGGCAGATCCTCCAACAGTTTAAGTATTTTGTGTGTGTGTGTGTGTGTTAATGTGTGTGTGTGTATCTGTCTACTTACCACCAGGCTGAGTTACTGGGGGTCTGCCTAGAAAGGAACAGTGTCCCTGTAAACAGGAGGAGGCTCCCCAGAACATCAGCATCCAACATAAACACGCTGAATTAGGACAATACATCCTGGCTCCTTTGAGGAGGGGCTGTTCCCAAAGCCCTGGCAGGATAGAAGAGGGGACAGTGGGGGCTAGAAAAGGAGTAGGTATCAGCAGGAGTTACTTGAGTTTTCTCCTCTGACTGTAATTGGTTTAAAGTAGAGTCCAAGATTATTAAAGTTGGACTAGATCTTAGGGATTTTCCAGTTCCACCTCCTCATTTTACCAGTGAAGGAACAGATACATACAGGGGTTCTAGAATTTATCTTAGATCAGAGAGGTAATGAGTGGCCGTGTTGGCTAGACTCCAGGTCTCTTGATTCAGTAATGATTCTTTCTCCAACCTGGATCACGAAGGGTTAAATTGTAGCAGGACTCTGGGATGGGATTCAGGGGTGCCAAATGCTATAAGTACAACCCACTGCTGTCTCAGGAAATTGTGGTTAGGATAGTGGTCCCTAGAACAGGTGACCCGAGAAGAACTTCTGACTTAGGTGAACGTTATACGTTTTGGAGAGGACTATGATGTGATTGTTTGGGAAGGGGGCATCTAGGCATATCAGCAAGTCTCACTTGCTGAGAGTGAGATGGAGATAGAGAAAATTCTTTGAGAGGTGGGTGGAGGGATCTAGTTGAAGGCTCTCCTGTTGAGCTTTGAATTTATAGTCAGTGTTTATAGAGTCTAGGCAAGTAGTATCTACTGTGACATTTGGAGAACTGAAAAGTAGAGTGGGATTTAGTGGTTACTGAGTGTGCCTTGGGTAGGACAGGTCCTTTTATGGTTGTAGCTTTCTGCACTTGAGTACTTATTTCTGCTTTACTGGCTAATGCCACTCTCATTTTAAGCTATCACAATGACTAAACATTATCCCTTTCATTCTGATTCTCTGTTCAATTTTTTCATATGTTGGAATTGATCATAGAATATAGAAAGAATTTTTATGAATTCGGAACTGAACTGTTTGGCCCACTGTAGATTTGGTTTTATTGGAAAGAACCTAGTTTTTTGAAATTTTTTTTTTTTTTTTGGCTTCCGTATGATCACCTACTCTACACAGGCAGTATTGTGTACTGGTTAAGCACAAGGATTCTGAGCTAGAGGCTACTCCAGTTGAATCCTGGCTCTGATCTTAGATAAGTTGTTTATCCTCCATGCCTCAGTTCTTCATCTCTAAAATGGGGATAATACCTCCTAGGGTCGTTTTAAGGGTTAAATAGGTTAATACATGAATTAGAACAATGCCTGGTACACACAAAGTGCTATTTACATATTAGCTGTTAATACATTCCAAGCATTGATCTAGGCCTTTTGTCAATTTATAAGTAAACCAAGGCTCAGAGAGGTTTAAAAACTTGCTTAATGAAGATAATCTATCTAGTAAGTAAGTAAACCAAGGCTCAGAGAGGTTTAAAAACTTGCTTAATTAAGATAATCTATCTAGTATGTAAGTAAACCAAGGCTCAGAGAGGTTTAAAAACTTGCTTAATTAGGATAATCTATGTAGTAAGTGGCTGAGATGGGAGTTGAATCTTCTCTGACTAAACTTGGCTTTTCTGTTTGCTAAGCCTGGCTTTTAACCCCTCTGCTGGATTTCTGAGGTATGGCAAATCACTTAACTATAAGTAGGTTGTAGGTTTTATATCTATCTACTCATCTGTCCATCGGTCTTATACTTTCTAATTTAGATATTTCATTATGTTTTCATTCCATTAATAAAATGCATTTCCTTAAAATATCTGTCTCTTAAGAATTATAAAATACACAGCATAAAAATAAAAAGTCTTAAAATAATGCTACTCAGATAATTAGATAAGTGCTTTAAAAATCCATGCTAACTACTAAATTGTGAAAAGCATAAAATGTTATTCCAGGTGATATTTGATAATGGCAGTCAGCGTTTCCACACACTTGTAAGTTTTGTGTAAATGTAGGTAGTTATTATCAGGCATTTTGAGCTTACTATTTTAAAACAATCATAACATTAATGTTCTAACCATTTGCACATCTTAATTATCAGGAAGAAATTATATCAAATTGTTACAACTTGTGGAAGGCTTCCCAATCTGTACCCTAGGTTAAGATAAAGAGAATTAAGGCCTAATAAATGAGATAGGCTCACTTAGCAACAGTGACAGGTGAAGTTGATGAGAATTAACAGCTTTTGACTGTAGCAGATTGGTGGTATAATGAGCTCTGCTTATGGTAAGGAAGCACTGATTAGACGACTGAGTGAAATGGTACTTTCTTATTTATTTTATAAAATTATTGGAGATGGCTGGGCGAGGTGGCTCACGCCTGTAATCCCAACACTTTGAGAGGCTGAGGCGGGCGGATAACCTAAGGTTAGGAGTTCGAGATCAGCCTAGCCAATGTGGCGAAACCCCATTTCTACTAAAAATACAAAAATTAGCTGGGTGTGATGTTGCATGCCTGTAGTCCCAGCTACTCTATTCAGGAGGCTGAGGCAGGAGAATTGCTTGAACCCAGGAGGCAGAGGCTGCAGTGAGGCGAGATCACGCCACTGCACTCCAGCCTGAGCGACAGAGTGAGACTCCGCCAAAAATAAATAAAAATAAGTAAATAAGTAAATAAAATTATTGGAGAGATCTGTTAAGTGATAATAGTAATCCTAGAATTTGTAGAATTTGTATTACGCACTTTTGATATTGTATTGAAAATTCAAAATCACATTTTATAGCATTGTCAACTTTATAATTTCTTTTGGAGAAACCTGTTCAGTGGAAAGGAAAGTAGCAAAAGCAAAACCAAACACCCCACTACTCCAGCAAAAGCATTCTAAACAGTTAGTACCTCATCTTCTTCAAAGTGGTGGTAATTTGGTAGTGGTGGAGGGTGGGGGTTGGAAATTGTCCAACCATTCAGGTTGCTTACAAAAAAAGATAAAAAAAGTAAAAATTTATTTATGTTTCGTCTTTTGGCAAGGTAAATAATTGTATCAAGATGAAGTAGCCATTGTTAAAGTTTATTTAAAGTATAAGCTAGGATATGCTCAAGATTGGCAATGGAGGAAAAAGATGGCTCAGGGTATGTGGCAATGTGACATTAAAGATTACATCAGATATAGTGTGTCTCAGTAATGACCATATGTCCTTTCCAGCTGATGTCTATTTTAGGACTTGGATAAATGAGTTGGAGGTCTTAGATATGCTATAAAGGACTGTTCTTGCATCACCTTTATTAGGTTTGTTTTCACATTAGTCAAATGTATTTCAAATGGACAAATGGATAAAATATGCATATGTACTATCAAATGAATGAATGTAATGACAAAATTGAGACAAAAATTTGGACGCTGATTCCTTTCAGGTTATGTGGCTTCTTTCATATCATTGAGTACTAGGAAGAAGTATGGATATCTTGTGTCCTTTTCACTTACAGGAATAAAATAATTTATTTTTTCTCTTATTTAGAGTTTTAACCTAAAACCAAAATTTAGTTTTAACCTAATAATTAATACAGGAGGGAAATGGGAGTAAATAACAGTTATTTTCTGAGAGACATTTCTAAGGACGACTTTAAAAGACCAGGCAAAGGAGAGCAGAGCCCAGCCGTTGCCGCTTGAGAGAGATAAGCAGAAGTGTGGGTGTGCTTCATGTCACATGGCAGGAGGCTTCCCCAGAACGGTTCGTCAGTCCAGGGAGCCGTTTCATTTTCTGGCTGATAGAGTTGTACTTGGAAAATACTCAGTTTCCTGCTTACTGCTTCATTATGGATTATACAGGTAAAATTAAATGTTAAATATTTTCCAGTTATGTAGAATTACTTTAAAAATAATATTTTGAATTTATATTTTAAAAACTACATTGATTGTGTGAGTACTTTAAAAATATTGTGCATCAGTTTATTCCTGAGTATTGTATGAATTTGTTTTATCCAAATTGTGATTAATTTAGGATAAGTGCTTAAGGGAATTTCTGAGACATACCTTTGTTGTTTCTTCCATTTCAGTTGGATCATACTTAAATGGACTTAAACTCCAACCCATAGTTAATCCACATTTCTCCCCTCTTAGGCCAGAGGATTTAAAGTACAAACATCTGAGTTCAGATTATTCCACACAGGGAATAAAATATGTACACAGTCTACAGAGAGTTTCTGTTATTGTGGTGGTGGTTTTGTGCTTGTGTATTGCTCTTTTAGATGGTGTTAATGTAATGAAGTGAATTGGAGAATTTCAGTTTTTATCCTAAATTTTCTGAGTATAAATGTGCCCAGATTTTTCTGACCTTTTCTGACCTTTCTAACCTTTTCCTTTTTTAAATTGCATAGACTTGTTTCTCAATCTCTAGTTTCACTGAATGGTAAATTGGTACATGTTTAGAAATAAGGTTAGATTAACCATGGGTGGTGGTTACTTGATGAGTAAGTGGGCGATTCCCTTACATCTGGTAGGGTAAAGGTGTGGGTGGGAGGTGAAGCAGTGATCAGGTAGGGACATGAGTCTTTGCCCAAAATTTGTGCACCCAATTCAGAATTATATTGCCCTAAATTTGAACTTTTGGGGAATGGCGACATTGTTTGCTGACAGATTGCTTTTAAACTAAAGAACGAAGAATTGGAAAATTTTTTTTCTAGGGCAGAGAGAGGCCACTTTTCATACCCAGTGTAATATAAATTCCAGTGTGCATCCGGATTGAACTCTACTTACACAGTATCTATAAATTATAACTGTAGGTGGATCTTTGGCAAGACAGTTAATTACAGTGTGCAAATAAAAGTTTTGTGAAATTGCTCATTTAAAATATAGCTTTTAGGAGCTTGCTATTTAAAGGACTTCTGTGGTAGATACTTTTTGAAGATAAAACATTTTAAAGCAATTAATTGCCCCAAAAGATTTGTTTTATAAATCTTTAGTATTCTATGTTAGGGTTTCTTTAAAGCAAGTATACCTGTATCTGTGTCTTGTGTGTGCATTTTGATTTTCTTTTCCTCATAAGATTAGCATGCCAGAATTTTTGTTCCAGGGCTCTGAAATAAAATGCACCCACCTTTTTAGAAGGTTCGCTTTATGTGTGGTACTACATTGAAGCAGGAAGGAACACATTTTAGCCATATGCAGAGAAATCAAATTTGTAAAATCCTACCACAGAGCTTTACTATGAGTATGCTTTTAGTTATAAATTTGTACCTCCTCCCACAAAGAACACCATCATTGAAGAATTCTTTCATTTTCTATAGTTTGTATATTGCCATTAAAACATTTGTTGTTCTTAAGTAATACTTTATATATGTATAATTGATAGTTTAAGATGTACAGCCTTAACATTCTAAATAGACATCAAGAGAATCCTAAGAAACTAAGAACTTTAGTGTGAACAAAGGAGGTGACTTTAAGGAAATTCACATGACACTTTCAAATTTAGTTGTGTGTGCTGTAGAGAAAAAAATATGGTTTAAGTTCTTACCACATTAATAAATACATTAATTAAATTACCTGTCTGATGTGGTGAGAAGCCCTTTTGAATGTTGTCTTTCATAGTGATTTTTATAAACATTTACACATTCATTGCAAAGATAGCTATATTTAATCTATTAAACTTTGAAGAGAACAACTCATGTTTTCAGTTCATGGCAGAGTGATTTTTTTGTATTAGAAAAGAGCATTTATTTTGCTTTCAGCACAATCACTTTTGTACTAATGGCATCATTATAGCACTGAAGGGGATATCTTTCAAAACTGATATTTGATGATTCAAGAACAGATTTATTATTAAAATAATTTAAGGGGCCCAAAACACTTCTATTAAGGCCTTTGCATGAAACACTCTTCCTTCCACGTGGTTTTCAGGCTAACCATGTGGTTTTTTCAGGTCTTGTTGAAATGTCACCTTTTTAGAGTGGCCTTTCCTGATAATTTTACCTAAAATAACCTTCTCATGCAATTACTCCTTATCCTCTAATTCCTCTTTATCTTTGTTCATCACATATACCATCACTTGACACGTCACGTGTTTGTTTCTCTGTCTCACTCACTAAGATACAAGCTTCATAGGGGAGGGACTCTGTTCATGGCTGATGCCTAGAGTGTAGAACAGTAAGCTCCCAGAAAATAGTTGTTGAGTGAATGCTTGATAGGCTTTCCTTTAAAAGTGACTGTTGACTGACTTTAAGATTTTCGCTATAATTGTTCTTTGTCAATAGCATTCTCATTTAATGATTATTATTTTGACCACTAAACTACTTTGAATGTTTTCCTTCCTTTCGTTGCTAACTTTATCTAGAAATTAACAGCACTGTCTTTACTGTGAAGGAAGGGCAAGGTTGCAGGCAGGGGTATTCAGACAGAGTGGTTAAGCCAAAGATCACTTTGGGTTTGGATTGTATTATATGACTTTTTTTTTGGAGGGGGGTTAGTAAGGGATATCAGATCAGTTTTATTCATCCTTCATTTTTCTTCATTACATTTTCTTTAGACAACATATTAAACTTTGTGTTCCTTCTCTGAGCTGACTAGAGGAGAGAACTGGAATGAACTAAACTTTTGGAATCATTTTGGTCAAAGATGGGTCTTCAACAATGTGGATCCAAACGTTCTAAAGTGGTTAGAAATGCCTCAGGCCTCCACATAACAGAAATCTTCATAGGAGTCAGAGGGTGTGATTTGTGTCCGGTTTTCCTGGCAAGTGAGATGCCTGATGTTTTTAGCATACTGATCCTGTTACAGTTGTCTAAAAAGTAGACTTAAAAAAATCACAGCCTTTAACTCTTAGAAGCCTGTGCCAAGAAGTAAATATAGGCCCTCAGAAAAATGCATTTTCATACACATATACACACCCTCTCATGTATGAGCCAACAAAAGGAGCAACATAAATGAGTCGGCAAAGCAGTTATTACATGTAGACCATGGCCTCTGTTTGAAAATATCTCTAACCCAGGGGCCATTTTCTCATTCTCTTTTCCCTCTTGCCTTTCTGACGGCCACATCCATCCACTATTTGAGTGACTATTTATGTGACAACATCTCATATGCAATTTAAAATAGATCTTATGTAAGATAATATTCTGGCTTTAAGGTTCCACCCTTTTGAACTGTATTATCCTTTCCCACTTCCTACAGTTACATTTCAACATCATTATTGATATTCCCCCTTGGTTGTCGATGTGACTGTTTTTGAAGGTATACATTTTTATTAATTCCTGCAATTTTCTGTGATTTTTTTTCTTTCTCTGATGACCTTTCTCTTTTAACGATTTTTTTTCTTCATGTTTTGAGTTGGTTTCTATTTTCCCTTCATTTCAGTTAAATCCTTAAATATAATTTTGCTGATTATTTATTCATTGTTCAAGAAAGAGGCATTATCGTAGTGTGCTTAAGAGCATTGCTTTGGATCCAGACTCCTGAGTTTGAAGCCCAGTATATCATTCACCACCTGTGTGACCTCGACAAAGTATTTAACCATCTGTCAAATGTGGATAAAAGTGGTATATACCTTGTAGGGTTATTATGAAGATTAAATGGGTTTATACATGTAAAGGACCCAGGATAGTGCCTGGCACATAGTAAACACTCAGTAAATATTAGCTATTGTTATTCTTTCCCGCAACAGATGATTTGTTCTTTATCTTATTTAGCATCATCAAATGTTCTTCTTAATGGCTCAGCATTTTTAGTAAGCTAAAGATCAAGTTACCCTGAATAAACTGTGGTACATTCATACAGTGGAATCTTATGCAGTCTTTAAAAGGATGAGGTAGATCCTACATATACTGACCAGAAAAAGTACTAATGATATTTTTAGATGTTAAAGTAATATGTGGTTCCACTTTCATAGCAGAATTTAATATTTAAAAACTGTATTGAGATCAAGACATGTCTTTGTGAACACAAGAAATTAATTAGAAAAGGCATATACCTTGGATGAATGGGTGGAGAGGAGACTTGAACTATTGAACTTTCTACTATATATGATTTTAAAAGTTACGTATATATGTATATATATTTACTTTTTGTGCATTTCAGTATTTTAAAAACATAACAAAACTCTTTTTTTGGCTTGTGTTGGATAGCTAATGAAAGTTCATATGCTTCTAGTACTTTTTCTTTAAAAACAGATTTATAAGAATATGGTAACACAGGAAGACATTTTTTGTTCCAGTGAGTCAAGAGATAAAATATTTTCAATTATTTCTTTGTGTGGGTAGATCAAAAAGAAATGGGTTGGTCACAAATGCTTACTCATACAGAGGTATACACAGGTGTGTGCACACAGCCTTAAAATGACTGAGTTGCTCTGGAAAATGACAGAAATTCATGTAAGGCACGATGAAGAAATAGGAGAAATACATGTATGTAAATATATTCCTAGAGCAGCGTTTTTCACATTTGAACAATAGTTGCAAAATAGCTAGTAATGGAATTGCCTGCATTTGAGTACTCACTGTGTGCCAAGCAGTGTTCTAAGTACTTAAGATTACTATTTTACTGTTACATTTGTATGTATTTATGTGCCTAGAATATATGTGTAATAGTATACATATTTTCACATACTTGTGATTGAGTGTACAATCCTTGATCTGTCAATCTACCATAAGCTTTGAGAAGATAACAATGAACTCTTCTGTAATTACTTCTAAAGACAGATAATGTTTCTCATTTCTGATATTCTTAATTCCCTTGAAAAGTTCTTTCTATATGCTGCGCAAAACCAAGAAGACTGATATGCATGATGTCTTTGTGGTTAATTGCTATAAAGCCAATATTTAAATTTCTTTGAGTCCTCTTTTACTGCCTGGTATCATGGGATGAAGAGCTGCGCAGGAGGGGAGTGTATACGTGGCTCTCGGTCTTGTGCATTTTGTGACAAAGGAATTCCCCTTTCAATCACGCTGCTCTCCTGGAGCCCCTGGAGCCTCTGGCTCAAGCAGCGCAGTCGGTCTGTGCAGTGTCCCTGACGTCATCCAGCGTATGCATAAGCCCTGCTATTGTCTTACTGCTACAGCAGGGCTGGGGATTGCAGTATCCGCTGTTGCTGCTGCTCCCAGTCCTGCCCCTGCTGCTACCTAGTCCAGCCTCACCGCATCCCAGAAGAGGCACGTCGGCCTTCATTTGCCTAGTGGATTTTCAAAAGCAGCTCTTCGGTTTTTGGTGCTGTTAAGAGACCTTGCATTTCAATCACACCGGGAGAAAACTGAAGCTCGTAACAGGAGAATCTGGCAGCTGGACACAGCTTGGACTGCATTGTCTGGCTTCATGACCCCTGCTGTGTAGCCGGCTCATCTCTTCACTCTCACATGTACACTCTCCTCGCTTTTCTTTCTTTTTTTTTTCCCTTTTCTTTCTTCTAATTTTTAAAAAGCAGCCTCTGGAGCCAGCCATGTTTGGCACTGAATCTTCATGTAAGTAAATGGATCCCACTTCTCTGCTATTTAGAAATCTGCTTGCTGTCATGGTTTCATTGGCTTAGAGTTCATATCACTTTGCCTTAGGTCATTAACAACCTTTGTATTTTGGCTCTAATTACAAAGGAATTGGTCTCAGGGAAGGAACTCCCCTTAACTGGGTTATTCATCCTTAAGGCCAGGGATGTCAATGTGTCAAAACCAGGCCTGTAAGAGGGAGGTAGGAAAACCAGAATCCATACAGCCACCCTAGAATGTGTTAATTGATGGGATCAGGCCTGTCACTGATCTATTGTTGTAGGCTCCGTAATGGTGCTTAAACCTTAAAATAGATACTGGGAGGATCTGAGATGATAGTGTTTATTAGAAAGGAAAGAAAGGCTTACATTTTTTCATCTAAAGAGATAAATAGTTATCATTATATACTCTTCCATATTTTCACAAAAACATAGACATTATAGGTAGATTCAGAATGAGTAAGAAATCGCTTTATTTTTGAGGATGGATTTTTTTTTTTCCCACAGTGGCTTCAATTTTGATATGCTGGCTAGCATCACAGTCCAGCAGGATCATATCTTTTTAAAAACTTATACAATGAAATTGCTTTGGTGCAGAGAAGGCCCTGCACAATGGGCTAGGCAGGACAGCAGTTGTAGACAGCTACAATGGATATTTTAAAAATTACAACCAAACTATGTGAGGATTATTTAATGTTGATATAGAAATATAACGTCAATGCAGTTGTACAGGCTCTGCAGAATATTTTGTCATTGTCTATTAGCAAAAATGACAGTTAAGAATTTCTAAGAGATAAGAATTTCTAAAGAGACTTTCAACCTGCTGGCTAGAGCATTAAATATTGGCAAGCCACTATCTTTGCTAGGGAGAAGGGGTTTAGGGGAGGAATTTAGGAAACTGATTTCTTACGAACTTGTAATTTGACCTTTGTTTTTTGATCTCAGGTGATCAGTGTGACTGTTTGTGCATAGCTGATTATTACAGAATAGTAGCATTTCGAGAGAGCTAATAATCCTCAGTTCTTTTGTTTCTTGATTGGCTTTTTAAAAAGGTTAATTACTTTTGTTTCACTGTAGAAGCTTCTCATCTCAGACTACCACATTGCCTAATCAAAGTTGTGTTAGAATAATAGTGACAGGTAATGTCCCATTCAGCATGTGACAGTATTATTTCCTAATAATTTAGGCATAATTTTTTAATTCACTTAATGGTACATTTAGAATTGGTTATCTAAGAAATAGAAATAAATCACTAAGTGTCAAAGACCATCCAGTTTCATTTCAGTCATGGAATTTTGTTTATGCAGGAGCCTAGGTATGGACAGAAATAATTATATACTAAAGGAAAATTAGACCTGTTACTTGGTTTAGCCAAAAATGGAAGTTAAAACTCAGTGCAGAAGTCTTTGGTTCTTGGACTAGGGACTCTAACATTGTCTGCTCAGTGTTACCAAGCAGACACATAGCCTTTCCTGATCATCAAACCTGATCTTTTGATAATATCACCTATGCGCTGTATGGTATGTGTGAAAACTGCTGGTTGCTTGTGCCCTCCATAGCTGCTAAATTACTGAAGAGAATAGAATATCCTTCAGAAGACAGAATACTATCATACAGGTTTTTAGCATTTTTTGTCTTTCGTGAGTGTTAAGCTCTGTTTCTTGCTTATAGGTAGATTCGTACTGTCAGTGGATATCGTGTTGAAAATGAATTGCCTTCTTTGGCACGTGTATACCTATGTAACAAACCTGCACATTCTGCACATGTACCCCAGAACTTAAAGTATAATAATAATAATAAAAGAAGATTCCCTAAGTCTGCATTCAGTGTTAGGACAAGTGTATTTTCTTTGTGTTCTGAGACATAGCTTTCTTGGCCTTTGATGTCAACCTTTTGGAGGCTATTTTTTAGGTTTGAAACTGTACTTAAAATATTCAGGAAAATAGTCACATTTGAAATTCCAATTAGTTCAAAAGGGATCTCCCAAACCATCTAGGGTGTTCTTACTAAATTATCGTAAGAAATACTTGTTTAACTATCTATTCTGTATACAGTACTGTGGTAGATCCTGGTAAGGGTTAATTTTTTTCTAACTTATTCTGATTTCGTGATTCTTACCCTTGATTATGGTTGCAGTGCCTTACTTGTATAGGATGCTTTTACTTTTTAAATTGAGGTATGATTTACATGCAGTAAAATGCTTAAGTCTAGGTGTGCAGCTCAGTGAATTTTTGCCCATGTTTATACCCATAGAACTCTACTCAGCTCAAAATACAGAACATTTCCATTTCCCCTGGAAGTTCTCTTGTGGCCTTTCCCAGTCAATATTATTTCCCCTCTTCATGAAAAGGTAACCACTATTCTGACTTCTGATGCCATAGATTCATGTTGTAAGTGGCTCTTTTAAACTTTCTTTATCTCCCCCTTGCTCTTTGCCTGTAAGAGAAGGAAATGTCTTCATTTTCAAATATTGTATTGATTAAGTTGATTTTATGTTTCAGACCTTTGAGGTCAGAAATTTGCAGTAGCCTGGATATCACATTATAATACATTCTGTCTTACTGAAATAATATTGTTTTAAATACTTGCACCCTTCCTCACCAAAAAAAACAGACAAAAAAAGCCTTTAAAATACCAAAAAAATTATGTGGAAGAGTAAACGCTAGTTCTTCAAAGTTAAAGACTTACACAGCTATGGCAATAGAATTAATAAATGCTCTTTTATGCCTGACACTGCTTTCATCAATATCTCCAATGATACTAGTCTCATCTCTTTGACTTAGTGAATCTGAATCTCCCACAGTTGTGCAGATTGGCCACAGTCAGTCTATTTTGGGCTCACTTTGAAATGGGTGTTCTATAGTATGTGTAGACTAATCATCACAAAGCAGGAAGTATAGCTTCTGTAACTCCGTTTATTACCATCTTGATGTATTTCACTGAGCTTTTCCTTTACTAAAGTTTCCCATGTCTAAAAATGGGAGTAGCGTGTCTGCTCTTTAACTGCTTTGAAGATATACAGTTTTAGTTTCTGTGGTCAGAATACTTTAGGTGTAAGAAGAAAGTACTATCAAGTTTTGTTGAGGAAGGTGATAATTAAAATGTATATTTGGAGTTCTTAATTTGATTATATATATATATATATCGTGTGTGTGCGTGTGTGTGTGTGTGTGACGGAGTCTCACCCTGTTGCTCTGTGGCCCAGGCTGGAGTGCAGTGGCACAATCTTGGCTCACTGCAACCTCTGCCTCCTGGGTTCAAGTGATTTTCCTGCCTCAGCCTCCCGAGTAGCTGGGACTACAGGCATGTGCCATGACACCCAGCTAATTTTTGTATTTTTGTTCAGTAGAGATGCAGTTTCACCATGTTGGCCAGGCTGGTCCTGAACCCTTGACTGCAGGTGATCCTCCCGCCTCAACCTCCCAAAGTGCTGGGATTATAGGTGTAAGCCACCACACCTGGCTGATTTAATGATATATTTTAAAATAAATTGATTAAATTCTTCAAAATTAAACAATTTTTCTCTTAAAATTTTATAAGAGGAGAAAATATTTTTAGGGAGAAAGGGAGAAAAAATTTCATCCTTTCTTTTTGTGGAGTAAATGGTTTTGAGGAAAACTGATTTTGCACTGCTGACATCTGGTTACATCCTCCTTGATAAAGCCAGTTATTCTTCAAAGAGTAGATACTTTAAGTATGATGAATTATTTAATTAGCATTTATTGGGCTCAGTCCTCCTCTTGTCTCCTCTCCCATGTTTTGCTTTTTCAATTCTCAAGGGTACCACTTAAGAAGTACTGTGGTGGGAATTGTGCCCTGGTCTAACACGTTAATGCATCTTCCAAAGCACCTACCTTATTAGTTCAGTGAAGAGAGCAACACCTTACCTGCTGAGAAACAGAGTGTCCCTGGGGCAAATAGCATTATTTTATCCTTCTTCCAAAATTTTTTGTATAGTTATAATAATTAAAAAGAACATCTAGAGCATCTGTGGAGGGGGAAAATAAATCACCAGAGAACCAACAAAGCTTTAGTAGGATCCCCCAACCTGAGCTTAGTGGAGATGAGAAACTAGTGGATGGCTGTGTCAGGGGATCAGGAGTCCTCTTTAGCTCTGGTGTGGCTGGTCCACACATACTCCCTGCCATTCCCTGGATAGCTACATCACCTGGGGTAGGCAGCCAGATGCTGGCAATAATTTGGGATACAGTTTGATACCCCATGTGATTTGTCTTTGATGGGCATCAAAAGTTCAGTTGCTGCTTTTGGTTTTCATTACTGATGAGTGCATTAAGTTGAAACTGACAGCTTCTCAGTTTTAATAGGGAGTATGGTACCATGTTACCAAGAACTAGATAATTTTCTGAAATTTTGAGCCATTGTGTGAGAGGTAGTCAAATGAATAATACTCTAGCAATATTAAGTCATCAAGATACTGTAGTTAAACAGACATCTCTTTGATAAAAAAAAAGTGAGTTGTAGTCTTTTATGTGCATCTCAGGCCATTGTTGGTAACTGGTCACATGTGAGATTAAACTTGGGCCTGTTGTTTTGGTGTGTGATTTCTGTGAATTGGCTGAGATTTGAATAGTAACTATGGTCATTCAAAAATGGCTGTTCACATCTGGACCATTTCTCAAAATAAGCATCTAATTATTACTAAATCATTGTGTCAGAGACTGCTGTTTTTGCTGTTAGTATGTTTGGCATTTTAGTACTCTATTTGGTTTTCCTTTTTATTATTATTTGTCATATGAAACTAGGTAATTTAGGAACATGAGCCATTTTCCTTTCCCATTAATAACATTAATCTGGTTATTAGATTTAGCTGCATCGGATTTTAGATGCTTTCATCTTAAAACAAAAATAGAAATACTTAAGTATGTGCACAAAAACCCACCTCTAAGTCTGCACTTAGAGCATTGAATGTAAAAGAAAAATATTGCATGACATTAGATAAGTAGAAAACCACAGACTGCTGAAGTCACAAACATGGAAAAATAATTATGGATTATAGGCATTATACTGGAACATAGTCATACAGGAGCTTGAAAAAGTAAAACTCATGTAATGTATTTGACTCATCTTACCATATCACTTTTTCTTTTTTTCTGATAACACACATTCTGATGTGAAATTTCCGTTTGAGTTCCTTGGCTGTTAGTAGTTGACATTGTAATTTTTAGTATCAAGATAATATTTTAAAGTAAATAAGGAAATTTTTTTCTTCTGCATATTTATATACTAGTACAGAAATGGAGTAAAAATATGCAATGGTTATTTTTAAATCCTCAGATTTCTTATTTTCCCTTCAGTATTGGTCTATTTGTTAGTCTGTAGTTTGTTCAGAAAAAAAATTACATGTGAGTCTTCAGTGATTTGTTGTTTTCA
This sequence comes from Homo sapiens, assembly GCF_000001405.40. Lineage (NCBI taxonomy): Eukaryota > Metazoa > Chordata > Mammalia > Primates > Hominidae > Homo > Homo sapiens. Next base: position 117,026,041 of record NC_000007.14, read on the forward strand.
TTGTCACAATGGACCAGATTCATATCCTGTATAAACTGTGGGGAGTCTATGGGGAAAATTACCATATATGGAAACTTTCCCCATAGCATCCCCTTGGAGTTACACAGGATGTGAATAGGATTCATTGTTGTTATGGATTCTGAGCTGGAAAAGTCATTGATCATGTGTATTTTTTAAACATTAATAATAGTCACTGCATTAATTTATGTTCAAATACTGTTAAATTTTCAATATGAGACTATATGGACATTACAAATTGTATAGTCATTTATAGACTATAAATTGTATAGTCATTTTTTATTCCTTTTTGAAGAGTATTGATATCCTTCCATTTTTTCCTAGTCAATATAAAGCATGAGTTAACATAATTATTAATGTTTTTAACAAGAAAATGCACAAATGCTATATTATTTAAAAGGTCCCATTTACTGTGCTAGAATAGTAAATAATAAGATTTTCAATATATTTTATTTGTATTAGTAATTAATTCAGATACTTATGAGCAAAAAAATGAATATGCAATTTAATGCATGTTTAGAAATGGCAGCAACCACATGCCAGATGCAGCAACTAATTGCAGAGACTCTGGCTTTCACTTGCTTGGATTCATATCATGGCTCTACCGTGTACTACCAGGGTTTAACCATCTACCATCTAAGCTTACAGTGTGACTTATCCAATGAACTCTCTGTGTTAGGGGAACTGGCCTTTGGGGGCCTGGATATCTGCCAGGGTAGGGCTTATCAAGGGGTGTTTGTGGAGAGAGAGTCCAGCAGTGGAAAATACTGGCTGAAGAGAGATGTCACTTCTTAAGGCTGGGTGAAGACTGGAAGTTGTATGATGGGAATATTTTAAGGGACCCAATAGGAGGTTTGAGGGGAGGAGACTGTATGAAACTAATGAAATGTGAAATGGGTCAGGGTTGGCAAATGCCAGATGCCCTGTGGCAAGCATCATTGATTGGTCATGACACTCTTGCAGGATTAGCATCAGCCACTAAAGGTTGGAATGTTGTCCACTCAGAACACTTCATCAGTGCAAATGTTTTCCATGTAAGTATGAGTAATAGACACATAAATATTTAAATAAACATACAAATACTTACCAAATTAAGAATAAAGGGCTGGGCACAGTGGCTCACGCCTGTAATCCCAGCACTTTGGGAGGCCAAGGCAGGTGGATCACAAGGTCAAGAGTTTGAGACCAGCCTGGCCAACATGGTGAAACCCTGTCTCTACTGAAATACAAAAATTAGCCGGGCATGGTGGCGCATGCCTGTAGTCCCAGCACTGAGGAGGCTGAGGAAGGAGAATCGCTTGAACCCAGGAGGCAGAAGTTGTGATGAGCCAAGATCACACCACTGCACTCCAGCCTGGGCAACAGAGTGAGACTCCGTCTCAAAAGTGAAAAGTAAAGTAAAGTAAAAGTAAAGTAAAGTAAAGTAAAGTAAAGTAAAGTAAGTAAAGTAAAAAGTAAAGAGTAAAGTAAAAAAAAATAAAATATAAATAAAATAAAGTTAAGAATCTTAAGTGTTCCAGAAATGTCTCTCTTTAGACTCTGGGCGGGACATGGTGGCCCATACCTGTAATCTCAGCACTTTGGGAGGCCGAGGCATGAGGATTGTTTGAGCCCAGGAGTTGAAGACAAGCCTCGGTAACAAAGCAAGACCCTGTCTCTAAAATGAATGAATGATATAAAATAAACACACCAGTCTGTGTCACATTATGGTTCTCAGTAATGTCAATGTGTTAATGATTCAGAGCCACCACTGGGCTCTTCTGAATGAAATTCCTATCAGTTGACAATAAATCCCCAGAGTGTAGCAGGGTACCTAGCATATATCAAGTGCTCATGTTCTTTAAAATTTGAATCTGCTGTGGAGTAAGGTAATATCATTGAAAATATGATGTGTGGGCTTGTAGGGTGTTAATATTGAGTTTAATAAAATTTTCTAGGCCAAGGAGTTTATCACACATAATGGGTACATGTCAGAAACATGCCAGTAATCAGCTCTTGTCATCCTTCAGAGCAGGAACAAATGACCCAAACAAAATAATAGCATATGGACTTTTATTACTAAGCCCAAATTTGTTAGTGGGTAAACTACCATATACTGATAATTTGCCATGTACTGGTAAGTTGACTATGTCTAATCTAAGTTTGCTTACCATTCTTAAAGGTTAAGTAAAAATAATGAGTTACTAATAATCATCAGTTTATGTACAGCATGAAAATTGAGAATTGTTTGCTTGCAATACTGATATAATTTCAGGAACTAGAAAAATTATTTTACTTTTTTTTGTGAGCATTTCAGACTGTTAAGATTGAGGCTTTTGGCATATTTTGGGCAGTAGCAAGCCCGATTGTAAAGCGTATAGATTAGGAAATCACAGTGACTCCATTGGGGTATTCTTTACTACCTCCTCCACCTCTGGCTTCTTCTAGAACACCTAGTTTTCAGGGGGAGGCTTTGGTAGGGTCTGGCCTGGTGGTACGCATGGATGGTCCAAGCCCGGACTTGTCTCAGAAGTCTGAATTTCTCATCTGAAACTTTCCTAGGTCTTGTGTTGGTATAATGATGTTTCAGTTACCCATTGCTACACAACAAACTACCTCAAAACATACTGGTTTAAAACAATTATGTATTATTATCTTTCACAGTTCTGTGGGTTGACTGGACTCCATTGGTGGTTCTCATGAAGGGTCTCTTGCAGTTAGATTTCTGTCAGTGCTGTAGTCATCTAAAGGCTCACCTGAACTAGATCTCCAGGATAGCTCTGGCATATACTATCAGTTGAGGTTAGCTGTTGACTTAGGGCTCAGCTGGGGTTGTGGGCAGGAATGCCTATACAGTTGACCCTGGAACAACTTAGGGGTTAGAGGCTCTGATCCCTGCACAGTTGAAAATCCACATGACCTTTTACCACTAAAAACGTAACTACTAATAGCCTACTCTTGACTGTAAATCTTACCGATAACATGGATAATTAACACATATTTTGTATGTTAAATATATAGCTATAAATATATATGCTGCATATATAAATATTTGTGTATATTTCTTTATGTGGACATATGTTTTCATTTCTCTTAGGTAAATACCTAGGCATGCCATTGTTGAGAAACTGCCAAACCATTTTCCAAAGTGGTTATACCGTTTTACATTCCCACTAGCAATGGATGGGAGTTCACTTGCTTCAAATTCTTGCCAACATTTAGTATTGTCAGTCTTTTTAATTTTTGCCAATTTTGTGGGTGTGTAATGGTATATTGTGATTTTAATTTGCATGTCTTTCATTCTTATCATATTAAACAATTTTTCATGTTCTTTTTGGCCATTTGTGTATCTTCTTTCGTTGTGTTTGTTCAAATCCTTTGCCTGTTTTAAAAATGAGGTTGTCTTCTTATTACCGAGTTTTGAAGGTTCTTCATATATTTTGATACAAATCTTTTGTCAGGTGTATGTATTGACAATATTTTCTTATAGTCTGTAGCTTTCCTTTTTATTTTCTTAATAATGTTAAGTTTTTAATTTTGATGAAGTCCAGTTTATCAATTTCTTCTGTCCTATGTAAAAATATTTTGCTTATGTTATTGTCACGAATATTTTTCTCCTGTATTTTCTTCCAGATGTTTTATGTGTTTTGCTTCTATGTGTGCTATGATCCATCTTTAGTACATTTTTGTTTGTAATATGAGGTAATGGTAAATGTTCATTTTTTTTTTTTAGTGAAATGAATATTCACTTCTTCTAGCACCATTTCTTGAAAAGACTGTCATTTCTCCATGGAATTGGCAACTTTATCAGAAGTCAGTTCACCCTATATTTCTAGTCTATTTTATTCTAGGGATCTGTATATTTATCCTTAGGCCAATACTATAATTGTTATTACTGTATAGCTTTATGATCAGGTAGTGTAAGCCCTCCAAGTCTGTTCTTTTTCAAAATTCTTTTGGCTATATTTGATCCTTTCATATCCCTATGCATTTTTAAATTTGCTTGTCAATTTCTAAAAAAAGACCTGGGATTTTGATTGAGAGTATATTTAATCTATAAAGTAACTTGGGGAGGTTTGACATTTTAACAATATTAAGTTTTGCAATTCATGAACATGGTATATTTGTCATTTAATTTAGGTCTTTAATTTCTCTCACAATGGTGAAACCAGTTATAAAATTAAAAGAATAGGTTATTTTTCATTGATAGAAGAATACTTATTTGGAGTGGAATGACTTATATTACCCACTGAATATATGTTTCTAGGGAACATATAGTAAATGTAAAAGTGGTGGTATTAGTAAAGCATCATTAATTTGAATTTGGAGGAATTATTTGCACTTGTAAAAATCTTAAATAACCTGGAAAGTGAGATTTCACTAAACAGATGTTGTCATGAAGAAGTCTTTTGAGGGTATGTCTTAACAAATAGATTAGAATTGTTTATACATACAGGCAAAAAACAACCCCATTGAGAAGTGGGCAAAGGACATGAACAGACACTTTTCAAAAGAAGACATACATGCAGCCAACAAGCATATGAAAAAATGGTCAATATCACTAATCATTAGAGAAATGCCAATCAAAGCCACAATGACATACCATCTCATACCAGTCAGAATGGCCATTATTAAAAAGTCAAAAATAACAGATGCTGGTGAGGTTGCAGAGAAAAGGGAACGCTTATACACTGCTGGTGGAAGTGTAAATTAGTTCAGCCATTGTGGAAAGCAGTGTGGCAACTCCTCGAAGAACCAAAAACAGGATTAACATTCAACCCAGCAACCCCACTACTGGATATATACTCAAAGGAATACAAGTAATTCTACCATAAAGACACATGCATGCATATGTTCACTGCAGTACTATTCATAATATCAAAGACATGGAATCAACCTAAATGTGCATCAGAGGTAGACTGGATAAAGAAAATGTGGTACATATACACCATGGAATACTATACAGCCATAAAAAAGAACAAGATCATGTCCTTTTCAGGAACATGGATGGAACTGGAGGCCATTATCCTTAGCAAACTAACACAGGAAAAGAAAACCAAATACTGCATGTTATCACTTTTAAGTGGGACGTAAATAATGAGAACACATGGACAGAAATTGGGTAATAACAAACACTGGGGCCTACTTGAAGGAGGAGGGTGGGAGGAGGGAGAGGTTCAGAAAAAAAAAACCCACAAAAAACTTTTGGGTACTGCGCTTATTACTGAGGTGACAAAATAATCTGTACATCAAACCCCTGAGTCACGAGTTTACCTATATAACAAAACTGCACATGTACCCCTGAACCTAAAATAAATGTGTGTGTGTGTGTATATGTGTGTATATATGTGTATATATGTGCATATATACGCATATATGTGTGTATATGTGCATATATATGCATATATGTGTGTATATGTGCATATATATGCATATATGTGTGTATATGTGCATATATATGCATATATGTGTGTATATGTGCATATATATGCATATATGTGTGTATATGTGCATATATATGCATATATGTGTGTATATGTGCATATATATGCATATATGTGTGTATATGTGCATATATATGCATATATGTGTGTATATGTGCATATATATGTATATATGTGTGTATATGTGCATATATATGTATATACACACATATGTATATATGTGTATATATGCATATATATGCATATATATGCATATATGTGTATATATATGCATATATGTGTATATATATGCATATATGTGTATATATATGCATATATGTGTGTATATATATGCATATATCTATATCTATATCTATATCTATATCTATATCTATATCTATCTATCTATCTATATATATATATTTTTTTTTTTTTTTTGGCAATGGAGTCTTGCTTTGTCACCCAGGCTGGAGTGCAGTGGTGTGATTTTGGCTCACTGCAACTTCTGCTTCCCAGGTTCAAGCAATTCTCCTGCCTCAGCCTCCTGAGTAGCTGGGATTACAGGCAAATGCCACCACGTGTGGCTAATTTTTGTATTTTTAGTAGAGATGAGGTTTAGCCATGTTGACCAGGCTGGTCTCGAATTCCTGACCTCAAGTGATCTGCCCTCCTCGGCCTCCCAAAGTGCTGGGATTACACGAATGAGCCACCACGCCTGGCCTAGTTAAAATATTTTTAAAATTAAAAAAAGAATGGTTTTGTACTTAGAACATTTAAAAATTATGTTTATGTAAATGCTACTTTTATGGCCCTTAGAACATTTGTTCTTTCTCTTGTTTGTCGTATCTTAGGAAATCACTTTATTATATTTATATATATTTTACTCCAGTTCTTGCCAAATATTCACATTTCTTTAATTAGAAAGGTCTGAATTTATGAGTTTTTATATTCAAAAACAGGATCCCCTTTTTTATTAAGCTGGTTCTGTAGTCCTGTTGAGTTATCGACCTTTTTGAGACTCTAATAAATCTATGGATCCTTATGATCAAGAGATCTGAAACCAGACTTTTCTCTAAAAACAGATTCAGGATGACATTTGTCACCTTTAAAAATTAAATTGAATTTAAATTTATTTTTTAAGAACTTTTTCTAATTATTTGGCATTACTTGCAGTAATTTTCAAAGTCCTTAAACTTGAAGCCATGTTTGATAGAGATTGAATTGACCTGAAACAGCATGTTATGTATGTGCATAATAGATATGAATCTATAAACATATTCATCCACCTTTGTTTTAGGCAGCTTATAAAGCAGTAATCCTCCAACAATCTCTAGTTAATTAGTGTAGTCTTTTGAAAGCTGCAAGGGTGAATATACTTAGTGGATTATAGATTCATCTATGCTGACTTTCTCACCCTTTTTCTAAGTTAGTTCCAGGCAGGCCTACTCTGTTAGTTATTTTTATTGTAAATATATAACGCAGTGCTTAAGAACCTGGGCTTTGGGTCAGGCAGATAAGGGGGTCTAGTTTTACTATGTTGCTTTGGGCATCTTATCTGTTAGCTTCAGTTTGTTCATCTGTAAAATGGGGATAATATTAACCTCATGGGATTGTTGTAATGCTTAAATGAAATAAGTAAAATGGCAAGCCTTTAATGGCACATGATAAGCAATTGATAGGTTAATTATTTTTGAAGATTTCCATACCAGGAACACATTACATAGCAGCATCAACATGCTGTGTATATATTTGATATAAAATAAAGTACAAGCTAGAATAGAAATGGCAGCATTGAATGTACAAATGGCAAATAATGAGAAAAAATTGTTTTAAATGGAAAAACTTATTAAGTTTGGTTCCTGTCGTCTGGCAGTTTACATTCTAAGGGGATGAGATGAATGAAATTATAATTCATGCATGTCTGCTTTATATTGATTTGTATTACTGTTTGTATACATGCTTTTTTTTTTTTTTCTTTTTGGAGACAGAGCCTTGCTCTGTTGCCCAGGCTGGAGTGTCGTAGTGCAATCTTGGCTCACTGCAACCTCTGCCTCCTGGGTTCAGGTGATTCTCCTGCCTCAGCCTCCTAAATAGCTAGGATTACAGGTGCCCGCCACCATGCCCAGCTAATTTTTGTATTTTTAGTAGAGACTGGGTTTTACTGTGTTGGCCAGTCTGGTCTCGAACCTTTGACCTCAGTTGATCCACCTGCCTCAGGCTTCCAAAGTGCTGGGATTACAGGCGTGAGCCAGCACGCCGAGCCTCATCCTGTATTTTTTAATGTTCTGTTGTACTTTATAATGGAGGGAGCATCTCTTCTGGTTTACATGCTCTGGAGTCAGTCAATAGACTGAAATGCTCATTCTACTAGCTGCACGACCTTGAGTAGATTAACTTCTCTGGCTTCAGTTTCTTACCCTGTAAAGTAGGCTTATACTGTGTCATGGAGCTGCTATGAGGTCGTTTTTATTGTTGTTGTTCTTCTTCCTTTTTTTGTTTAGAGACAGGGCCTCACTCTGCACCCAGGCTTGAGAGCAGTGACACAATCACAGCTCATTGCAGCCTCAACCTCTGGGCTCTTGGTGATCCTCCTACCTCAGCATCTCAAGTAGATAGGACCACAGGTGCACACCACTATGCCCTGCTAATATTTTATTTTTTGTAGAGGCAGTCTTGCTCTATTGCCCAGGCTGGTCTTGAACTCCTGGGCTCAAGCAATCCTCCTGCCTCGGCCTCCCAAAGTGCTGAGATTACAGGTGTGAGCCACTGTGCCTGGCCTGCTGTGAGTTTTAAATGCCTTAAAATATTTGTTGCCTAGTAAAGGCTCAATGAATGCTACCTACTGTTATTAGGTATTATTATATTAGTCATTTATGTTATTGCTTATCCTTCCAATTGCATTCAATATGCCCATTTAAACATTTGCTGTATGAAAATCTATGATGTGGGAGGGGTTAAAAGTTATTTAAAGACAGAACATCAGTGGTTCTAGGTTTTATGCTCACCTCACCTAATATTTAGTCTCATCTCTCAGAGTATCTTGCTTATTAAACACAATAAGGTCAATACCTTTTCTTTATTCATGAAAATGTCTGAAATGTGAATGGAATTTATACCCTTGTAATGGTATCATATTTTAACTTAATATTTAAGGAGACTCTAAATACTAATAATCACTCATTGGTTTATCTAATTTATATGTCTGTAGCTTTGTTAGATTTACTTAAAGTCATGCATATAAGTTCTTTTTTTAAAAAGCTTTATGATATTTTGATATAGATGTCATAGCATGCTTTGCATTATTTGACCTCCATTTAGATGGATTAAGTGGAATTTTCTTCGCTGAGGAATTTCATAAACCCTTTTTGACTTTTAATTGGGATGGACAGAGTTATCACTATGTAAGAAGGGAAATAATACACCTAAGAGTTTACTTTCTGGTTTGTTTCTTTTAGGATTTATACTAACATGCATCCAAGATGTTTTGTTTAGTTGTGTAAGGGTGATCCGGAAACAGCATTGCTACCCTCCAAGACTTATGCTTAGAATGAAAAACTTTTACTGTGGTGTCGCAACATGAATAATTTTCCTTCAGACTTTCATGAGGCCAAGACCATGTTTACATTTAATTCCATGCAGAGGACTGGCAAGCTGGGCAGTTTTTTTTTTTTTTTTTTTTTTAAAGATATAAAATACACAGGTCCCTGAGTGCTTGGGTCTTCATATGCTCTGGAATTACCAGCTGCACACCTGACTATAGTCTGTTTGTTTTTAATATTAAATTGACCTTTTCCAGCCTCTCTTGTTGAGGAAGTGGAGTCTGAGTAACACCAGCTGTGTGTGGTGTCAGGCTGGAACAATAATTCAGGGATGCAGAATATGGCTCGCCTTTGTTTCCTGAAATTGTGCATTGATTTCTTTTGTCAGTAGACTGTTTCAAATGAATGGAAGAAACATTTTCTATTTTTAATTTTTTTGAGGGGTGGCAGACTTCTTTCAAAAGCAAATAATTCATCTGCAAATTCAAATTCTATTTGGTACATCTAATTTGCTTAAAGTAAAACACGCATATATAGTAGAAATTTTAACTGAGTCAATTTCATAGCTGTCAGAACCTTTCTCATCACAGCAATTTGATTAAAGTTTTTTTTAAGGCTTTTTCATTTTTAATAAGGGAAATATCTCCATTATAACCACTGCTGCCAGCAGGAGGACATTGGTTTTCATGAATATTTTTGGAATTTTCTCTACCTCACATTTTTAAGTAGATAAAACTGAGTTAGGTTTATAGAGTTAATTTCTCCTCTTCTTTGGCATTGAATGTACTCTAATTTGTAGCTTTAAAAATTAGAATCAGTCTTTTTTTTTTTCCTGAGTGAATACATTTTTTTGTAGGATAGATGGTTCTTAAAGAATACGTTAGTTCAGGATCTAATATGAATCAATAAATTTTTGCTGATAATATGAACGACCAGATGATTGGGAATTCTTGAGAAGTATACAAGAAGTTTATAGCTTTATTACTATTTCACAACTGATTCTGGAGGTTTCTTAGGATATTAGCGTTATAAGCCTGAGGTAACTGGTTTTTCTTTTTCTGACCTGGGTGCATTTGTGGAGTCTGAGGCTGACAAGTGAAATAGTTACTAGCTGTTTAATAAATCTCCCGAATTGTTTGGTACTGTTTGGCAAGCTTACTCCGCATATTAAGTTTTGACTTTCCTGTGTTTTATTGGAACTCTTTGTTCCTGAAGCACTAACATTTCTATTTTGTCTTTCATGCAGTTAGCCACCTCCCTAATGGTGACCAGTCCTCTGCAGGCAATCAGGTCACTGCTACAAGTGACTGGCTGTCAGCCCAAATGATGCAGAATATTTTATCATTTGTAATGTGTGTGGCCCTCAAAAACATAATGTCTGGAATAAGGGATAACATGACATTTATCATGATCAGTGGAACTGGTTAATCTGGTCAGGAAACGACTGAATATTTTACGTATTTAGCTGACTGGGCTTTTATTTTGTTTATTTGATTTTGAGAATTGACAGTAGGAATAAGCCTGGGTAAACAGCAGTGCTAGGCTCTGCACTTTTTGTTTTCTATCCAGCTACTGTGCAAATGAGATATGATAATTTAAGGCCCCTTTTGGGAGAACCATGTTAAAAAGAGAAAGGAAGCAGGGACAGGGGCATTTAGGTGGCAATTGTCTTTCACTGGGGTAGCCATATATCATATTCCCATGGTATGATATATCATATACATATGGTATGATATGATATCATATACTTTTGGATTTGGCTGCCCACTTGGTATTATGAGATATTTGCATCATAATAAAATGCTCTGCATTTTGGTAGAAAGCCCTAGTTGCTTGAATCTCTCAATCTAAACTCAGTTTCAAATCCTTTCCTAGGGGTATGAGTAGGTGTGATAACAGTTTCAGACTTTTTTTCTTTCAGCGCTTCAGCCTAAAGGCCGCTTACAGAATTCAGCAGGTGTGCTTCCTAATAAGCTTCCTCCTTCTCTAACACAAGTAAAAAGCCACAGGTTGGACCCAGCATTGTGGCTCTAGGAATGCTGGCAATACAAGTGGAGAGAGCAGCTCTGCCCTGAACAGCTGCCATGGAAGTCGCATGGACAACCGGAGCAGTTGCCTGAGCCACGTTTTGTGAGGCAGTCTTCCCCCTAAACATTGGTATTTTATACTGGTGATTAGGATAATTTAGCATTTGGGAGGAAGGTCCTGTGACCTTGTATTTCATATGAAAATATGCAGTATTACATTTTTATGTTATGCCCTTAATGCACAGCCCTACCACAAAAGCTTCCCAAGGAGAGGCAATTTCAGGCTGATGAGGAAAGGATTTTATGATGCCATTTAAAGAAAGAAGGCAGTCAAATGCAATCAATTAGAATGAGGTACAAAACAGATGAGCTAATGGCAAAAGACTGATCCAAAAAGGTTGGCCATGGCATCTAACATCACCTTGTAACCTGAGTTACAAATAGACCTTTTCTTTCAGAATTGAGATACGGGAGTGCTGTGATCTTTTCACATTGTCCTATTGGGGCTGGTGAGAATATGTTTTATTCAGTTTTCATGAAACTATTAAAATGATCCATTATATGTTCAGCACATTGTGTTGCACATAAAGACTTTTTTTTCTATTGTTCTCGTGTTCCCCAAGGTCTTTTACTGCTAGCCTATGCTTCTGAATGTGTGAGGGATCAAATGAGACTTCCGATTATATGGCAAATAGCATCATCTTGAATTTTGTGAAATTATTTCTGGATAGGATTAAATCCAGTATCTGACATTATGGTTTAGCTCATCGCTTCCCAACCTGTAAGCTCTCTTCTCAATGGCCAGTGGATGCTTTGGGAAATAATTTAAATCTGCGGTGAAATAATTGGTCCAGATAATTGTGCTCAGTGTGTGGAGATGTTGATGATTGATATCTTGATATAAGCTGTGTTCTTTAAAGGGGACTGCTTAGGAGAAGGGGCTGGACTTTTTATTGCTATAGCCTTAACTGAAAAAAAATCTGATGGTAGATGTTTGACAATAAAAAGATAGATCCAATGTGATAACTTTTTAAAGAATAATTTTCTGTAATTTTCCTGGAGTCATCTTCATTACTAAAGGTCATTCCCAAGCTAATGGCAAAAACTCCCAGTACACTAAATAAAGGGACCACAGCAAATTGTAGGGTTTGTGACAGTTCCTACTGCTGGGAAAGGCTTGTTCACTCTTGGTTCCTGCATTAACCTATGCAGGGTAGTTTTAGTCTACCTTGTTAATACTACTTTTTCTCTGTTGGGTATTGATTAACACCTAGTGATGCTGTCATTTCTTAATGCTAGGGTGAGAGCTATTTTTTAGAACACAACAGCATTTTAATCTTTCCAGTGTCTAAAGCAATTTTTTTTAACATGTCAGAGTTCATTTTCATTGTGGATGTCTTAATACCAATAAAAAAGGAAGGAAGAAGAAAAAGAAGGATCTGAGCTATGAAGTCAGACAGATTGGGATTGATTTTGGTTCTGCCCTTGACTGGGCTAGTCATCTTGGGCAATTTTATAATCTTTCAATTGAGGACAATATTCTGCTCATAAACTTGCTGTAAAGGTAAATGAGACAGCATATGTAAATATATGCTTAGTACAGTGCTCCACATATAGTAAGTGTTGAATGCATAGTTATATAAGTATAAATGTGGATAAACATGTATCGAGCACTTGGAAGGCAGTGTATTAGGGGATTTACACTATAGGCAGATACACAGATATATGTAAAGGGGGGAGTGTGTGTATAAAATTTAGTGAACGTTTCTAGCTGTGTCTTTAAAGCAGAGTGCCCTGCTCAAGAAATGAAAGATTTTATGATGATTAATAACATCCAAATCCTTCCACTCAATGATATCTTCTCTTAATATGTCTTACAGTTTTTGAGTGATTTGTGTAAAAGGATATTATTTTATATATATTACTTACAATCTGCCTTTTTTCATTTAATAATATTTAATAAATACTTTTCATAATACTGAATTTAACAGCCACAGAATACTTTGTTGTAGTTTGAAACATATTTTTTTAGCTAATCCTTTATGAGTGGTTACTTAGGTTTTCTTTTTTTGCATTTTTTTCTCTATAAATAGATGTGGCAGACATTCTTCAGGTTAAATCTTTGCACGTAACCATGCTTTTTTCCTTAGGATACATTCCTGGAACTAGAATTGGAGGCCAAAAGGCTTGCCAAACTTTAAGATACCTGCTTCCTATTACCAGGTTATGTTGGAAATTTGTACTTCTTTGCTATATATTTAAAAATATTGGCTGGGTATGATGGCTCATGTAATGTCAGCACTTTGAAAGGCCAAGGCAGGAAGATTGCTTGAGGCCAGGAGTTCAAGACCAGCCTGGGCAACATAGGGAAACCCTGTCTCTACCAAAAAATAAAAAATTAGCTGAGCATGGTCTCATGTACCTGTGGTCCCAGCCACTCAGGAGGCTGAGGTGGGAGGATCACTTGAGCCTGAAAGGTCGAGGCTGCAGTGAGCCCTGATGGCATCACTGAACTCCAGCCTGGGCGACAGAGTGAGACCCTGTCTGTAAAAGCAAAAAAAAAAAAAAAATTTTATCCAAACTCTGAATTTGTAAAGACATGGAAGAATGCACTAATATCATTTGCTTTCTGCCTTTTATGTAGGAAAAATACATCTTTTTATTTTATTTTTAAAAATTTATGTTTTTTATGTTAAGGTGGCTGAAAACAAATCCCTCCTCTCTACACTGCACTTCAGTACTTCCCAGTAGGGTGTGTAGCACCCTTGCTTAGGCTGAGATCTTGGTAAGTCTGACTTGAACTCATTCTGGGCCAGTTATCCCACATCTTCTGTAGTCGCAAATCAGACTCTCTTGCCTGGCCAAGCATCTTGCAAATCTTGGACAGGTGTCCCAAGGGAAATAATCTGTCATGGAAGCTAGAAGAGCCCAAGAAGAGCCATCATGCTTGCACATGAAAACAGTTCATTGTAAGAAATTCAGTCAGGTAGGATTTGGATGTTATTAATCATCATAAAATCTTACATTTCTTGAGCAGGGCACTCTGCTTTAAAGACAGAGCTAGAGGCTGGGCTCGGTGGCTCACGCCTGTAATCCCAGCACTTTGGGAGGCAGAGGTGGGTGGATCACGATGTCAGGAGTTCAAGACCAGCCTGGCCAACATGGTGAAGCCCCCTCTCTACTAAAAATACAAAAGTTAGCCAGGCTTGGTGGCAGACGCCTGTAATCCCAGCTGTTTGGGAGGCTGAGGCAGGAGAATTGCTTGAAACTGGAAGGCAGAGGTTGCAGTGAGCCGAAATCGCAGCCACTGCACTCCAGCATGAGTGAAAGAGCGAAATTCTGTCTCAAAAAAAAAAGAGTTAGAAACATTCACTAAATTTTATACACACATACACACACACACACACACCCTTTTACAGATATCTGTATATCTACGTATAATGTAAATCCCCTAATACACTGCCTTCCTAGTGTTCAATACATGTTTAGTGGGTAGGTATATATTTGCTCTTCGCATAGTAAATACCCTCTCTGGGCAGCACATTTCAACGGAGCAGGTTGCTTCATAGTAATTCTTTAGGGGATGGTCATGGGTAAAGCTTTTTAAGGATTCATCTAGTGATCCAATTCATTTCTTTGCCACTGGGTCTAGTTGTACTTGTTGGTCACTATGAAGTGCTGATTGGTCCAATTCCTCTTGGGAAAAACATTTACTGGGAGGCCAGGTTGCTGATATATTTAGGCTTCCATATTTGCATTTAAAATAATCTATGCAATAATGTCATTGCCAAAAGGGTCCACAATTAACTCTGAATTAATCTACTATCTTGAAGAATATTCTTTACTAATTTCATTCTGTAGAACTTATTCCATGGAACTACACACATACACATCCCATCAAACCTTATTATTCACCTTTTTGCCTCTCTTCTTCCCTACTTCCTTCACTATCTACCCCTTTGCTTTCCTTTTCTCTGGATTGAGTAAAAGTTACCATTGGTAGATGGTGCTTTGTAGAATGTTTAAGGATTTCTCTGGGGAACAGCGCTTCAGGGCTGTATCTGTCTTGTGGTGTGAGGGCCCTCAACATGAACAAGAAAGCCTGAGTGATGTTTGTGCAAGGATATCAGCTGATTTTCATGTAAGGAGTTTCGAGATGTGTCATCTGGCAATGTAGAATTGAATCTTTACCACATGTTCATTTTTCTACACTGAGAATGAATGTAATTCTAGTAGATGAGCAAGCAGATTGATTGGTTATTCATTGCAAATTCTGCTATTACTGGAGTGTTCTGCTTTTCTCTTCCAGTGAAGCCTAGAGATGTTTAGTGCCAAAAAACCATGTTACAGTCACTAAATTAGCCAGAGCTATAAGACAGTGGTATGGATACTTTTAAAGGATTAATATTAGCAAAGAATGAAGGTCTGCAAAGTGGTTGCTACTGGGAGAAATTATTTGATTAATGCTTGGTGCTAACTGGAATGTTTTCTTCTTTTTCATGTTTTCCTATAAATTGTTTCCCATTTGCTTTATTACTTTTGACATCTATCTTATATATCTATATATAAGATCACTTTTCACATATAAATGCCCCTTCTCTCTGCATATATGTATTCGCTGCATAGGGTATTTCAATAAAGCATATTTTGCCTTAAAGAAAAATAAGAAAGCCTCTTTCCCTGAACTGTGTACCCATACCTGTGGTAAACACAGTAATGGCCCCCAAAAATCTCTATGTCCATGTCCTAATCTCTGAAACCTGTGGATATGTTATATTAAATGGCAAAGGGAAATTAAGGTTTAAACCAGGCAGAATTAAGGTTGATAATAGACTGATTTTAAAATATGGACATTATGCTGAATTATCCAGGTAGGCTCAGTGTAATCACAAGGGTCCTTAAATGTCGAAGAGGAAGGCAGAAGAGGTCAGAGTAATGCGATATGAGAAGAACTCAACCTGCCTTTGCTGGGTTTGAAGATGGAGAGAGAGGGCCACAAGCCAAGGAATGTGGATGACCTTACATAACCTTTGAGAAATATTCTTGCATAATAAATACACATACGTATTTTCTCCTCTTTATTTTACACAAACAGGAATTTACAGTCCACACTTTTGTATTATTTGAGTTTTTGCTTTTTTAATCAAGTGTTTAAAAAAGATGTAGAGACTATCTTTAGATCAATTACTTTCTTTTTAAAAACAGCTTCTAGTAGTCTTTTGTATGACCATACTACAGTTTATTTAAATAATTCTCTACTGATGGAACTACTAGGCTATTTTCAGTTTGGGCTATTACAAGTCTTTGTGAATATACACAAATATATTTGCAGCAGAAATTCCCCAAAATGGAGTTGATAGATCAGTTTATAAATTTAAAGGTCAAATGACTAAATTACTCTCCAAAAGAGTCATCCAATTTATACTGTTTTATTGCCTCTGTCTGGGCTAGAGTGTACCTTGATTATTAATTATAATGAAGTGGGAAGTATAAGATATTAAAAGACAGAGATTAGACGAGTATCACTCTGTCTTTATTCCCTATTAAATATAATTCCAAACACGGTGGCATGATTGCCAGTGAGTTCTTCAATGTGTCTTTTTCCTTATGGCATTCTTCACTCTTGTAGACATTTTAAATTTTCATGTAGTCAGATTTATAAATTTTTCATTTATGGCTTTTGTTTTGTGACTTGCCTTCTCCAAGATTTTAAAAAAATATATAGACCTCCCACCTTTCTTTTTAGTACTTTTGTGCTTTCCTTTTTTACTTTTGAATCTTTGATCCAGTTAGAGGTTTTTTTCCTTTAAGGGAAAATTCATGCAATTAAATATTAAAATGAGATTTGACATAATCTCTAGGTCCTTTATGTTAACTGTATAATATATTTTAGCATAGTGGTTCCACTCTATATATATTCTTTCATCATGATTGTAATTCATACATAATTTTTTTACTTGAAGTTTTTAATATAATTGTTTAGGAATGGATTAAGTAATGTTTTGAACCTCATTGCAACACATAAAACAATTCACCTTTTTGTTTTAGAACTAATGTAATCCATAAAGGATTAAATAGACATGTAATAATGAGTTTTCATTGAATCATCACAAAACACATGCTATTAATAATCTTTGGATATTTTCTAGCTCTCTACTTCCTCACGTCTGATTACAGCAATTTGGGGGAGGAAAATGTATTCAGTCTTAGTAATTTTTTATTTTGACTTAAAGCCTCCCAGTGGAGGAATAAAGATGAATTATTTTTGCTTATAGTCTTAGAGTTGTTGTTAGAAATTGGTGTTGATGAAAATAATGACTAATGAAGCAAGCATTGGTATGTGTTGCTGGGACCTTTGAGACTATTCCTTTTCAGTTTTTCCATTGTGGCCTAAGAATATTCTGTCTGCTATTTGAAGAAGTCATGTTTGAGCCAAATTAAATTTTCAGGTCAAGAAATATTTACTTGATTAAACATAAATTACTTTTGTGACAACTGCCTCATATTCCCAAGTCAACAAGCCTTCTCAGAAGAGGTCAGGGAGTTTCCTATATTGTTTAATTGCCTTTAACCAATGGAAGCTTGTCATAAATGGGGTCTAAAGGGAGCCTGACCTCATCTCCCAAGGTGAAGAAGTGATTGTCTACACCATCATAAGACAAAGATGTTGCTATTCATTGCAATCCCTCAGATTATTTCATAAACGTTACTTCAGTTCCTCAGATTTTATTATTAGTGCTATCAATTTTTAAGTCCAAACTTGCAAAATAACATCACCACACCCCTGTGAGATAGCAAGTATTATTTCCATTCTCAGTTGCAGATTCCAGTTGAGTATTAATGCCTGTTTTGCCTGAAGATGAAGATAATGATCTGTATTTCTTAACTTTTTAGCCAGTTTTCCTTAATTACATTTGCATTTTTTAGGGTCAGAGAGTTTTTGAGAGGACATACTCTTATCAGGGACTACTAAGACCAGGACTTACTCTGCATCTTGAACCACTCTGCCTCTTGTCATTAGTTTTCAACCTACGTTGTTCTTTCTCAGTACACATCCCTGGGATCGGTTCTTAAACACTTACCTTTTCCCTTTCCTTCTCTCTTAGATGTCTTTTTTCTTTGGCTTCATAAAGAAAAGAAAGGGGATCATTGGCAGTTTTGATTTACATATCTGATGGAATTTCGTTTTAGTGGCAGGGATTGGCTTGCATGAGGGTATCTTTCCAACAAAACAAATTTGTTAACATCACTCATTTGCTTAAAAGCCTGATAAAGTCAGCATCATTTGAAAGCTCGGCAGGTACTAGGTACCTTCTAGGTGCTTTGTATATTCATGTAGATCCCTAAGGTAGGCGTTTTTTTCGAGACAGAGTGCAGTGGCACAAGCTCAGCTCACTGCAACCTCTGCCTCCTGGGTTCAAGCAATTCTTGTGCCTCACCCTCCCGAGTACCTGGGAGTACAGGTGTGTGCCACCACGCCCATCTAATTTTTAAAAATATTTTTAATAAAGATGGGGTTTCACCATATTGTCCAGGCTGGTCTCGAACTCTTGACCACAAGTGATCAGCCTGCCTTGGCCCCTAAGGTAGGGGTTTTATCATACCATTTCATTCAGGGGAAAAGGAATTCAGAAAAAATTTAAAGATGCTTGTGTAAGGTCACACAACTGTTGTCAGTGCCAAGAGTCAAACCCAGCGTTCTGTGACTTCAAAGTTAATGTTTGTTCATTCATTTAGTCTCACCTCTCTAAACACTGTGTATTTGCAGACATCTCCCGAATTCATATCTCTAGTCTAGACCTCCCTGAGCTCAAACCTGCTCACCCAGTTGCCTAGTCAGCATCTTCAGCTGGATGTCTCACAAATACTATATGTGAGATGTGTTCCAAAACTGATTTCTAATGCCTCTCCCCCCTACTACTCACCCAGTCATCACCTTCTCAGGTTGTGGCTGCTTCATCCTTCCAGTTATTGAGACCAAATACTTTGAGGTTATCCATGACTCCTTTATTTCTGACACTCCACATGCACTGCCAGTAAGTGTTGTTGACTTTACCTTCAAATGTATCACCATTGCCTCCACCATTACTACCTTAGTCCAAGACACCGTCTTCTGCCTGGGTTACTACAGAGGTCTTATTATTGGTGACACTGTCTTCACCTTTGCTTCCCATCAGCCAGAGAGAGCTTTTTCTAACTCCAGTCAGACCTTGTCACTCTTCTGCTTAAACCCTCCAGTAGTTTTCCATCACCCTCAGAATTAGAGCCCTAGCAGATCTGGCCATGATACCTCTCTGATGTTACCTTCCATAGTATTCCCTCTTCTTAATCAGCTCTAGTCACATAGGCCTGCCTGCTCTCCTTGGATACACCAGGTACACTGCTGCCTTAGGGACTTTGCGCTTCATGGTCCCTCTTTCCGGAATGTTCTTTCTCCATATCTGCATGGCTCACTCCCTTATTTCTTTAAGTCTTTGAGCAAACGGTATCTTCTCAATGAGGCCTGCCCTGACCATCCTACTTGCTAGCACTCATCTCTCGTACCCTATTTAATTTTCCTCCATTGCACTTATCACTTTCTAATAGATGATACAATTTACCTATTAATGCATATTATCTATCTTCCCCAGCTTCTAGCCTCCCATTCCCAAATGAAAGCTCCACAAGGACAAGGGTTTTTGTCTGCTTGGCCCATTGTATGCCTGGCATTAGGTCAAGACCTGGCACGTTGTTGCTGACCAATAAAACCTGTGGAATGAATAAATTTACTCACAAAGTATTAAGCTCTGTGCTGAGACTGAGGGATACAGGGACCATCTCTGGCTTTCAAGTTTTTAATGGATTCTGCTTTTTAGGATTTCTACCTTTCAGTTAAAGGGAAATCAAGTTCTAGAGGGGTTCTAACCCCCAGTGGTGAAAGCAACCAGCATGTGTTGAGCAGTTGTTTTATACCAGATGTTTCATATAGAGGGATAATGTATTCATTCACACCTTACAACAATCCCATGAGGAATATGTTATCTATGTTTTGCAGATGAGGAAACTGTGGTTTAGGGAAATTATGTACCTTGCTGAAAACCAGCTTCCCTGTAAGTGGTATAAGGAAGAGTCAGACCCATATCTGTCTGTTGGTGGTGTTTTTTTTTGACTGTGTCATGCTGCTTTTCTAACAGCTCCACCATCACCTGTAGGGTGAACCCTGTTTCTTTCCCGCAGCATATAAGACGCTTCCCTGTCTGTATTCAGCCTGTCGGGCAAGGCTTCGTTTTTCTGTCTCCTCTGGGACACTGCCAACTCCAACTTCTCTATGAAGTCTTGCTTTTCACCTAAAAGACCATATGCTTGCAGTTTCACACCTCTGCAAAGTGTTTTCCCTCTAACTGAAATGGCTTTTCTTCCCTTTTCTGCTTGGTGAATCTATGCTTGTCCTTTGCATTCCAGCTCATGTGTTACTTCCATGAAGCCTTTTTTAGCTTCTCTCAGGGACATAGTGGGTCACTGCATGCTGCTCCCACACAGTACCACCTGTTATTCCTACACTGTGTTCCAGTTAGTCTACCAGAAATGGGGCTTTCTTCTATTCTTCTTTGTTTTACCAATGCCTAGGACAGGGCCTGGACTATACCATATAACAAGTAAATGTTTATTTTGTGATGTAAAGGTGATTTGTGCAATAATGGGTAATGGAAACACTTAGGGATTTAGAATTTAAACATGGAAGAATGACAGGTATAATCTGATAAAAGTCTAAATGACACCTCAGAAATTCTCTGTAGATGAGGCGCTCATTCATGTATTCATGGCTATAAAGTAGTTATTAAGTACATGGACTTAATGGGTTCAAAACCCAGTCCTTACATTTACTGCAGGTTTAATGTTAAATTATTTACCTCTCTGAGCCTCTTCTTCATCTATGAAATGGAGGATAATATTGTACTTACCTAACAGTGTTGCCAGGAGGATTTAATGACAGAGCCTGCCGCATATTGAACATTAAGTAAATATATATAATTACAGCAAAGTTTTCTGGAGGAGTTAGTATTTGTACTACATGGTCTTGGATCTAAATTGCATTGGATACATTGAATGAAATACTAAACTAAGGACATCGGTCATTAAAAACTAGGGAAGCCCATGGTTTTTGATGTTCTTATGGGTTCATCCTTCAGAGTGATTCCTACCACTCATCTTTTTTTCCCTAGGTAAAAAGCCCCATTTGAAGTTATAAGTTGAAAATGTTAAACATTTAAGCAAAGAGGATTTAGAAATTGTTTTTATGACAGAGGAAACAGAACCTGGGAATTGTGTGTTTCTTCAGAACGACTTAATTACAGGGAGTGACAACTTTGTTGTTCATGAGATGGATTGTTTTACGAAATAGAGCATTTGATTGTAAGAACTGAATCCTGCCCAGAATCTGTCTGGAGGGCCCTTTGATATGGTATTCACATGATATAATTATATTTAGAGAGTCCTCTAGGAAAATTTTAGAACCATGCAAATGTGCATGTCTAGCTGCAATCCAATTTTACATTAATCTAGTGTCTAGCCGTTTATACTCTGTGCATTGTTAGATAGCTTCCTAGGCTGGCAATAATTAAAGGGTTTAGATTAAACAGATGTAATGTGAAATCTGTGACATTTGAGGCTAGGTTAGCTAGCTTAATACCAGGTGTTTGGAGGCTGGGGATGTTTTTCGTGGTTATAAGTCTCCATGCCAAATTTTTATTCTAGAAATTGGCCTGAGAGGGCATGTTGAGAAATCGAATGCAGAAGTAAACAATGACTTCAGAAATCAGCTTGGAAGTCAGGGATTTATTTTCTATGTTGTGCACTATTAATATACAGTTGACCCTTGAACAGTGCAGGGGTTAGGGATGCTAACCCATGTGCAGTCAAAAATCTGAATATAACTTTTGGCTCCCACAAAACTTAACTACTAGTAGCCTACTTGACTGGAAGCCCTACTGATAACCTAAATGGTCAATCAACGCATATTTTGTATAAGTATTATATACTATATTCTCATAATAAGAAAATCATAAGGAAGAGAAAATATATTTACTGTTCATTAAGTGGAAGTGGATCATTACAAAGGTTTTCTTCTTCATCATTTTCATGTTTAGTAGGCCGAGAAGGAGGAGGAAAAGGAGGAGTTGATCTTGCTGTCTCAGGGGTGGCAGAGATGGAGGAGGTGAAAGGGGAGGCAGGAGAGGCAGGGACATTCGGTATAACTTTACAAAAATACATCATAATTTCTGTCTGAATTTTTGCTTTGTCATTTATCTAAAAATATTTGTATATGATACAAATTTGCAAGTTTCAGCGTCTGGATCATAGAATGGTCCATGTTGTAAAAGAAGCCCAAAGCAGTCTTGAATAATCAGAATCTTCTGGTAGATTATCTAATGTCAGTTTGTTTTCTGGCATTTTTATGTCTTCTTCATCATTTTGCATTGGTTTGGAAGCACTCATCTTTATCCAGTTGCCTTCTGTTTTATTCCTCTGGTGTGGTGTCTATTAGCTTTTGAATTTCTCCAAGATCCATATCTTGAAACCCTTTACCCACCCCACCCCACCTGCTCCTTTTTGCCATATCTGCGGTCTCTTTCATGGTTTCCTTGATAGGCTCTGTCGTAAATTCTGGGAAGTCATGCACAACATCTGAACACAGTTTTCTCTAGCAGGAAGTTATTGTTTCAGGTTTGGTGGCTTTCACTGCTTTTTGTGTAACAGTGATAGCATCTTCAATGGTATAATCCTTCCACACTTTCATTATGTTCCCTTTGTTGGGGTTCTCCTCATAGCACTGACAGTCCTTTCCATAGAGTATTGTGTGTAATGAGCCTTAAAAGTCTTTATGATTCCATGATCTAGAGGCCGAATTAGAGACACTGTGTTTGGAAGCAAGTAGACCACTTCATTGTCCAATATCGAAAGAACTTTTAAAAGGCAGTCTTTTATTGACAGGTACTTCCTGACTTCAAGGACAGAGCATTGATGGAACCAATCCAGAAAAAGGGTTGTCATTGTCCAGGCCTTCTTGTTGTAAAGTTAAAAAACTGGCAGCTGGTGTTTATCTTTTCCCTTCAGGGCTTGGGCATCAGCAGCTTTATAGGTAAGGGCAGTCTAGGTCATAAACCCAACTGCATTTGCACTGAACAGTAGAAGTCGCCTATCTCTACCTTAAATCCTGGTGATTCCTTCTCTTCCTTACTAATGTCCTTTGTGGCATTTTTTTCCCAGAATAGGGCACTTTCGTCTACATTGAAAACCTGTTCAGGTAGGTATCCTTTCTCTTCAATTATTTTCTTAATGGCACCTGGGAACTCATCTGCTGCCTCTTGGTTGGCAGAAGCTGCATCTCCTGTTATCTTGACATTTCTTAAACCAAACCTCTTTCTAAAATTATAAAACCATCATTTGCTAGCATTAAATTCTCTAGCTTTAGATCCTTCATCTTCCTTTTGCTTTAAGTTGTCGTGTAATGACATCACTTTTTCTCAAATCATACTATAGTCCACAGGTATGCCTTTCTTATAGCAATCCAGCACCCACATAAAAGCTGCATTTTCAATAAGAGATAAAAAGATATTTTGCAAAAAGTGCATGTGTTTTGTGTCTGCTGGCATAGCTGTAGTGACAGCTTCATGAATTTTGTTTTCTTTGTTTTACAATGATTCTTACTCCAGATTCATGTATCTCGAAGTGGTGGGCAACCACAGCTGGAGACCTCAGTCACATATCAAGCAGTTCACTTTTTTCCTATAATGTCATGACTTTTCTCTGCTTCTTGGGGTCCTTTCCAGCATCACTAGTGACACTTCATATGGGTTCCATGGTGTTATTAAAGATTTACAGTATTGTACTAAACGTGATGAAAAATATGCCAGACCTGGCCGGGCCTGGTGGCTCAACGCCTGTAATCCCTGCACTTTGGGAGGCCGAGGCAGGTGGATCACGAGATCAGGAGATTGAGACCATCCCGGCTAACACGGTGAAACCCTGTCTCTACTAAAAATACAAAAAAAAAAAAAAAATAGCTGGGTGTGTTGGCAGGCACCTGTAGTCCCAGCTACTCGGGAGGCTGAGCCAGGAGAATCACTTGAACCCGGGACGTGGAGGTTGCAGTGAGCTGAGATTGCACCACTGCACTGCAGCCTGGGCGACAGAGTGAGACTCCGTCTCAAAAAAAAAAAAAAGAAAAAAAGAAAAATATGCCAGACCTGTGAGAGATCACTTACTGCTGTGATGAGCAATTCACTGGAGAGACAGACTGCTCCCATGGAGATGATTAATGTCACATGTTGTTTTAAGCCAATCCTCCAAACAAACTCATCTCAATAGCAACAGAAGTGGCTACGAAATTATTACAGTAGCACAGCATGCACTACAGTTAATTTTATACAGTTCTGATTTCATCCTGCATCTTTACAATTGTTTACATTTCTCCTGACTGCGGATGGTGCCATGTATGGTCTGTGTTTGTGTGTGTAGGTTTTGATAAATTTTAACTTTTTATAATTTGTGTATATTTTATGGTAGTGAATGATATATTTAATAGACTACCGTCTCTATATATTTTACACATTCATGACACATACCTAACTTAAAAATTCTGAGGCCTGGTGCGGTGGCTCACGCCTGTGATACTAGCACTTAAGGAGGCCGAGGCGAGTGGATCACGAGGTCAAGAGATCTAGACCACCCTGGCCAACGTGGTGAAACCCCGTCTCTACTAAAAATACAAAAATTTAGCTGGGCGTGATGGCGCACGCCTGTAGTCCCAGCTACTCGGGAGGCTGAGGCAGGAGAATCACTTGGACCCAGGAGGCGGAAGTTGCAGTGAGCCGAGATCGAGCATCTGCACTCCAGCCTGGCGACAGAGCGAGACTACGTCTCAAAAAAAAAAAAAAAAAGAAAAGAAAATATTTTCAGGCTATGCGGTTTGAGTTTTTCAAATTTTTGTAAATCTCCAAATTTTTTTTCCAATATGTTTATTGCAGAAAATTTGCGTATAAACAGACCTACACAGTTCAAATTTGTGATTCCAGGGTCAACTGTACTTGTAGAAATACCACAAATTACAAATGAAACAAAGTATTCTTCCTTTCATTAAAACTTACTGTGTTTAACTGCTAGAATTGCAACAGTGAACAAGATGGAAATGGTCCCTTCTGTCATGGAACTCATAGTTTAATGGATATAGCAGACAACAAACAAATAGGCAACATATATGTATTTACCTAATAGGGTGCAGAGATCTAGGCTAATTGGTCTCTTAACACAGCTAAGGTGGTCAGAGAAAGCCTTTCTGAGGAGTTGAGATTCAAGATGTAGGCTTCCAGGAAGTCAGGCTTGTGAAGGAAGAGCATTACAGAGAGGGGCTCAGCATGTGCAGAAGCCCTGAGAGGGAAAGAGCTTGACCTTTGCCTGTTCAGAAAGAAACAGAGGCAAGGGCTAGGTCACACAGGGGCTCATATCCATGGTGTGGAATCTGGGGTTTATTCTGAATGCATGGGAAGACACTGAAGAGTTTTAAAACTCAACAGGGTCTAATGTTTGTATTATATGGAAAGTGGACAGGAGGGAATAGATAGAGCAGGAGTGGAAGCAGGAGGCCGCTAGGAAGTCCTTGTGTAAGATGAGAAGTGATGGTGGCCTGGACTAGAATGGTCAAGGTGGAGAGAGAGGGAGGATTCATTCAGATCATACTTGGATGGTAGAACTGATGGAGCTTGTTGGATTGGGTGTGGGGAGTGAGGGAGACAGAGAAATCAAGGATGATTCCCAAGTTCCTAACTTGAGGAATGAGATGGATGGGAGTGCCATTAGCTGACATAAATTATCTGAAGGAAATAGAGAAGGACATGCAACAAAGGCCAAAGGAAATTTGAAGGTTGGCAACCCTTAGCAGAGTCTAGCCACCCACATGTTTTTATTCCCATTCTCTTGCTTCTTACCAAAATAAAAGCTTTTCATCTGCTGCAGACTCTTTGAACACAGTGCAGCCTCTGTGTCATCAATAATTTATGCAGTGTTCTCAAGTAAAAGCGTTAGTGTCCAAGGCCTTGTGATTCTGATCTGGTTTCCCAGAAATATTTCAC
Organism: Homo sapiens; assembly: GCF_000001405.40. Classification (NCBI taxonomy): domain Eukaryota; kingdom Metazoa; phylum Chordata; class Mammalia; order Primates; family Hominidae; genus Homo; species Homo sapiens. The sequence goes on from NC_000007.14 coordinate 117,052,134, forward strand.
AGGGCAGATATGAAAGAGAAGATTTAAAAACAAAAAAAAAACTCCATCACTTATTGCTGTGGTGCAATGTAAAGGGCCATAATTAAGTTATCCCCAGCAT